>NC_000008.11:12587375-12890405 GCF_000001405.40 Homo sapiens
ATGTTGTCATTCATTAATCAAATTCTAGGTGAGCATATACTAAACACCAGAGACACAAATGAGAATCAGAACAGGCACGTCCCTGGCCCTTATGGTGACCACAGTCTTGAAGGGGAAGGATGACACGCAGAGAAATAGGAAGCCATAGCTGAGCTAGTTTCTACCACAGAGAGGCAGCTGGTGTCATGAAAGCAGATAACAGGGGGTTACTGGGACTGAGTCAGTGTGGCCAGAAGTCCCTGAGGATATAGTGACTCCAGTGTCAGATGAGACCGTGACCAGGTGAAGAAGCAGGGAGAGGGAAAATTTTTCAGGCAGAAAGAGCAGGATGTGCAAAGACCCTATGGCAGAAAGAAAACAAAGGAAGTGCAAGAGCCTGAAAGAGGCCAGAGAGAGCAAGTGAAAATATGGATAATCACAGCACCGACCTCATACAGGACTTGCAAGAAATCGAGACCCTGTCTGTAACAGATTCAGCAATGACTAAATAGAAACTATCTCCTAAAAGCACACGATGAGGTTCCTTGGTGGTATTTCCCACATGGGGCTGCCATGCATTCAGAGGCCAAGTTCAACCTGTCTGTAGACAACCTCCAAGCCAGCTGGACACACATACACCCTCAGGCTCAGGATACCCAGGACAGAGTCCTGGATGCTTGAAGTCATGATAAGTATGCAGAATGACACAGAATTCCAGCCAGGCGTGGTGGCTCATGCCTGTAATCCCAGCACTTTGGGAGGCCGAGGTGGATCACCTGAGGTCAGGAGTTCAAGACCAACCTGACCAACATGGTGAAACTCCCTCTCTACTAAAAATACAAAAAAAAATTTAGCTGGGTGTGGTTGTGGGTGCCTGTAGTCCCAGCTACTCAGGAGGCTGAGGCAGGAGAATCGTTTGAACCAAGGAGGCAGAGACTGCAGTGAACTGAGATTGCACCATTGCACTCCAGCCTGCGCAACAAAAGTGAAACTCCGTCTCAAAAAAGAAAAAAAAATGACACCGAATTTGCTAAAGGGGGAGAAAGGGCTTTCTTCCAAAGCTGGGCCTGGTTTCTACAGAGAGTCTTTCACATGAAAATTAAGCAGCTCTTTGCAAGCACCTCAGAGGAGAACCCCTCACCCTGATGAATCAGGCACAGGGGCGGATCCAAGACAACTGGCTGCGTGCATGTGAACAAGCCTATGGTGGAAAGGCAGTGCTTTATTGTTTGGGGTGGTTTAATCACCAGGAGGGAGAAGCTTCTAAAGCAGCATTCAGAGGTGGCTGTTGCCTGGGTTTTCTGGAAGGGGGAGGTGGTGAGGATGAGGGCTTCCCTTTCATCTGCAGGCCCCTTGCAGAAGGAGCTGGGGAAAGCTTTGCAACCATCTGCACACTTTGCCATCTTGTCTGGCTGGGATGCCGAGCTCCAGATGGGGGCAGATGGGATAGCTCTTGCCACCGTATTTGGAGAGAGATGTCAGGGAAGTCAGCCCCCGTGGAGAAGACAGGAGCAGGCAAGTGCTGGACAGTGCTGCCCAGGTCCCTGGGGCTGAAGTGTCCAACCCCACAGCCTCTAGGTGCCACTAAAGCAGCCCAAGAGGATCTTCTCTGTCCATCTCCATCCTGGCACCTACAGACACTTGGAGAGAGTCCTTCACATGGGAACTCACAAATGCACACTGATAACCCCCACACGGAACTCTCATACGTAGCAAGTGAAAAGAGAGGATGCCAGTTTAACTTGAATTTCAGATAAACAACAAATCATTTTTTAGGGTAAGCAGGTCCCAAATATTGCATGGGATATATTTGCACCAAAAAAAAAAAAAAAAAAAAAAAAAGGTTAATGAGAAGTTCAGGTTTAATTGGACCTCCTGTATTTTACCTGGCAAGCCTAACCCTGCATAAACACAACCTCGAGCTTGAAACTCACAGAGAAGACACGGCCGTGCTCACACACGTGCACAAACCCATATGCCTTACAGAGTCAACGGCTGTGATGAGGGTCCAGACCCTTGCACACTTTTCTGTCCTCTGTCTGGGCTCAGAGTAAACAGGGGGTCACCTGGAATCCACGTCTAAGCTGGGCTTGGAGGTGTCCTAATGAAGCAGGATGCTGTCCTGCAATTCCCCAGCTCAGCTAGGACTGTAGCCAGGCCTAGCTTCCAGTCTCGGGCCTAGAACAAACAGCACAGTCCCAGACCTTGGCAAGAAGGTTTCATCTCAAAGGCCACTGGTGCAGGAACTATTAGAAGCCCCACTTCTTTCCTCTGTTTCTGCTGCCATTGCCCCAGTCTCTGACCCTGACACTCAATCACTCTATAAACACAGCAGGTACTAGGGGTGGCTCTGGGCTCGGCACTAAAGACATTGACCCTGGTAAAGCCACAGTCTAGCAATGACAGTCAACCACCTATCAGCAACAGCCCTGCCCCACACGTGCTGACTGCGCACAAGGCCGGCGCTATGAACGTGCTCTCAACAGTGATCTCACTGAAACCTCATGGCAGCTCTAGGATGCAGACAGTAGCATCACATTATCCCCATTTTACTTTTGAGGAAACTGAGGCCTGAAGAAGGCAAATGCAGGCCTCGAGATTTGCAGTAACATTGCCAGGAATGTTTGAGAAAGCAAACTTCTCCAGAGTGAGGCAGTCTGCCAGAGCTCAGAAGCCAGTGTCCCTGTTAGCAGGGGCTGGGGGCACTGTGGGGTGGAGGCAGACAAGCAGGTAGGGGCTGGACCCCCCAGGACACCAGGGTGCAGACTGGTGTGAGTAAAAGAAAGAGGGGCTGTCATGCCATCATCTGCAGAAGATGATGTCTACAGAGGACAGTACCATGTGAGCCCTTGGGAAGCTGGATGACCGGATGGAGTTTTGCACAGGATGCAAATTGAGCACAGATCCCCCTCTGACCTAGACAGCCCACCTCCAGGAACATCTCACAGAAATGCAGGCACAGAGCACCAAGTGATATGTGTGAGGAAATTCATCAGAACACCGTCTGTGATTGGGAAAAGGCGGAAACCCTCCAAAGACGTCTCGGTGCAGGGCTGGTTAAACGAAGCGTGGTGCATCCACACGTCAGAATAACTGCAGGGAGAAGAAGGTGGTACCCAGGTTCCAACGTGAGACAATGTCAAAGACATGCTGCCTGAAAAACAGGCTTTCCAAAGAATAAATATAGCATTATTGCATTTTTACTTTTTTAAAAAGATTACAATAAACACTTATGTGCAAATACATGTGCTTGTGTGCACAGAGGAAAAAGCTGTGGACAGAAACAGAAAACCAAACACGGTGTGTTCTCACTCATAAGTGGGAGTTGAACAATGAGAACACATGGACACAGGTAGGGGAACATCACACACCGGGGCCCATCGGGGGTGGGGGACAAGGCGAGGGGGAGCGTTAGGTCAAATACCTAATGCATGCGGGGCTTAAAACCTAGATGACGGGTTGATAGGTGCAGCAAACCACCATGGCACATGTATATCTATGTAACAAACCTGCACATTCTGCACATGTATCTCAGAACGTAGAATAAAAAATAAAAATAAATCAAAGAAAAAGGTGGGGAGAGGTATACCCCAACCCTTCCCAGTGTTACCTCTGAGATGCAAGATCAAGAAAAGCAAATCAAGAGGTAGTTTTGCTTTCTGTTTTCTATATAATTTTTTTTTTTTTTTTTTGGAGACATAGTCTCGCTCTATTGCCCAGTCTGGAGTCCAGGGACACAATCTCGGCTCACTGCAACCTCCTCCTCACCGCAACCTCCTCCTCACTACAACCTCCTCCTCAGTGCAACCTCCTTCTCACTGCGACCTCCTCACTGCGACCTCCTCCTCACTGCAACCTCCTCCTCACTGCAACCTCCTACTCATTGCAACCTGCTCCTCACTACAACCTCCTCCTCACTGCAACCTCCTCCTCACTGCGACCTCCTCCTCACTGCAACCTCCTCCTTACTGCGACCTCCTCCTCACTGCAACCTCCTCCTCACTGCAACCTGCTCCTCACTACAACCTCCTCCTCACTGCAACCTCCTCCTCATTGCAACCTGCTCCTCACTGCAACCTGCTCCTTCTGGGTTCAAGGGATTCTCTTGCTTCAGCCTCCCAAATAACTAGGATTACAGGCATGCACCACCAAGCCCGACTAACTTTTGTATTTTTTGTAGAGACAGGGTTTCACTATTTTGGCCACCTGGTCTCAAACTCCTGGCCTGCCCACCTTAGCCTCCAAAAGTCCTGGGATTACAGGTGTGAGCCACCATGCCTGGCCTGCATTGCTTGAATTCTCAGACCACATGGACCCTCTCATCTGGCCCAATTGCAAGAGTCCAAGGCAGGAAAGGCAGAAGGCAGGGGCTTACCCCTCCATCAGGACAACATAGAACGGAGTCAAAAAAGGAAAACATGAATGGATCAGTCAAGAGGGCCGTGCACATGCCCTCCCAGGCACCTACACCTTGCAACTTAAGCCGACAGCCTTTCAAGCCACAGAGTCTTCCTCCCCAGAGACTAGCAAGGACACAAGCCCTGGCCAGGCCCTTCCAGGAAGATGTTCTGAGGGACCAGGTGGGGGGCAGAGTCAGGGGTGGCAGGAGGAAAGGGGGACACGAAGCCAAGGCCAGGGCACCCCATGCTTCCTGAAGGCAACTAGAACAGGGCGCCACACAGAGCCCCTGTGTACCTGTTTCTACAACAGCCTGAACACAAGGAAAAGTAAAACAAGGAAAATACACAAAACCCAGCCTCACCTGGAGCAGGTTAAATAAAGGTGTGTGAATTTTCCTCATGTCCTTTGGAATTGGAAATCCAAGCTTCCTCTTCTGTGCCTTTAAGGTCCTGGCCGCTGCCCCACAGCTCCCTTCTCTTCCCTCCTCCTCCTGTCCTATTTTTTTTTTTTTTTTTTGAGATGGAATCTTGCTCTGTTGCCCAGGCTGGAGTACAGTGGCACAATCTCAGCTCACTACAACCTCCACCTTCCGGGTTCAAGCAATTCTCGTGGCTCAGCTTCCCGAGTAGCTGGGATTATAGGTGTCACCATGTCCGGCTAATTATTGTATTTTTAGTAGAGACAGGTTTTCACCATATTGGCCAGTCTGGTCTCAAACTCCTGGCCTCAGGTGATCCGCCCACCTCGGCCTCCCAAAGTGCTGGGATTACAGATGTGAGCCACCATGCCCAACCCTCTTGTCCTAACTCTGCCATCTCTTTGCAGTCTCCCCTGAGCAGCTTTTCCTGGGCCCGCACTGCCCCCCTCCAGAGCTGCACTCTCAAACCACCCCCCAATGCCCCCTGGCCCTGGCTCCTGCCCCGGGGCTCTGATCCTCAGCTGGTGAGGTCTAGAGGGTCAGAGGGAGCCAGACTCCTTAGAGAAGCTAAGGCGGGAGACCTGTGCTGGGCTGTGGTTAAACTGCCCCCTTCCAGCTGGGGCCGAATAGAAAGTGAAAGACTGCCCCCAGAATACAGGGCTCTCAGAGGCCCTGGGGATCTGTGCTGGCAGCCAGGAGGACTGTCACCTCAGTGCAGTTGCCTGCAAGGAGGGCTGTGCAGGAAGCTGCATGTTGCTCAGAGAACAAAAAAAGGAAATTAAATGCACCATCTCCTTATTAGCATGAGCTTTTGAGGCAGACACTTAAATATGCATGCCTAGACATTGTAAAACTTGGGGGAAATGTTAATTTCAATAACGCCACTTCTTGTGCTTGCAGAAACCATTCTTTTATCTCCCTTCCTAGTCATTTGCGGGCTCCATCCCTCAGAGTGGCAGCGCCAAGACAGCCGGCCTCACTGGGTTTTGTAAGCTGTGCAAGGTGAGATCCCAAGCCCTGGCCTGGAGACCCATCTTAGGAAAATGTTAGAACAGGGCAACAAGTTGCCATTTCCTCCCTCCTTTCTCTTCCCCATACAAAAATCAGAAAGCTCCCTTGCCCAGTGCCCAGCCACAGTGAGGAAGAAACCCCACACAAAATCCTGGGTTGTGCCCCTGATACCAAAGACCTGCAAAATTGGGCCTCACCTGCTGCAACCTCAGCCCAGACTTGTGTACATTTCAAGGGTGGCTGGACTCATGGCCGCCTGGGACGTCAGAGTGTTACGAAGTCCTCTTAACCTAAGACTGTCGGGGTACAAGGATCAGCATTTTTTTCCTTTCTCTCCAGGGCCAGATGGTAAATAGTTGAGCTTTGCAGGCCATAGGTCTCTGTCCCAAATATTCAACTCTCCATTGTAGCAGGAAAGCAGCCACAGACAATAGGTACTGAAATGGGTGTGGCTGTGTTCCAATAAAACTTTATTTGTGTGAACAGGCAGGGGGCTGGTTCTGGCCTGTGGGCTATAGCCTGCCTCCTCTGCTACAGGGTGATCTCCAAGGACCCATCCATCTTGTAGACCAGCAGCTGACACACAGGAGCTGCTCAGATACTTGAAGGAGGAATGGAGAAGGCAAACAGCCCCCAGTGTGCAGATGTGAGGGTCTCCCAGCGGCAGCATCCTTCGCCATCTCATGCCGAGGGACAAAGCCAGAGCAGGGCTCTCCACCAAGGCTGGGTTCTCCTCCAAGGAAATGTGATAACAGGACAGAAAGCATCGTGGAAGGATAGGGGCTTTGGAGTCCCACAAACCACAGTTTGCAGGACCAGGAGCATCCTGCACTTCCTTGCACACATCCTGGGTGGGTACTGGAGCATCTAGACTTAGAGTGAATCTTCTCCCCATCCTCCCCCAACTGGCCTCCATTAAACTTCCAGCAACAATGTGGTGTATGTACACAATGGAATACTATTCAGCCTTCAAAAAGAAGGAAATCCTGCCATTTGAGACAACATGGATGAGCCTGGAGGATATTATGTTAAGTGAAATAAGCCAGGCACAGAACGACAAATACCACATGATCTCACTTACATGTGGAATCTAAAAAAGTTGAACTCGGCCAGGCATGGTGGCTCACGCCTGTAATCACAGCACTTTGGGAGGCTGAGACCAGCAGATTGCTTGAGCCCAGGAGTTCGAGACCAGCCTGCATAACATAGCAATACCCCATCTCTACAAAAAATACAAAAATTAGTGGAGCATGGTAGTGCATGCCTGTACTCCCAGATACTCAGGAGGCTGAGGTGGAAGGATTGATTGAACTTGGGACGTCAAGGCTGCAGTGAGCCATGATCACAACCCTGCACTACAGCCTGGGCAATAGAAGGAGATTTTCTCAAAAAAAAGAAAAAAAAAAAGAGAAGAAAAAAGTTGAATTCACAGAAGCAGAGTAGAATGATGGTTGCCAGGGTGGGGAAGTGGGCAGATGCCAAAGGACACAGAATGTCATTTTTAGAGAAGAAGAATAAGTTCAGGAGATCCATGGGACAACAAGGTACCTATAGTTAATAACAACATATCATACACTTGGAAATCACTAAGAGAGTAGATTGTTTAAGTGTTCTCACCCCAAAAAGTAAGTCTGGGAGGTGATATGTTATTTAGCTTGATTTAGCCATTTCATAATGTATACATACCTCAATCACATCATGTTGTATACCCTCTTGTACATAATTTTTGCCAATTCAATAAATTCAACAACTCCAAAAAACAAGACATTCTCTTTACAAAAATAATTATTAAAAATAAAATTCAGAATTCTATTTTATTTATTTATTTATTTTTGAAACAGAGTCTCGCTCTGTCACCCAGGCTGGCTGAAGTACAGTGGTTCAATCTCGGCTGACTGCAACCTCTGTCTCCCAGGTGCAAACGATTCTCCTGCCTCAGCCTCCCAAGTAGCTGGGATTGCAGGTGTGTGCCATCACACCTGGCTAATTTCTGTATTTTTAGTAGAGACAGTTTTGCCATGTTGACCAGGCTGGTCTCGAACTCCTGACCTTAGGTGATCCGCCAGCCTCGGCCTCCCAAAGTGCTGGGATTACAGGTGTGAACCACTGCACCTGGACAGAATATAAAAGATTGTTTAATTCAACTAAAACATTAAAACACAGATTATTTCTATAAGTGGTAATTGTTCTAACATGTTTTGGTCAAAATAGTCTCCTTACTTATCCACAATTAAATGGTTAATTGATATTTGATTAGATTTTTATAAAGTTTTCAAATCATGATTGACTTTTCCAATGTACAGTAAAATGTGTTTGAAAATATTGCATAAAAATTAATATTTAAAAATGGTCAGGCATGGTGGCTCATGCCTGTAATCCCAGCACTTTGGGAGGTCAAGGTGGGCCGATCACTTGAGGTCAGGAGTTTGAGACCAGCCTGGCCAAACCTCATCTCTACTAAAAATACAAAAGTTAGTCAGGCATGGTGGTACGCACCTGCATTCCCAGCTACTTGGGAAGCTGAGGCAGGAGAATCGCTTGAACCTGGGAGGTGGGCTCCCCAGGCTTAAAGCAAAACCTCCATCTTGTCTGTCTCCACTCTCATCCCAGGCAATCGCGGTCATTTCCACAGCCTCAACCACTGTCTACCTGGGATGCCTCCCATGCCCGGGTCGCCAGCCCAAACCTGCCTTCCTAGCCCCAGACCCATCTGTCCTGGCACACATTGCCCCCTGGGTCCCAACAACCTCAGCCAATGAGACCAATGCCAACTTCCTGTCCTTGCCTGACACTGTCAGCCCTGAGATCAGACTTGACCATTCACCTCCAGTACCTGATAGGTCTGTCAGTCCTTTGGAACATATCCCACGAACATTCCCCAAACCAGGCACCGGACTCCACACATCAACACCGTCACGTGAGTCACCAGCATCCCTGGCAGGGACCCCTGTCCCAGCCTCCAACTCATCTCCTTCCTGTCCCTTGAGTTCTGTGTCACATTCCAGAGGCCACAAGAAGAAAAATGACCACCTTAATGAAATTAAAAGAATTGAGAAGACATTTCTCTATGGTCCAAAATCTTTCCAACTAAGAAACACATATCAAGATCCAGCCTGCTGGCCCTGTGGTTAAATGTTCCTGAAATAATTAAAGCCCAGGGCAACACAGCCCCCACTCCACAAGAACTCCCAGCACAGTAAGACTTGCTTCTCTACAGGGGCTTGAAATGTCCAGTGTGTACCCTGCCCCTCTCTGTCATAGCTAACAGGAATGTGCTCCGTGTCTTCTTCCTGCTCAAAGGACCGTCCACCAACCTGCGCAGGCAGCACTTTCGGCAAGGGGAGGATGGGAGAACATCCTACCATTTCCCACTTACGCACTGCATTCATCAGGAGCCTGCCTCACAAATTACAAGAGCACTACGGCAGACCCACGATGTTCCAGCGGATGGCCATGTCTTCATGTCAACTTGAAAGATCATTGCCAGGGAAATATCTATATCTCGGCAGAGAGAGCTTCAGCCTGTGTAGTCCAGCTGTGCTCAAATGGAAATCAAAAAAATCAGATGTTGGTCAAAACACCCTGTCTCAGGGAGCTGGCTCTGCAGGTCCCCAGTGTGAGAGTGAACTGGGTGGGCCACCTGACCTGCCTACCCACATCCCGGCCTCCTGGAATCCTGAACCCTGAGAACCAGGGGGATGTGGTGGGGAGCAGGCAAGTCTTGTGCAGAAAGCCAAGATGCCACCCAAATCCACTCTGCAGTCTAGGTGAGCGATATTCTGGTCTGCACCACACCAGTGCACGAGGGGATGGAGGATGGAGTCTAGACAAGCCAAATGTAAAAAGATATTGTCCACGTATTTTGTGCTTTGTCTGTGTTACAATGCGATGACAAGCCCAGTGTGCTGGCTCACACCTGTGATCTCAGCAACTTGGGAGGCCGAGGCAGGCGGATCACCTGAGGTTAGAAGTTTGAGATCAGCCTGCCCAACATGGTGAAACCCCATCTCTACTAAAAATACAAAAATTAGCCAGGTGTGGTGGTGGGCACCTGTAATCCCAGCTACTCTGGAGGCTGAGGCAGGAGAATCACTTGAGCCCAGGACGTGGAGGTTGCAGTGAGCAGAGATCATGCCACTGTACTCCAGCCTGGGCAACAGAGTAAGACTCTGTCTTAAGAAAAAATTAAATAAATAAAGGCTATGCCCAGTATTTTCCATGTACTGTCTTATTATCTCAGTAAATCCCATATAACCTTCCTATGAAACTGTATCTCATTTATCTCCATTTTATAGATGAGAAAACTGAGGCCCCTGGAGTACTATTAACTTTCCAAGACAGCATTGCTCATAAAGGGTACAGCAGGGACCCAAGGTCGACACTCTCACCCTCAAACATTTATACAAGTGTAGACCAATGGCTTTCAACTGGGGTGGTTTTGCTCACATAACACTCCCTTGCCCCACAGCATTGAAACCATCTGGAGACATCTGGGGTAGCCATAACTGGGAGGGTAGAATGGCACCTAGAGGATGGAGACCACAGATGCTGCTAACCGTCCTACAATACACAGGATGCCCCCCCACCACCACCACGAATGGTCTCACCCCAAATGTTGTGACGGTGCCAAAGCTGAGAAATCCAGGTTTCTCCTCAGCAAGAAGGAAAATACCTGCAACGTGGATGCACCTCTACAGGAGCCCCAGGCTGACAATAACCTTCCTGATCTGGTTTCAACCCTGGATGCTTTTACCTGGTGCATCCATCAGGGATTTCAGGGACTCCAGTGAGTTATCACCCTTGAATGCTCGGTTCTGCCTGACAACCCAGAAATCTCTGCCAAGGTGCCTGGTCTTGGGGAAGGCTCAGCAAGCGGTTGAGGTTGACAACCAAATACCTAGGAGAGACTTTTCTCTCTCTCCAGCAGGAGCTGTGGGTCAGACACACCCTGGGATCATTCACAAGCGGTCAATAAAGGCTTGGGGAGGGGCAGATTTTCTAGGACTTCTCAATGGGGTGGGTGTTTGTGGATACACAAGAAGCCTGTGAAACTTCTGATATTGGCAGGAAATCAATGCCCCCATCCTCCACCCCCACCCCCACCTCCCCACCATAAACACATGCCCTGCAGCAGGACTTGACACTCAGGGGCTCCTGGGGTCCCGATTTATCTGCTAAAACATCCTCTAGCCACCACCGAATAAAGCAACCCCTTGCGACCCAACCACAAGAGCACTGCCTGGAAGCAACTCCAAGGGACACCAAGTCACATTAAAACCTCAGCCATCCAGAACACCAGGCCTGGTGATGAGAAAGAACATTTTATCCTTAAAAGCATCTGAATGCCCATGCTGCTTCTTGCAGAGAAAAGTCCAAAATAATCTGTTATTAAAGAACGAGGATGGTTTTGACATTTTTACCAAGCTAGTGGTCTACGCAGACAAAATCTCATAAAAGGGCACTCTGTTCTTCTTGTTCCACTCAGACATGGCGTGTGAGTGAAGAAACGGGCTCTCCTCCTCAAAGAAATCACTGCTGATCCTCGTACCAGCCTGACACTGCTTCATGGGTTCTTCAAAGAGAGTATTCCCATAGGAACTAAAAGGGAAGAGGAATGTGTCTGGCGGGCATTGTGGGCAGCAGTGGGCTTTGGGCCAAATTTTAAGTTTGAAAATCAAGATTCCCTCTTTTCAAGGGGCCGCTGGACTGAGCAGATACAGACACCGTGAAAAGAGGGTGCCATGTTCAGATTCAGGAAACAAGGATGGTTTCTATTCAGTTCCTCCATCATCCTTCAGGTCATGCGATTCCCATTACCCTCTGTGGACCAAACAATTCAGTGGGGTTTCTGCCTTTTAAACATTTCATTATCAACATATCATCCTTTTAGCCTCCAGAAAGCATTTTAACATGGAGATTCTGGCTTAAGACTTTTGTGGGTCTGTCTCTCTCTCTTTTCCTTGAAACGGTCTCACTTTGTCACCCAGGCTGGAGTGCAGTGGCATGATCACAGCTCACTGCAGCCTGACCTTCTAGGCTCTAGCAATCCTCCCACCTCAGCCTCCCAAGTACTTGAGACTGCAGGCACTCACCACCATAACTGCCCTTTTTTTTTTTTTTTTTTTTTTTTTTTTTGGTAGATATGAGGCTTCACCATGTTGCCCAGGCTGGTCTTAAACTCCTGGGCTCAAGTGATCCCCCCCTTTCGGCCTCTCAAAGTGCTGGGATTATTGGCTTCAGCCACCATGCCCAGCCAAGGACCTTGTCTCTTGTGACGTACTCCAGAACAAAACATCACTGCAAAAACACACCAAGGCATGAGTTTTAGTACTAAGTCCCACTTATCCACCATACGCTATGTGCCAGGCACAACGCTAAGTGCTTCTATGGACGAGCTTCCCTTAATCTCAGCAGCAACAACCCCAGGCAATGGAGCCTGTTGACAGATCCATTTGCCACTGAAGACAGTAAGGCTCAGAGAGGGTAAGTGGCTTGTGCCATGTCAGCCAGCTAAGGAGGGGCAGAACCAGGATGCAAACCCCAGCCGCCTGGCTCCAGAATCGCGTTCCAGAGGTCTCACTACACTTGGTCACTCCACCGCATTCTGGTATCCTGGTCTTTGGCAGAGTCCACGTAAAAGAGGGAGGTAGAGGGAGTGAGAGGGACTTCATGCAATAAAGTTTCCCGGCGTTACACTGTCACCGTAATTGTGTCCCCAACCAGGACCTCTCCCTTCTCATCCTTTCCGTGATCCGCCCTGGAAAACCTTCCAAAGAACTGTCCTCCTTCTCCCGGGATCTCAGAGAAAATTCACCTGAGTTCAGTGTCCAGGTGACCCAAGCTCTGAATGCGGTAACGTGGACGGGGAGAAGAGGATGTCACCATGAGCAAGCCTCCCAGACAGCATCCAGGAGCAACCCCAAGACTGGGCAGGGGGGCTCTGATGCCGCCCACGGCGAGGAGGGCTGCCCATGCTGCCTAAATGGGTTCAGAATGAAGGCCGCCCTCTCTCCCATGTGGGGCTCATTAACCATGAATCCAATTATTAAGACAAGCTCAGCTGAGCAAATGGTCAAACATAAAAACATGTGGAAGGAACAAAGAGGTCAACCCCATTATCCATTAAAAACCATCAAGGTGGCGGCCCTCACTGAGGGGTACAGTTCTCCAGCGGGCTCTCATCTGCCCTCCAAACCCACATGCCTCCCCAGTGGAAGGCCAGCAAAGCCACACAGGAAGAGTTGGGGTAGGAAAGCCGAAAGTGAACCCCAGGAGGCCAGCCTGGCTATGCAGCCCCATCCCACACACACTGGCCCGGTGATTCAGGGGCCAACGTTTGCAGGACACCGGGAGCTCACAGGGACAGCGCCCCGGGGATGCAAGGAACTTTGCCTCTCTGTCCCTCTCTGTAGGGATGGAAAGAGGAGAGCGATTTCTGGGATGGAAGCCATCTGCCTCCTCTCAACTCTTGCTGCCCAACCAGAAAGGGAAGAAAAACAGGAAGATGCGGGACGGGTGAGGAGCTGGGTGAGCGCCGCCAGCCCGCAGTCCAGCAGAGCAGGGCTTGGCCAAGCCTGGCGCCAGGGACTTCCCCCCTACCCCACCACAGGCCCCTCGCCAGGTGAGAGGCACCGACAGGGTCCCAGACTGATGCCCCAGACAGGATGCCCAGCGCAACACCCGCCACTTCCCCTGCTAGGGGCCCCCAGGACGCGGGGCTGCCCCTCTCTTTTTGGCCAGCCGCAGAGTCCAGCGGGTCTCCCAGCCAGGGACGTCGTGGGAGAATCAGGAAGTCAAAGCCACACAGCCGAGAAGCGGCAGCTGGCGTCTCGGAGGCCGTCACGCGCTGTCACTCCGCGCCCTTCGGAGTTGCCGCTAAAATACCAACTTCAACCCGGGGCCGGCCACTGAGACTCCCGCCGCCCCTACCGGCGCCCCCGGCACCCCCGGACCCCGGCGCCCGCGTCACTTACTCCTCTGCCTTCGCCACCTGTCTGGGTGCCGGTCTCCTCCCTGCCTGGCCGCGGCGCGTCCTCCCCGTCCTCGCAGTCCTCGGGTTCTGCGCTTCCCCCCTCCAGCTACAGCCGCAGCCTCTTCTCTTCGGGAGGGACGTCGTCCTCCTCCCTCCTGGGCCGGCCATCCCTGCCTCGGGGCTTGCCAGTGGCTTCGGAGCTGCCGGAAGGGCTGGCCACGGCTGGGGGGCTCTGCCTGCACCTGGAGAAGAGGAAGGATACGGCGCGAGCGGCCTCTCGGCGGAGCTGGGGCGTCTGAGCGCGGGCTCGGTGGGTCCGCCCGGCGAGGGGCTGGGCATAGCGGCCGGCGCGGGCTCCTACGCGGGCCGCTCCTGGCTCTCGCGCCCTCTGCTGGCCGCTCGCGCGCACCGCGGACAAGCCGGGCCCTGGCCTGCGCTGCACTCACCTGCCCCCGCCCAGGCAGTCGCTGTCCCCTGCCTGTGGCCAGACCCGCTCTGGCCAGGCCCTGCACCTCCTCCCCACCCCAGCCAGGTTGCACCCCGATGGTCTCCCTGCCCAAGGAGGAGAGAAGAGAAGGGAAGCCCCGAGAGGGTGGACATCGGCCACAGCCACCTTGTCTTTGCTCTTACCGTGTGTCTTCCATGATTTGGAGGTGGTGGGAAACCCGAGGCTGCTCAAAACTCGTGGAGAATTCCGCCTGCAGGATGACATGAATGCACCTTCCCATTGCCTACCAACAGACCTTTTTTGAGCATCACTGTGGACCAGGTGTGGTGATGGGGGAGGGGATATTGTGGAGAACATGACAGGCATTGCCTTCACCCAGTGGGGCTCAGCGCTGGGTGGGAAGGCATTGAGAATGGACATTGTCAATTGGGCCAAAGGAGGCCAAGGAGAAGTGCTGGGGGCATGGGAACTGAAAAAGACAGGAGGCTCAGCAGGTCTTGGAGCTGGGAAAGTGACAGCAGCAGCGGCTGTTCCAAAGGAAGCAACAGCTGAGAGAGGTCTCGGAGAGTTGTTCTCAGCCCAGTGGAGGGTGTTCAGGCAGAGGGAACAGCGTGTGCAAAAGCCCAGAGGCTGGGAAAGAAGCAGAAAGAGGACTGTGGGGCTGGAGCGTGGTGGGCAAGGGGAGGAAGGTGTGGTGGGCAGACAGATTGACTGGGACCCAGCTGTGCAGGGGCAGAGGAGATAGGGGATCCTTGCAGGCCCCCAGCCGGGGCTCAGGCACAGAGACAATGCAGGTGGGCAAAGGGAGGAGACGTGGAGAAATATTTTGGAGGCATGCCCTGATGAATGAGCCCAGGATGCACCCTTAGTGTCAGTGTGGAGCTCCTTCCTTGACTGTGTGATGAGCTGAACTCGGGGGTATTTTCTGGACATTGAGGTGCTACACCAAGAGCCCAGGACAGGCTAAGTGAGCACTAGCAGCTCCTGGCCCACCTCAAAAGCAGGAGAGACAGGGGAGACTGGGGAGGCCGGGGTGGAAGGGGAAGCCAGGAAGGTAGGAGAGGCCAGGGAAGCAGAGGAGGCCAGGGAGGCAATGGAGGCAGGAGAGGCTGGGGAGGTTATGTCCTTTCCATGATTCTGCCCTGGATCCTAGGCCCCTGAACTCCCTGAGCTTCCCCACCCCAAGCGCTGGAACCAGGTTGCACAATGGTCTCCCCACTAAGCTCCTGATGGCAGCCCCTACCCTGCTGTGCTCCCTATTTCAACCCTAACAGCTCTCACAGTGGGCAGCACATAGTAGGTGCTCAGGAAACACTGGTGGGAGAGCACGTGGGTCTGCTCAGCACCTTCCTCTCTCCTCCAGCTCTCCCCATCATGAAATAATTCTGATAACGACACATGGACTTTGAGACCCTCTTATATTACTTTCCATATGCTAATGCATCTATACCTCACAGCAGCCCTGGGGGTGGGTGCAATGAGGATGCCCATTTTATAGAGGAGGAGACTGAGGTATAAAGAGGGTAAGTGACATACGCACACTACAGGGGCTGGGGCCAAGTGATCAGAGCACTCAATCCCCAAAGGCAAGGTAGATGCAGTTATCATAAAAGACAGCAGAGTCAAAGCTGCAACCAGAATAGCCTGAATCCCAGCGACCTATGGTGCCTGCTGATCGTGGCTTTCCTAGAAGTGAAATAGATAAGAAGCCTGCCACATTTCACTTGATCTGTGTTTGCAGAAGAGCTCTAGGTCAAGTGAGCAGAAGTCTAATCTGAATCATAAAAACAGAGTCACAGTCCCCAGTCAATTTCCAGACATAAGCCAGTTCACAGACCCGGAGTCCCTTGTCTGAATGAGAAGCCAGGTCCCCTCCAGAAAGGACTCTGCTCCACTGCCAAAAATTTATACTGTCAGTCTTTCTCCCAACCTGCCCCCAAGGGAATACACAGCCTTTCGCCAGGATGACTGAACAGGAGAAAAGGAACTAATGAGACCTGTGCAGGATCACTGGACACAGGCTCTGAACTGGCACTAGGGCGAGACTAGGGTCTACCAGTCAGAATAGGCATTTTGGAGGTCAGGTGAATGTTGGTGCAAGTTCATGTCACGGTAGGTCCATTGGGTCCCCAAATCCATCCTCTGGTTATATACAAAGCGGCAATGCTGAGATTCAAATTCAGGGCATCCGACATAGAGCCTGGGCTCTTACTCATGAAACATTCTGACACTAGTAACCAATTTAAAAGTGTAAACACCTCCTGGGACTAGAATGGGTCCCCAAAACAGTCATGTAAATTGGTTCTGTCAAGAATTTCCTCCCACCCCCTGCTGAGAGCCAGTTGCAAGGAGAGACTAGGGAAGGGCATTGGGTAACTTTGTTGCTAAAAGCTCTTCTGGATAAAGACGTATGGGAAAAGAAGCAAATAGAGTTCAGCAGAAGAGGTAAGAAAGTAAGTTTATGTTTGGCCAGGCACGGTGGCTCACGCCTGTAATCCCAGCACTTGAGAAGGCCGAGGCGGGCAGATCACGAGGTCAAGAGATCGGACTATCCTGGCCAACATGGTGAAGCCCCGTCTCTACTAAAAATTCAAAAATTAGATGGGCATGATGGCGCGCGCCTGTAGTCCCAGTTACTCGGTAGCCTGAGGCAGGAGAATCACTTGAACCCAGGAGGTGGAGATTGCAGTGAGCGGAGATCATGCCACTGCACTCCAACCTGGGCAACAGAGTAAGACTCTGTCTTAAAAAAAAATTAAAATAAATAAATGCTATGCGCAGCATTTTCCATGTACTGTCTTATTATCTCGGTGAATCCCATATAACCTTCCTATCAAAGTGTATCTCATTTATCTCCATTTTATAGATGAGAAAACTGAGGCCCCTGGAGTAGTATTAATTTTCCAAGACCCCATTGCTCATAAAGGGTACAGCAGGGACCCAAGCTCGACACTCTCACCCTCAAACATTTATACAATTGTGGACCAATGGCTCTCAACTGGGGTGGTTTTGCTCACGTACCGCTCCCTTGCCCCACATTATTTGAAACCATCTGGAGACGTCTGGGGTAGCCATAGCAGGGAGGGTAGAATGGCACCTAGAGGATGGAGACCACAGATGCTGCTAACCATCCTTCAATACACAGCACAGCCCCACCACCAGCACCACGAATGGTCTCACCACAAATATTCTGACTGTGCCAAAGCTGAGAAACCCAGGTTTCTCCTCAGCAAGAAGGAAAATCCCTGCAACGTGGATGCACCTCTACAGGAGCCCCAGGCTGACAATAACCTTCCTGATCTGGTTTCAACCCTGGATGCTTTTACCTGGTGCGTCCATCAGGGATTTCAGGGACTCCAGTGAGTTATCACCCTTGAATGCTCGGTTCTGCCTGACAACCCAGAAATCTCTGCCGAGGTGCCTGGTCTTGCGGAAGACTCAGCAAGTGGTTGAGGTGGACAACCAAATACCTAGGAGAGACTTTTCTCTCCCTCCAGGAGGAGCTGTGGGTCAGACACACACTGGGATCATTCACAAGCGGTCAATAAAGGCTTGAGGAGGGGCAGATTTTCTAGGCCTTCTCAATGGGGTGGGTGTTTGTGGATAAACAAGAAGCCTGTGAAACTTCTGATATTGGGAGGAAATCAATGCCCCCCCTTCCACCCTCCCCCACCTCCCCACCATAAACACATGCCCTGCAGCAGGACTTGACACTCAGGGGCTCCTGGGGTCCCGATTTATCTGCTAAAACATCCTCTAGCCACCACCGAATAAAGCAACCACTTGCCACCCAACCACAAGAGCACAGCCTGGGAGCTACTCCAAGGGACATCCAGTCACATTAAAACCTCAGCCATCCAGAGCACCAGTCCTGGTGATGAGAAAGAACATTTTATCCTTAAAAGCATCTGAATGCCCATGCTGCTTCTTGCAGAGAAAAGTCCAAAATAATCTGTTATTAAAGAACGAGGATGGTTTTGACATTTTTACCAAGCTAGTGGTCTACGCAGACAAAATCTCATAAAAGGGCACTCTGTTCTTCTTGATCCACTCAGACATGGCCTGTGAGTGAAGAAACGGGCTCTCCTCCTCAAAGAAATCACTGCTGATCCTCGTACCAGCCTGACACTGCTTCATGGGTTCTTCAAAGAGAGTATTCCCATAGGAACTAAAAGGGAAGAGGAATGTGTCTGGCGGGCATTGTGGGCAGCAGTGAGCTTTGGGCCAAATTTTAAGTTTGAAAATCAAGATTCCCTCTTTTCAAGGGGCTGCCGGACTGAGCAGATACAGGCACCGTGAAAAGAGCGTGCCATGTTCAGATTCAGGAAACAAGGATGGTTTCTGTTCAGTTCCTCCATCATCCTTCAGGTCATGCTATTCCCATTTCCCTCTGTGGACCAAACAATTCAGTGGGGTTTCTGCCTTTTAAACATTTCATTATCAACATATCATCCTTTTAGCCTCCAGAAAGCATTTTAACATGGAGATTCTGGCTTAAGACTTTTGTGGGTCTGTCTCTCTCTCTTTTCCTTGAAACGGTCTCACTTTGTCACCCAGGCTGGAGTGCAGTGGCATGATCACAGCTCACTGCAGCCTGACCTTCTAGGCTCTAGCAATCCTCCCACCTCAGCCTCCCAAGTACTTGAGACTGCAGGCACTCACCACCATAACTGCCTTTTTTTTTTTTTTTTTTTTTTTTTTTTTTGGTAGATATGAGGCTTCACCATGTTGCCCAGGCTGGTCTTAAACTCCTGGGCTCAAGCGATCCTCCCCCTTCGGCCTCTCAAAGTGCTGGGATTATTGGCTTCAGCCACCATGCCCAGCCAAGGACCTTGTCTCTTGTGACGTACTCCAGAACAAAACATCACTGCAAAAACACATCAGGGCATGAGTTTTAGTCTTAAGTCCCACTTATCCACCATACACTATGTGCCAGGCACAACGCTAAGTGCTTCTATGGACGAGCTTCCCTTAATCTCAGCAGCAACAACCCCAGGCAATGGAGCCTGTTGACAGATCCATTTGCCACTGAAGACAGTAAGCCTCAGACAGGGTAAGTGGCTTGTGCCATGTCAGCCAGCTAAGGAGGGGCAGAACCAGGATGCAAACCCCAGCCGCCTGGCTCCAGAATCGCATTCCCAAGGTCTCACTACACTTGGCCTCTCCACCGCATTCTGGTATCCTGGTCTTTGGCAGAGTCCACGTAAAAGAGGGAGGTAGAGGGAGTGAGAGGGACTTCATGCAATAAAGTTTCCCGGCGTTACACTGCCACCATAATTGTGTCCCCGACCAGGACCTCTCCCTTCTCATCCTTTCCGTGATCGGCCCTGGAAAACCTTCCAAAGAACTGTCCTCCTTCTCCCGGGATCTCAGAGAAAATTCACCTGAGTTCAGTGTCCAGGTGACCCAAGCTCTGAATGCGGTAACGTGGACGGGGAGATGAGGATGTCACCATGA
The DNA here is from genome assembly GCF_000001405.40 of Homo sapiens. Taxonomy (NCBI): domain Eukaryota; kingdom Metazoa; phylum Chordata; class Mammalia; order Primates; family Hominidae; genus Homo; species Homo sapiens. Next base: position 12,607,062 of record NC_000008.11, read on the forward strand.
GCAAGCCTCCCAGACAGCATCCAGGAGCAACCCCAAGACTGGGCGGGGGGGCTCTGATCCTGCCCATGGCGAGGAGGGCTGCCCGTGCTGCCTAAATGGGTTCAGAATGAAGGCTGCACTCCCAACTTCAACCCGGGGACGGCCACGGAGCCTCCCGACGCCCCTTCGTTGCGTCCCCGGCACCCCCGAGCCCCCGGCACTCCCGGACCCCCGCGCCCGCATCACTTACTCCTTTGCCGTCGCCACCTGTCTGGGTGCCGGTCTCCTTCCTGCCCGGTAGCGGCGGGTCCTCCCCGTCCTCGCAGTCCTCGGGCTGTGCGCTTCCCCCCTCCAGCTACAGCCCCAGCCTCTTCTCTTCGGGAGGGACGTCCTCCTCCCCCATCCTGGGACTGCCATCCCTGCCTCGCGGCTTGCCAGTGGCTTCGGAGCTGCTGGAAGGGCTGGCCATGGCTCCGCGGGCTCTGCCTGAACTTGGGGAAGAAGAAGGACCCGGCTCAAGCGGCTTCTCGGCGGAGCTGGGGCGTCTGAGCGCGGGCTCGGTGGGTCCGCGCGGCGCGGAGCTGGGTATCGGGGCCGGCCCGGGCTCCTCCGCGGGCCGCGCCTGGCTCTCTGGCGCCCTCTTCTGGCCGCTCTCGCGCACCTCTGCCACGCCGGGCCCAGGCCTGCGCAGCTGTCACATGTCCTGGCCCAGGAGGTCGCTGTCCCTTGCCCATGGACAGGCCCGCTCTGGCAATGCCCTGCACCACCTCCCCGCCCCAGCCAGGTTGCACCCCGATGGTCTCCCTGCCCAAGGAGGAGAGAAGAGAAGGGACGCCACGAGAGGGTGGACATCGGCCACAGCCACCTTGTCTTTGCTCTTACCCTGTGTCTTCCATGATTTGGAGGTGGTGGGAAACCCGAGGCTGCTCAAAACTCGTGGAGAATTCCGCCTGCAGGATGACATGAATGCACCTTCGCATTGCCTACCAACAGATCTTTTTTGAGCATCACTGTGGACCAGTCGTGGTGATGGGGGAGGGGATATTGTGGTGAACATGACAGGCATTGCCTTCACCAAGTGGGGCTCAGCGCTGGGTGGGAAGGCATTGAGAATGGACATTGTCAATTGGGCCAAAGGAGGCCAAGGAGAAGTGCTGGGGGCATGGGAACTGAAAAAGACAGGAGGCTCAGCAGGTCTTTGAGCTGGGAGAGGGACAGCAGCAGCGGCTTTTCCAAAGGAAGCAACAGCTGAGAGAGGTCTCAGAGAGTTGTTCTCAGCACAGTGGAGGGCGTTCAGGCAGAAGGAACAGCGTGTGCAAAAGCCCAGAGGCTGGGAAAGAAGCAGAAAGAGGACTGTGGGGCTGGAGCGTGGTGGGCAACAGGAGAGAGGTGTGGTGGGCAGACAGATTGCCTGGGACCCAGCCGTGCAGGGGCAGAGGAGATAGAGGATCCTTGCAGGCCCCCAGCCGGGGCTGAGGCACAGAGACAATGCAGGTGGGCAAAGGGAGGAGACGTGGAGAAATATTTTGGAGGCATGCCCTGATGAATGAGCCCAGGATGCACCCTTAGTGTCAGTGTGGAGCTCCTTTCTTGGCTGTGTGATAAGCTGAACCCGGGGGTATTTTCTGGACATCGAAGTGCTACACCCAGAGTCCAGGACAGGCTAAGTGAGCACCAGCAGCTCCTGGCCCACCTCAAAAGCAGGAAAGACAGGGGAGACTGGGGAGGCCGGGGCGGAAGGGGAAGCCAGAAAGGCAGGAGAGGCCAGGGAACAGAGGAGGTCAGGGAGGCAGGGGAGGCAGGGGAGGCTGGGGCGGCTGTGTCCTTTCCATGATTCTGCCCTGGATCCTAGGCCCCTGTAGTCCCTGGGCTTCCCCACCCCAAGCACTGTAACCATGTTGCACAACGGTCTCCCCACTAAGCTCCTGATGGCAGCCCCTATCCTGCTGTTCTCCCTATTTCAACCCTAACAGCTCTCACAGTGGGCAGCACATAGTGGGTGCTCAGGAAACACTGGTGGGAGAGCACGTGGGTCTGCTCAGCACCTTCCTCTCTCCTCCAGCTCTCCCCTGTCACGAAATAATTCTGATAACGACACATGGGCTTTGAGACCCTCTTCTATTACCTTCCATATGCTAATCCATCTATACCTCACAGCAGCCCTGGGGGTGGGTGCAATGAGGATGCCCATTTTATAGAGGAGGAGACTGAGGTATAAAGAGGGTAAGTGACATACGCACAGTACAGGGGCTGGGGTCAAGTGATCAGAGCACTCAATCCCCAAAGGCAAGGTGGATGCAGTTACCATAAAAGACAGCAGAGTCAAAGCTGCAACCAGAATAGCCTGACTCGCAGAGACCTATGGTGCCGGCTGATCGTGGCTTTCCTAGAACTGAAATAGATAAGAAGCCTGCCACATTTTTACTTGATCTGTGTTTGAAGAAGAATTCTAGGTCAGGTGAGCAGAAGTCTAATCTGAATCATAAAAACAGAGTCACAGTCCCCCGTCAATTCCCAGACATAAGCCAGTTCACAGACCTGGAGTCCCTTGTCTGAATGGGAAGCCAGGTCCCCTCCAGAAAGGACTCTGCTCCACTGCCAAAAATTTATACTGTCAATCTTTCTCCCAGCCTGTCCCCAAGGGAATACACAGCCTTTACCAGGATGACTGAATAGGAGAAAAAGAACTAATGGGACCTGTGCAAGACCACTGGACACAGGCTCTGAACTGGCACTAGGGCGAGACTAGGGTCTACCAGTCAGAATAGGCATTTTGGAGTTCAGGTGAATGTTGGCCCAAGTTCATGTCATGGTAGATCCATTGGGTCCCCAAATCCGTCCTCTGCTTATATACAAAATGGCCATGTTGAGACTTAAATTCAGGGTATCCAACTTAGAGGCTGTGCTCTTACTCATGAAACATTCTGACACTAGTAACCAATTTAAAAATGTAAACTGCTTCCAGCAGAAGATAAGAGCACCAACAGTGAAGTCAAGCTTCCCAGACATGCTCATGCTAGATTGACCAATCCTCAGTTGACCCATAGATCCATGAAAATAAATGATTGTTGTATTAAGCCACTGAGATTTGGAGTGACTTTTTATGCAGCATTTTGTGACAACAACTAACTGATACAAGGGTCACCGTCCTTTATCTCTGTAGATTTTAACCAATTTTTAATAGCTAGATGGAGATCTTCTAGTTGCCTTTATTTATAATGAAAATGACAGTAGAACTAGTTTGGCCTGACACTACCAGTAACCTAACCAGAAATTCACAAATACTTTCTTCTCCAACCCGCCCCAACCAACCTTTTTTGTTTGTTTGTTTTTGGGTTCTCCCTCTTTGCCTAGGCTAGAGTACAAATGGTACAGTCAGAGCTCACTGTAACATCAAAATCCTGGGCTCAAGTGATCTTCCCCTTCAGCCTCCTATGTAGCTAAGACTACAGAAATGTGCCACCATGCCTGGCTAATTTTTTTATTCTTTGCAGAGACAGGGTCTCACTATATTGCCCAAGTTGGTTTCAAACTCCTGGCCTCAAGCAGTCCTCCTGCCTCACCCTCCCAAAGTGCTAGGATTATAGGCATGATCCACCACAACCAGCCATTTCTTCTTTATAAATAGAAACCCTATTTTATTCTGACAGTGGGTTGCTTTCTTTTTTTTTTTTTCTAAGAAAAAGTTGGCCCAGCCCCAGGGAATAAATTTTGTCTGGTCTAAACAGGGTTGGCCAACTATAGACCAAGGGCCAAATCTGGCCCTCTGACTGTTTGTATAATTTAAGTTTTACTGGAATAAAACCAGGTCCATTGATTTATGCCTTGTCTACATATGCTTTTAGACTACGATGGCACCACTGCGTCACTGCAACAGAGGTTATCTAGACAAAAAGCCTAAAATATTACCGTTTGCCTCTTTATGGAAAAAGTTTGTCATTCCCTAGTCTAAGGTTTAGATTCTGAGCTTGTCATTTTAGCCTACACCCCCTTACCAGTGACTAGCTCAAAACAAGTCTGTGATTCCATTCTGACTGTTCTACTGAGGGAATTCCCCCTTCTTCTCATGTGGAGCTGATGAGGGTAAGTTGTATTAATAGGACATATGCTCAGGTTTTCTGAAAAATACTTTTATCTAGAAATGCATAGGAATATGCTAGTGCCTGAAGATTGTCTCACCTGCCTCCAGAGCTAGTGCCCACACTTACTACTGAGAGGCCTGAGGAAACGCCTGCCTACCCACCACCAGAACCTGCATACGTCACATGGAGAACTAGAGATCAGCCTGCCACACACACCACCAAGGAGCCCAGTGGCGAACCTGCCCACCTGGCCCAGTGCTGCCACTGCCAGCAACCAAAGAAGCCACATGGAGGCCCAGGGATTGGCCCACGCAGACAGGCTATCATCAGTGCCCACAAACACTGCCCATGGTCCCTAGTACTGACACACCTCGTCCACAACCACTACCACTGATGCTGAAGGACAAGACTTCCTGGCATGCCCATCCTCAGCAAAGCCTCACCACAGCCTCCAATAACAACAGCAGTCTGGCCAAGTGTGGTGGCTCACACCAGTAATCCCCGCACTTTGAGGGGATGAGGTGGGTAGATCATGAGGTAAGGAGTTCGAGACCAGCCTGGCCAACATGGTGAAACCCCGTCTCTACTAAAAATACAAAAATTAGCTGGGCATGGTTGCACGTGCCTATAGTCCCAGCTACTCAGGAGGCTGAGGCAGGAGAATTGCTTGAACCCGGGAGGCAGAGGTTGCAGTGAGCTGAGATTGTGTCACTGCACTCCAGCCTGGTGACAGAGCTAGACTCCATCTCAATAACCACAAAAAACAAACACTGCAGTCTAAGCCACTGAATGACTCACAGACACCACTCATGCCAATTACAGCTGAAGGAATCATATGCAGATTATACCACTGTACCCAGCGAGAATCAAAGCCAAAGTGTGATATCCAATGAACATTGTAGATACAGCTATAAGAAAAGGTCTTTCCCATATAAAAGCCAATCCATAAAGTTGGAAGAAATGACTGTTATGTCAGAGGCACAGATAGTCACATAAGGATGCAAGAAATATGAAAGAGGAAACATAACATCTCCAAAGAAGCACAATAATTCTCCAGCAACAGATCCAATGAAAAGAAAATCTATGAAATGCCTGAAAAAAAATTCAGAATAATGTTATTAAAGAAACTCAGGGAGATACAAGAGAACACAGATAATGAATAAAAAAAAAAAAAAAAAAAAAAAAAAACAGGAAAACAATTCATGATCTGAATGACAAATTCAACAGAGATAGACAGCATAACAAAGAACCAAACACAAATCCTGGAAGAGAATAAATCATTGAAATAAATACAAAAGATAATTGACAGCTTTAACAATAGACTAGATCAAGCAAAACAAAGAATTTCTGAACCTGAAGACTAGTCTTTAAAATAATCCAGTCAGACAAAAAGAAAGAAAAAAGACTGAAGCAAGGCTACATGACATATGGGACACATATGTGACCAAAAACTGAAATTCTGGGAGTTCTGGATGGAGATGAGATGGGTAAAGGCATAGAAAACCTATTTAATGAAATAATAACTGAAAACTTCCTGAAAGCTTCCAAATGCAGGAAGCTCAAAGCTTACCAAATAAATACAACTCAAAAAGGTCTTCTCCAAGGCACATTATGGTAAAATTGTCAAAAGACAAAGAGAAAATGCTAAAAACAGCAAGAGAAAAGCATCAAGTCACTTATAAGAGAATCTCCATCAGGCTAACAGTGGATTTCTCAGCAGAAACCTTACAGGCTAGGAGAAAAGAGGATGTATACTACAAGTAAAAAAAAAAAAAAAAAAAAAAGTAAGCCAAAAATACTATACCCAGCAAAGCTATCCTTCGCAAATGAAGGAGCCTGGCACAGTGGCTCACATCTGCAATTCCAGAGACTCAAGGCTGAGGCAGGAGGACCATTTGATCCCAGGAGTTCAAGGCTGCAGTGAGCTATGATCATGCCACTGTACTCCAGCCTGGGTGACAGAGTAAGACTCCATTGCTAAAAAATAATAATAATAATAAAAGAGAAAAAGTATTTCCCAGATAAACAAAAGACTGTTTGTTTGTGTCTTGTTTGTTGTGGTCCTACAAGAAATGTTTAAGGCAGTCCTACATTGGGAAGCAAAAGAACAATATCTACCATCATGAAAATACATGAAAGTATAAAACTCACTGCTAGTTCAGACACACAAAGAAGAAAAGATTCAAACATCACCACTAAAGAAAACCACCAAACTGCAACCATAAATAATGAGAGAAAAAAGGAACAAAGGTGTATTAGTCTGTTTTCACACTGCTGATAAAGACATACCTGACTGAGACTGGGCAATTTACAAAAGAAAGAGGTTTAATGGACGTACACTTCCACATAGCTGAGGAAGCCTAAGAATCACGTTGGAAGGCAAGAAGAAGCAAGTCATGTCTCACATGGATGGCACCTGGCAAAGGGAGAGCTTCTGCAGAGAAACTACCCTTTTCAAAAACATCAGAACTTCTGAGACGTATTCACTATCATGAGAACAGCATGGGAAAGACCTGCCCCCATGACTCAATTACTTCCCACCAGGTCCCTCCCACAACATGTGGGAATTCAAGATGAGATTTGGGTGGGGATAAAATCAAACCATATCATTCTGCCCCTGGCCCTTCCCAAATCTCATATCCTCACATTTCAAAACCAATCATGCCTTCCCAACAGTCCCCCAAAGTCTTAACTAAGTTAAGCATTAACTCAAAAGTCCAGAGTCCAAAGTCTCATGTGAGACAAGGCAAATCCCTTCTGCCTATGAGCATGTAAAATCAAAAACAAGTTAGTTACTTCCTAGATACTATGGGGGTATAGGCATTGGGTAAACACAGTCATTCCAAATGGCAGAAAATTGCCAAAACAAAGGGGCTACAGGACCCATGCAAGCCCAAAATCCAGTGGGGCAGTCAAATCTCAAAGCTCCAAAATGATCTCCTTTGACTCCATGTCTCACATGCAGGTCATGCTGATGTAAGAGGTGGGCTCCCATGGCCTTGGGAGAAAAAAGGCCACAGCTCCACTCCTGTGGCTTTGTAGGGTTTAAATCCCCCCTGGCTCCTTTCACGGGTTGGCATTGAGTGTCTGCAGCTTTTCCAGGCACACAGTGCAAGCTGTCAGTGAATCCACCATTCTGGGGTCTGGAGGATGGTGGCCCTCTTCTCAAAGCTCCACTAGGTGGCGCTGCAGTAGGGACTCTATGTGGGGGCTCTGACCCCACATTTCCCCTCTGCACTGCCCTAGTACAGGTTCTCCATGAGTGCCCTGCCCCTGCAGCAAACTCCTGCCTGGATATCTAGGCATTTCCTTACACCTTCTGAAATCTAGGCAGCAGTTCCCAAACCTCAATTATTGACTTCTGTGCACCCACAGGCTCAACACTATGTGGAAGCTGCTAAGGCTTGGGGCTTGCACCCTCTGAAGCCACAGCCCACGTTGTACTTTGGCTCCTTTTAGCTGCAGCTGGAGTGGCTAGGACTCTGGCACCCTAGGCTGCTCACAGCAGGGGTCCCTGGGTCCAGCCCACAAAACCATCTTTTCTTCCTAGGCCTCTGGACCTTTGATGGGAGGGGCTGCCATGAAGACCTGTGACATGCCCTGGAGACATTTTCCCCATTGTCTTGGGGATTCACATTTGACTCCTCGTTACTTAAACAAACTTCTGCAGCTAGATCGAATTTTTCTTGAGAAAATGGGATTTTCTTTTCTATCGCATTGTCAGGCTGCAGATTTTCCAAACTTTCATGCTCTGCTTCCCTTACAAAACTGAGGGCCTTTAACAGCACCCAAGTCATCTCTTGAATGCTTTGCTGCTTAGAAATTTCTTTTATCAGATACCCTAAATCATCTCTCTCAAGTTCAAAACTACACAAATCTCTACAGCAGGGGCAAAAAGCCACCAGTCTCTTTGCTAAAACATAACAGGAGTCACCATTGTGCCAGTTCCCAACAAGCTCCTCATTTCCATCTGAGACAACCTGAGCCTAAACTTTATTGCCCATATAACCATCAGCATTTTGGGCAAGTCTCTAGGAAATCTCTTCCAAATTTTCCCACATTTTCCTGTCTCCTTCTGAGCTCTCCAAACTGTCCCAACCTCTGCCTGTTTCCCAGTTCCAAAGTCACTTCCACATATTCAGGTATCTTTTAGCAACACCTCACTTGTGGTACTAATTTACTGCATTAGTCCATTTTCATACAGCTGATAAAGACACATTCAAGACTGGGAAATTTACAAAAGAAAGAGGTTTAATGGACTTACAGTTCTACATTGCTGGGGAGGCTTCAAAATCATTGCGGAAGTCAAGGAGAGGCAAGTCACATCTTACGGGGATGGCAACAGGCAGAGAGCTTGAGCAGGGAAACTCCTCCTTTTAAAACCATCAGATCTCACGAGACTTATTCACTATTAAAAGAATAGCATGGGAAATACCTGCCTCCATGATTCAACTACTTCCCACTGGGTCCCTCCCACAACTCATGGGAATTCAAGATGAGATCTGAGTGGGGACACAGCCAAACCATATCAAAAGGATATACAGAATAACCAGAAAACAATGAACAAAATGACAGGAATAAGTCCTCACCTATCAATAATAACTTCGAGTATGTGTTAAATTACCTACCTAAAAGATAGAGACAGGCTTAATGGATAAAAAATGACCCAACAACGTCTACAAGAAACTCACTTCACTTGTAAAGACACACACAGACTGAAAGTGAAGGGATGGAAAAAGATATACCACACAAACAGAAATCAAAAGTAATCAGGAGTAGCTAAACTTGCATCAGATAAAACAGACTTTAAGTCAAAAACTGTAAAAAGGACAAAGAAGTTCATTATATGGTAATAAAGGGATCAATTCAGCAACAAAGTATAACAATTCTAAATATGCATGCAACCAACATAACCGCATCCAGACACATATAGCAAATATTATTAAATCTACATGGAGAGATAGAGTCCAATACAATGATAGTTAAGAAATTCAATATCCTACTCTCAGCATTGGACAATTCATCTAGACATAAAATCAACAAAGAAACATTAGATTTAAGCTGCACTTTGGACCAAATGGACCTAACAGATATTTTCAGAATATTTCATCCAGCAGCAGCAGAATATACAATCATCTCATCAACACATGGAACATTCTCCAGGATAGACCATATGTTAGGACACAGAACAAGGCTCAATAAAATTTTAAAAATTAAAATATCAAGTATCTTCTCAGACCACAATGGAATAAAGCTTGAAAGCAATAAGAAGAAAAAATTTGGAAACTGTACAAATACATGGACATTAAACATGCTATTGAATGATTTTTGGGTCAATGAAGAAATTAAGATGGACATCAAAAATTTTTTTTAAACAGAAAATGGAAACACATCATGCAAAACCTATAGGATACAGCAAAAGCAGTACTAAGAGGAAAGTCTGTAACAATAAATTCCTACACCAAAAAAGTAGAAAGATTTCAAATAAACAACCTAATGATGCACCTCAAGGAACTCAAAAAGAAAGAACCAATCAAACACACAATTAGTAGAAAGAAAAAATATAAATAACATAGCAGAACCAAATGCAACAGAGACAAAAAAGAAATGCAAAGAATCAACAAGATAAAAGTTGGTTTTTTGAAAAGTTAAACAAAACTGATAAACCACTAGTGAGGCTAACCAACAAAAAAAAAAAAAAAAAAAAGGAGACCCAAATAAATACAATCAGAAATGAAAAAGGAGACATTACAACTGTTATCAAAGAAATAAAAAGGATCATTAGAGGCTATTATGAGCAACCATATGCTAACAAATTGGAAAACCTAGAGGAAAGGGATAAATTCCCAGACATACACAGCCTACCAAGATTGAACTAGGAAGAAACAGAAAACCTGAACTGACCCAAAATGAATAGCAGGTTTGAATCAGTAACAAAAAGTCTCCCAAAAGAGAAAAGCCCTAGACTAGGCTTTTATGCTGATTTCTACCAAATTTATAAAGAAAAACAAACACCAATTCTTCTCAAACTATTCCCAAAAATTGAAGACGGAGGAATTCTTCCTAACTCATTGTATAAGGCCAGCATTACCCTGATATCCAATCAAGACAAGGACACAACAAAGGGAGAAAACTACAGGCCAATATTCCTAATGAACATACATGGTAAAATTCTCAGCATAATACTACCAAGCCAAATCTAATGATGAATGAAAAAGATAATATACCATGATCAAGTGGGATTTATCCCAGGAATGCAAAAATGGCTCAACATACACAAATCAATACATGTGATACATGATATCAACAAGATGAAAGGCAAAAACTATCTGATCATCTCAGCAGATGCAGAAAAATCACTCAGTAAAACTTACCATTCCTTCATGATGAAAACTCTCAACAAATTATGCATAGAAGGAACACTTCAACCTAAGAAAAGGCATATATGACAAATCTACAGCTAACATCCTACTCACTGGGAAAAATTGAAAAGCCTTTCCTCTAAGAACTGGAACAAGAGAAGGATGCCCACTTTCACCCCACTTATTCAACACAGTATGGGACATCCAAGCCAGAGTGATCAGACAAGATAAAGAAATAAAAGGCATCCAAATGGACAAGAGGAAGTCAAATTGTCTCACTTTGCAAATGTCATAATCTTATACCTGTAAACAGAAAAACCTAAAGACTCCACCAAAAAACTCTTAAAATAAATTAGGCTGGGCATGGTAGTTCATGCCTGTAATCCCAGCACTTTGGGAGGCCAAGGTGGACGGATCACCTGAGGTTGGGAGTTTGAGACCAGCCTGGCCAACATGGTGAAACCCTGTCTCTACCAAAAATACAATTAGCCAGGCATGGTGGTAAGTGCCTGTAATCCCAGCTACTTGGGAGGCTGAAGCAGGAGAATCGCTTGAACCCGAGAGGTGGAGGTTGCAGTGAGCCAAGATTGCACCACTGCACTCCAGCCAGGAAAACAGAATGAGACTCTCTCAAAAAATAAAAAATAAAAATTAAAAATTTTTTAAAAACGGATGTATAATTCAGTAAAGCTTCAGGACACAAAATCAACATACAAAAATCAGTAATGTTTCTATATACCAGTAACAAACTAGCTAAAATAGAAATCAAGGAAGAAATTCTATTTACAATAGCTACAAAAATAAAATACCTAGGAATAAACTCAACCAAGGATGAGGAAAAAAAAAACCAAAAAACCTCTACAATGAAAACCACAAAACACTGTTAAAATAATTTGAGAAGGACACAAACAAATGGAAAGGCATCTTATGCTCGTCGGTTGGAATAACTAATACTGTTAAAATGACCATACTACCCGAAGCAATCTAGAGATTCAGTATAAGCCCTATCAATTATATTTTTCACAGCAACAGGAAAAAAAAACCCTGAAATTCATATGGAACCACAGAAAACCCCAAATAACCAGAGCAATACTGAGCAAAAAGAACAAAGCTAGAAGCCTCACACTACCTGATTTAAAAATATACTGCAAAGAGGCCGGGTGAGGTGGCTCAAGCCTATATCCCAGCACTTTGGGAGGCCAAGGCAGGTGGATCACAAGGTCAGGAGATCGAGACCATCCTGGCTAACACGGTGAAACCCCGTCTTTTCTTAAAAAAAAAAAAAAAAAAAAAGTTAGCCAGGCGTGGTGGCGGGCACCTGTAGTCCCAGCAGCTACTCGGGAGGCTGAGGCAGGAGAATGGCGTGAACCCGGGAGTAAGAGCTTGCAGTGAGCAGAGATCACGCCACTGCACTCCAGCCTCGGTGACAGAGCAAGACTCCATCTCAAAAAGAAAAAAAAAATAACATTATATATATATACTGCAAAGCTATAGTAACCAAAACAGCGTGTATTGGTATTAAAACAGACACAAAAACAAAGGAAACAGACTAAGGAATCCAGAAATGAATCCACATATTTCCAGCTAACTGATTTTCAAGAAAGCTGTCAAGAACATACATTGAATAAAGGACACCCTCTTCATTAAATGGTGCCAGGAAAACTAGATATCCAAACACAGAATAATGAAACTAGACCCTTATCTCTCATCACTTACAAAAATAAACTCAAAATCAATTAAGGACTTAAATGTAACAGCCACAACTATAAAACTACTAGAAGTAAACACAGGAGAAACGCTTGAGAACAAAGATTGTATGGCTAACACTTAAAAAGTACAAGCAACAAAAACAGACAAATGGGATTATATTAAATTAAATACCTTCTGCATATCAAAGAAAACAATCAACAGAGTGAAAAGACAACACCCCTCCCTTACACCATACACAAAAATTAACTCAAGATGGCTTAAAGACTTAAATGTAAAACCCATAACTATAAAAACGCTAGAAGACAACCTAGGCAATACCCTCCAGTACATAGTGATGGGCAAAGAGTTCATGGTAAAGATGCCAAACGCAATTGCCACAAAAGCAAAAAGTGACAAATGGGATCTAATTAAATGAAAGAGCTTCTGCACAGCAAAAGAAACTATCAAAAAACAAACAGACATTTCTCAAAAGAAGATATACACATCACCAAGTTTATGGAAAAAATATTCAACATCACTAATCATCACGGAAATGCAAATCAAAACCACAATAAGATATCATCTCACACTTGTTAGAATGGCTATTATTAAAAAGATAAAGCACAACAAATGCTAGCAAGCATGTGAAGAAAAGAAAATTATTGTATATTGTTGGTGGGAATGTAAATTAGTACAGCCATTATGAAAAAAAGTACAGAGATTTCTCAAAAAAACTAAGAACAAATCTACCATGATCCAGCAATCCCACTCCTAGGTATACATCCAAAAAAAAGGATATCAGTGTATCAGCGGGATATCTGTACCTCCATATTTACTGCAGCACTATTTACAATAGCCAAGATATGGAATCAATCTGAGTGTCAATCAATGGATGAATGGTTAAAGAAAATGGGAATATATGCACAATAGAATAGTATTCAGCCTTAAAAAAGAATGAAATCCTGTCATTTTCAGCTAAATGGATGAAATTAAACGTCATAACGTTAGGTGAACTAGGCCATGCACAGAAAGAAAACTATTGCATGTTCTCACTTATATGAGCGGTTTATGTTCCTGGAAATCAAAGTGGGGGCCATGTTTCAGGTCAGTAGGGTCAGGGACAGAGATAGCAGTTATGGACTTGTGTGCCCTGGAGCTATATAAAATTGATATCATGGAGATAAAGAGTAGAATGATAGTTAATAGAGGCTGGGAAGAGGAGGGGTTTGAAAAGAGGTTGATTAATGAGTATAAAAATATATAATGGAATAAGATCTAGTGTTCATTATCACAGAAAGTGACTACAACAATTTGTTGTGTATTTCTTTTTTTTAATTTCAATAGTTTTTAGGGAACAGGTGGTATTTGGTTACATGGATAAGTTCCTTAGTGGTGATCTCTGAAATTTTGGCATACCCATCACCAAAGCAGTTTACCCAATGTATAGTCTTTTCTCTCTCACTCCCTCCCACCTTCCCATTGAGCCCCCAAAGTCCACTCTTTCATTCTTGTGCCTTTGCATCATCATAGCTTAGCTCCCACTTACGAGTGAGAACATGCAATGTTTGGTTTTCCATTCCTGAGTTACTTCATTTAGAATAATGGTCAAATCCATCCAGGTTGCTATGCATGCCATTATTTTATTCCTTTTTAAGGCTAAGTAGTATTCTATGGTATACATATATATAACACATTTTCTTTATCCACTAACTGATTGATGGACATTTGGGCTGGTTCTATAGTTTTGCAACTGTGAATTCTGCTGCTGTAAACATGTGTGCAAATGTATCTTTTTCATATAATGACTTCTTTTCCTCTGGGTAGATACCTAGCAGTGGGATTGCTGGATCAAATGGTAGATGTACTTCTAGTTCTTTAAGGAATCTCCATACTGCTTTCCATAGTGGTGGTACTAGCTTACATTCCCACCATCAGTGTAAAAGCGTTGTCTTTCACCACATCCATGCCAACATCAATTTTTGTTTTTTTTGTTTTGTTTTGTTTTTTGCTTTTTTGAGATGGAGTCTCGCTCTGTCGCCCAGGCTGGAGTACAGTGGTGCCATATCAGCTCACTGCAACCTCTGCCTCCCTGGTTCAAGCAATTCTCCTGCCTCCGCCTCCTGAGTAGCTGGGATTACAGACAACTGCCACCATGCATGGCTAATTTTTGTATTTTCAGTAGAGACTGGGTTTCACCATGTTGGTCAGGCTGGTCTCAAACTCCTGACCTCGTGATCCGCCCACCTTGGCCTCCCAAAGTGCTAGGACTACAGGCGTGAGCCACCGCGCCTGGCCCTCTTTTTGTTTATTTTACACGTGGTATTGCATTGTGGTTTTGATTTGCATTTCCCTGGTAATTAGTGATGTTGAGCATTTTTTCATATGTTTGTTGGCCATTTGTATATCTTCTTTTGAGAATTGTCTGTTCATGTCCTTGGCACACTTATTGATGAGATTCTTTTTTTCTTGCTGATTAGAGTTCCCTGTAGATTCTGGACATTAGTCCTTTGTCAGATGCAGTTTGTGAAAATTTTCTCCCACTCTGTGGGTGATCTGTTTACTCTGCTGATTATTTCCTATGCTGTGCAGGAGGCTTTTAGTTTAATTAAGTCCCATCTATTTATCTGTGTTTCTGTTGCATTTGCTTTTGGGTTCTTGGTCATAAACTCTTTGCCTAAGCCAATGTGTAGAAGCATTTTCCAATGTTATCTTCTAGAATTTTTATGGTTTCAGACCTTAGATTTAAGTCTTTGATCCATCTTGTGTTGATTTTTGTATAAGGTGAGAGATAAGGATCCAGTTTTATTCTTTTACATATGGCTTGCCAATTATCCCAGCACTATTTGTTGCATAAGGTGTACTTTTCTTACTTTGTTTTTGTTTACTTTGTCGAAGATCATTTGGCTGTTAAGTATTTGGCTTTATTTATAGGTTCTCTACTCTGTCCCATTGGTCATGTGCCTATTTTTATACCAGCACCATGCAGTTTCGGTGACTATAGCCTTGTAATATAGTTTGAAGTTGGGTAATGTGATGCCTCTAGATTGGTTCTTTTTGCTTAGTTTTGCTTTGGCTTTGCAGACTCTTTTTTAGTTCCAAATGAATTTTGTTTTTTTTTTTTCTAGTTCTATAAAGAATGATGATGATACATTGATAGGAATTGCATTGAATTTGTAGACTGCTTTTGGCAGTATGGTCATTTTCACAATATTGAGTCTACCCATCCATGAGCATGGAATGTGTTTCCATTTGTTTTTGTCATCTATGATTTCTTTCAACAGTGTTTTGTAGTTTTCCTTGTAGGGGTCTTTCACCTCCTTGGTTAGGTATATTCCTAAGTATTTTATTTTTACAGCTATTATAAAAGGGTTTGATTTGATTCTCAGCGTGGTAGATGTTGGTGTATAGCACTGCTACTGATTTGTGTACATAGATTTTATATCCTGATAAATAGAATTATTGTGTATTTCTAAATAGCAATAAGATTTTAAATATTCCCAACACAAAGAAATGATCAACGTTTGAGGTGATTAATATCCTAAAGACCCTGATTTGATCATTACACATTGCACTCATGTACCAGAATCTCACATGGACCCCTTAAATGTGTACAATTATTCTCTATCAAAAACATTTTCCTTTTAAGAAACATGCAGGAATACACTGTACCTCTTCTTTGCTGTCTCTGGATATTGTCACACGAGGACTTGACATGCGGATTGTGGCAGCCTCTGTGACCAAGAGCAGAAGACAATAGCAGCATAGAAACCTCAAATGAAAAACCTAAAATCTCAAGCTACTAATTTAGCCAACTTGGCATCAGCTATCTCTGGTCTTAGTACATGAGGTGATAAGCCCCCACTGTTCAAGTTGGGTGGCCATCAATTGCTGCAGAATAGAAGTTAATGAGGCTTCCTCCTCCTGGATCCCCTGGTAGACCCTGACATGCCCATTTAGTCACAGGCAGAAAGGGAAGCACAGGGTAAGGAGACCTTGCTGACTGTGCCAGATGCAGATCTTACCTGTCCTGTTTAGAACACTCAAAGTTCAATTGGTTAAACAAAAAAAGGAAAAAGACAGTAAGGAGTATAGCACTCCCCAGAGGCAACTTAATGTAACACTCTATACTTTAGATTTTCTAGACATACATAGAAATCAGACCACTACTTCTGCAGAACATTTTACTGGTAAAAAGAATAGGCCACATGAGGGAAAACTGATTTGGTGGAAAGACAACAAAAACAAAACATGGGAAATAGGTAAGGTGATAACATGGGGGAGAGGTTTTGCTTGTGTTTCACAAGGAGAAAATCAGCTTCCTGTTTGGATACCCACTAGACATTTGAAGTTCTACAATGAACCTATCAGAGATGCAAATGAAAGTGCCTCTGCAGAGACAGAAAACCCGCCATCGAGCATCATCGACTCGCAGGGTGAACAAAATGGTGATATCAGAAGAACAGATGAAGTTACAATCCACCAAGGAAACGGCACATGTGGAGAGCCAGGGAGAGGAAGAGAAAGAAAAAGAGACAGAGATCAGAGAGAGACACAGAAAGAGATTGGGGAGAGAAACAGAGTAAAAGAGAGAGAGAGACCGTAAGAAAGGGAGACAAAGAGATAAAAGGTGCGAGTGAGCAGGTGAGGAGAAAGACTGAAAACTATGAGAAACAGCAACTAAGACACAAAGGAGGTGAGAGACTGCCTTGGCGCCGCAGCACCCACACCGTCCTCTTGCCCCCGTCACTTGGGTTAAAACCACC
The DNA here is from genome assembly GCF_000001405.40 of Homo sapiens. Classification (NCBI taxonomy): domain Eukaryota; kingdom Metazoa; phylum Chordata; class Mammalia; order Primates; family Hominidae; genus Homo; species Homo sapiens. Next base: position 12,623,937 of record NC_000008.11, read on the forward strand.
GGAAATTCCACTATTGCAAATTTTGTATTAATCCTTGTATTTCTGTCCTTTCTATTGTTAGTCTACAGGTGTATCCAGCAGCTCCAGAGAGACAGCGACCAGCGAGAAGGGGCCATGATGATGGTGGTGGTTTTGTCAAAACGAAAAGGGGGATATGTAGGGTAAAGAAAGAGAGATCAGACTGTTACTGTGTCTACATAGAAAGGGAAGACTTAAGAGACTCCATTTTGAAAAAGACCTGTACTTTAAACAATTGCTTTGCTGAGATGTTGTTAATCTGTAGCTTTGCCCCAACCACTTTGACCCAATCTGGAGCTCACAAAAACATGTTGTATGAAATCAAGGTTTAAGGCATGTAGGGCTGTGCAGGACGTGCCTTGTTAACCAAATGTTGGCAAGCAGTATACTTGGTAAAAGTCATCACCATTCTCTCGTCTCAATAAACCAGGGGCACAGTGCACTGTGGAAAGCCGCAGGGACCTCTGCCCTTGAAAGCTGGGTATTGTCCATGGTTTCTCCCCATGTGATAGTCCAAAATCTGGCCTCATGGGATGAGAAAGACCTGACGGTCACCCAGCCCGACACCCATAAAATGTCTGTGCTGAGGTGGATTAGTCAAAGAGGAAAGCCTCTTGCAGTTGAGATAGAGGAAGGCCGCTGTCTCATGCCTGCCCCCTGGGAACTGAATGTCTCGGTATAAAACACGATTGTACATTTGTTCAATTCTGAGGTGGGAGAAAAACCGCCCTATGGTGGGAGGCGAGACATGTTTACAGCAATGCTGCCTTGTTCTTCTTTACTCCACTGAGATGTCTGGGTGGAGAGAAACATAAATCTGGCTTACATGCACGTCCAGTCATAGTACCTTCCCTTGAACTTCATTATGACATAGATTCTATTGCTCACATGTTTGTTGCTGACCTTCTCCTTATTATCACCCTGCCCTCCTACTACATTCCTTTTTGCTGAAATAATGAAGATAATAATCAATAAAAACTGAGGGAACTCAGAGAACGGTGCCAGTACAGGTCCTTGGTATGTTAAGCGCCGGTCCCCTGGGCCCACTGTTGTTTCTCTATACTTTGTCTCTGAGTCTGATTTGTTTTCTGTCTCTCATCCCACCCGACAAGAAATACCCACAGGTGTGGAGGGGCAGGCCACCCCTTCAGTATGAGATTACAGGCATGAATAACCCAACCTGGCCACCAAACTCACTCTTGAGAGGCCAGAAGTGATGCTGGAACTTTCTTCCTCTGTGGGTTAAAAAGGGAAAATTAGGGAGAACAGAAGGCATGAGAGATACAGCGATGGATATGTCTATATGGAGCTTCTGTCTGCATCCAGTAGAAAATGCATCTCTAGGCACCAGGTTTAAGAGTGAAAACCTAGAGTCTTGTCTGTTAGCATTCTCCTTCCCCACAAACCAGAGAGGGAATACATTTGCTCCAGCACACCCGGATGTAGGAAATGTCACATTCCTATTTCTGTAACTTCACTTAAATCTGCTCTGAGTCCCTGGATGCCTGGCAGGTGGAGAATTCAATCTTGTCGTTACCAGCATTCCTTTCCCTTCTCCATGGGCTTATGTAAGAATTCTGGGCTTACACACTGTTGGAAAGCCAGGTAGGAACTACATCCCCTGAACTCTCCATTCTTCCAGCTGCTCACAATCCATCAACATTCTTTGGGCCATCTGCTATAGCAAGACCCTCCTCACAGCATCATTCCACTGACCCACAGGCTCAGCCCCAGGGACCCTCACTAGAACAGGTCTCCACTATGCATAGGAACTCACAAAAACCTTCTCTTCATCTTGGCTTCTGCTGATATCCAGCCACTCCCCCAATTCTCACCTTAAACACAGATGGCAGCTCCTTCCCATTCTTCCAAACCTGGGGGATTGTCCAGACAAATTCTCTGCAGACACCAAAGCTTCACCCGCCCTCTTCAGGGAGGTGATGCAAGGGCATCTGAGATCTTTGGAAGCCCAATTCTGGCCTCTCTTTGGGGTGGGCTGAGAGTGGGAAGTAGACTCTCTTTTCCAAATGTCATGTTTATCTTGTTCATCATTATATTATCTCCAATGCCTGGCACATAGTAGGCACTACAGACTGACACATAGGAGGTGCTATTAGTGTCTGTATAATGGGACTCTTGAGGTTGAAGCTATCAGCAGAAACCTGCCAAGCAAAAGGATGGAAAACCAACCACCAAAAAAAAAAAAACAAAAAGAAAACAATCGTGGCTTTGAGCTCTAAACACACAAGGCACCAGCCCAACTTTGGGCAATTTTAATACAACAGCCATTTTGCCTCCAAACAAACTGGCACAGAGAACCTCCCTCTGCCTCTAAAAGAGAACCAGTTTCCCTTTCTCTAAGTGGACAGCATTTCTCCCCGGTGGCAGTACCCAGCCCACTACCACCAGCAAATGACTGCAGCCAGGACCCAAGAGCTTGATAGTTTAAAGAATAGATTTTATAGGGAAAAACAAAGTAACATTCACATAAATCTGGAACTACCACCACTTTCCAGAGGCCGAATCCCATTTGTGGAATCTCTTGCGTGTCAAGCACCTTGCAGTCAGCTCAACTACACACTTTTGGGATTCGTTGCAGAGAAGAGTGAAGGTTATCTGCAAAATAAAGGAACCAGGGCTCAGAATTACCAGAACAATCCATGACAGAGGAGGTGAGTAGAAAAGGGAAGGGTGAAGTCAAAGGAGAGAAGTCAATGAGTTGGCCAACACCAAGCAAGGATCATGGGACCCTCTCCACGACCCCACATCTCAAATGAAGTCAACAAAACCCATCAATGCTTGGTGTAAGTGTTGTATGCTCCCGGAAATGAAAGCAGGGGCCACATTTCAGGTCAGTAGGGTCGGGGGTAGAGGCAGCGGTCATGGACTTGTGGGCCCTGGAGGATGGGATGATTCTGAGACATTGAATCCCTACACTGATCTCAGTTGAAATCTCAGGTAGGGCTTCAACATTCGTGGACCAAGGACTCTGTGGGCCTGAGAGCAACAGCCTTGGTGCATGTCCCAGCTCCATCAATCCCAACTGGGGCTTTGAACAAGTTACTTATTTTTTTAACTAACGTTATTTTAATTGACAAATCAAAATTGTACACATGTATGTGATGTTTTGATATGTGTATACAATGTGGGATGATTAGATCAAACTAATTAACATGTCCATCCCCTAATTTACTGATAATTTTCATGATGCGACATTTGAAATGTACCCACTTAGTTATTTTGAAAGATACATTATTATTTACTATAGTCTCACTGCTGTGCTATAGATTTCAAAGCATATAATCCAGCAACCCAACTTCTGGATATAGACCCCCAAAAAATCAAAATCAATATGTCGATGGGATCCCTACATTCCTGTGTTCACTGCAGCACTATTCACAATACCCAAGATATAGAATCAACCTAAGTGTCCATCAGTGGATGAAAGGATGAATTAAATGTACTATATACACACAACGGAATACTATTAACCCTTAAAAAAGAAAGAAATCCTGTCATTTTCAACAACATAGATGAACTTGAAAGACATTGTGTTAAGTGAAATAAGCCAGGCACAGAAAGACAGATACTGCATGATTTTATTATATGTGGAATCTAAAGAAGTTGAACTCACAGAAATAGAGAGTAGGACAGTGGTTATCCGGGGATGGGGTGAAGGAAAGGGAGGGGATAGGAGACACTGGTCAAAGGGTACAAAGTTTCCAATAGGAAGAATAAGTTTTGAACAAGCTAAACTCCTCTGAAAGTTCAGTTCCTCATCTGTAGAGCAGGGACACATCATCAACCTTCTACGGATGTTGCTGTAAGAGTAAGAGATGATGTTCAACACAATACCTAACACACAGTCAGGTCTCCTTAAGCTTGAACCTGCATCCCCATGACCTCTACATCTCAGGACAGAAGGGCTCACAGCCAGTGTCTAAGTTCCCGATGAAAAGTGGATCCCAGACCAGGCTGAACAGCAGGATCCCTAGGGGATACCCCACCCTACTGAGTCAAAATCACCAGAGGTAGAGCCTGGGTATGTGTGTATGTATGTGTGTGTATATGTGTGTGTGTGTGTGTGTGTGTGTGTGTGTGTGTGTGTATGTATGTATAAGAGACAGGATCCTGCTCTGCAGTCCAGGCTGGAGTGCAGTGTCACAATCATAGTTCACTGCAGCCTCAAATTACTCCTGGCCTCAAGCCATCCTCCCATCTCAGCCTTCAGAGTAGCTGAGACTACAGGCGCATGCCACCAAGCCTGGATACTTATTTTTTTTTTTTTCTTCTTTTTGTAAAGTCTCCCTCTGTTGCCCAGGCTGGAGTGCAATGGTGCAATCTTGGCTCACTGCAACCTCTGTCTCCCGGATTCAAGTAATTCTCGTGCCTCAGCCTCCTGAGTAGCTAGGATTACAGGCATGCATCACCACACCAAAGTAATTTAGCTCTTTCATTGTTGTTTCTTGTTTGTTTTTCACAAATAGAGCTTCTTATTTGCTACTGTTTTAAGTCTGAACTTTAAACAGATTTTTGGACTGGTGGTTCCTATCCATCAGCTCATTCAACTTTAGCATGTGTCTCGTCCCTAGTGGGTTTTCCAGAATTACTACCGTCACCACGAAGCTCCATGCCTTTCAAACCCAGGGTTCTCCAGCATTTTTACTTTTCTAATGAAGACATCATGGAGAGGATAGATTGGCAAGCCTTTTCTACATCTTTTCCAATGTTGTCTGCAATCAATTTATTAACCACTTCTTTCAAGTCATTTGTCTGCACCTCTCAGGTCATGATTTCCATCATCTTCTTCTGGATTTGGCAGACTGTTGGTGCTGAGCATAAGAGGTCTTCAGTTTCTGATTGTTGTGTTTTTTAGTAAAACCAACACAAAACAGAAGAAAGAAGTAACCATCGGTAGTCTTGACATCAACATGAGCTTCAATTATTGTTGAACATTTTTCAACCTTGGAACATATTTTGTCACAGGTAAGACCCATGCCATTGAAGTTAGACAGGCAGCTTTTGCCCTGAACATCTTCAGTAATCAGCTTGAATTTTCTAAATGCAACTTCATCATTCTGCAAATCAGCAAGACTCATTTCAAACACTAGAAACTTGAGACCATCAGATGCAATTTGGGTTCCTTGGGTCCTGGTGACCAAGTCTTTCCAATATTTCTTATATTGAACATAGCAGGTGCTTTCACATCATACTGATCTTTCTTAGAGAATGGACCAACTACTTTCTTCTTAACTCCCTTTTTGCCACCTTTCATAAGGCACTTGTTCTTAACAACCGCCATGGTGCTGCTCAGAGTACCAAAAGGCTAAATTTTATATTTTTGGTAGAGACGGGATTTCACCATGTTGGCCAAGCTCGTCTTGAAGTGATGTCAGGTGATCTGCCCGCCTCAGCTTCCCAAAGTGCTGGGATTACAGGTGTGAGCCACTGCACCCAGCTGATATTTATTTTTTCTTTTTTTGTACAGACAGGGTCTTGCCATGTTGCCAAGGCTGGCCTGGAACTCTTGGCCTCAAGCAATCCTCCCACCGCAGCCTCCCAAAGCACTGGGATTTCAGGTGTGAGCCACCATGCCCAGCCTGGAATCTATTTTTAAAGCAATCAAGTGTTGAATAAAATTGCAACTTGGGCTGTTTTTTCTTTGCATTTTTTACATTTCAATGCTTTTTAATATATTCAGGGATATACGCAAACATTACCAGTCAATTTTAGAACATTTCATGACCTCAAAAACAAACCTCATACACTTTAGCTAACACCCCCATCCTCCCATGCCCCTACCAGCCCTAAGCAACCACTAATCGACTTCTTATTTCTATAGATTTCCATCTGAATGAAATCATGTAGAATGTGATCTTTCATCTGTTTTGAAGGTTTATCCACGCTGTAGCGTATGTACTTTCCTCGTTTTTGTGATCAAATAATATTCCACCATGTGGGTAGACAACAATAGGTGTCTCTCTTCATCTGGTGATGGGCATTTGGATTAATCCCCTCTTTGTGTTATTAGGAGTGATGCTACTGTAATTATTCATGTACAAATTTTTGTGTGGACCTGTGCTTTCATTTTTGAATATGAAAATATGGCACACCTCCAAGGAAGACATACAAGTGGCCAATAAGCACATGACAAGATGCTCAATGAAATTCACCATCAGGGAAACAGAAATCAAAACCACAATGAGATACCACTTCATACCCATAAGGATGGCTAGAATTGAAGATAGAGAAAATTGGCCTGGTGCGGTGGCTAATGACTGTAATATCAGCACTTTGGGAGACCGAGGCAGGTGGATCACCTGAGGCCAGGAGTTTGAGACCAGCCTGGCCAATATGGTGAAACCCTGTCTCTACTAAAAAAAAATACAAAAATTAGCCAGGCATGTTGGCAGGTGACTATAATACCAGCTACTCTGGAGGCTGAGGCAGGAGAGTAACTTGAATCTGGGAGGCAGAGGTTGCAGTGAGCTGAGATTGTGCCACTGCACTCCAGCCTGGGCGACAGAGCAAGACTTTGTCTCAAAAAAAAAAAATACGGAAAATAACAAGTGTTGGTGAGGATGCAGAGAAACTAGAACTTTCATACACTGCTGGTAGGAGTTAAAATTGTGTAGCCACTGTGAGAAACAGTTTAACAACTTCCCAAACAATTCTACATGGAGTTACCAAATGACCCAGCAATTGTACTTCTAGGTATAGGCCCAACTTGGGCTCTTTTAATCTATGGAAAATGAGCTGTGGGTACTTGGCAAGAACAAAGAGGGAGAGAGGCAGAAATGGAGCCACGAGGGCACATTGATTGGTCTCTAGTACACAGGGCTCCTACTGCAAATGGTCTCTAAATGACTTCATCCGTTGCTCATAAAAAAAAATCACCCTCTGCTCCAATCGTGGAGGAAGAAGTATGGATTGGACCTGGTGAGTCACGGTAAGACTGACTGCTAAACTTCATGAATGATGAGGGGATTTGCACGTATAATCTTGACTGTACTAGATTTTTTATTTTATCCACTGTCTTTGAAAACCTAACTCTTGACTAAGAACTAACTTTCCTGTACTTGTTGTTGACTCTAAGTAAACTTCCATTTCCACATAGTCCAAAGATGATGTGCTGAGAAATCTCTCAAAAGAAAAATGCTAAGAATACAGGCAGAGTTATGCGGCAGGTTTTGCAGAATTAACACAAATTGTACCTGTAGGTACGAAGCACAAAACATTTTCATGGGTAAAGAAAAAAGTGTTCTTCATTCTAGTAGACACTGCAGGATGAGGCCGATCAAGGTCCTTGCCCAGCCAGACCTTGGGCTCTTACCTAATTTGTGTTAGAGTCAACCCTGATGGAGTCTGTATCTCAGTCATCTTTTTTTTTGACATGGAATCTCGCTCTGTCTCCCAGGCTGGAATGCAGCGGGGTGATCTCAGCTCACTGCAACATCTGCCTCCTGGGTTCAAGCGATTCTCCTGCCTCAGCTTCCCAAGTAGATGGGACTACATGTGCATGCCACCATGCCTGGCTAATTTTTGTATTTTTAGTAGAGACGTTTCATCATGTTGGCCAGGCTGTGCTCAAACTCCTGCCCTCAAGTGATCCGCCTGCTTTGGCCTCCCAAAGTGCTGGGAGTACAGGCATGAGCCACCATGTCCGATCTCAGTCATCTTTTTATCCTCCACACCTGGCAAGTTCTAGACACACTGTGGTTCCATACAAGTTTGTTGAATAAATAGGAGACAGATAGAAAGTGGGAACTCTGGAAGTAGAGAAGATTCCAGAAATTGTGCATATTTCCCAGAGACTGTGGCCAAATTCCTCAGTCCTGCCAGAGTTTCTCTATCTCATCTCAAACCTTATGTGTGGGCCCAGGCACAGTGGCTCACACCTGTAATCCCAACACTTTAGGAGGCTGAGGTGGGCAGATCACTTGAGGCCAGGAGTTTGAGACCAGCCTGGCCAACATGGTGAAACCCTGTCTCTACTAAAAATACAAAAATTAGCCAGGCATGGTGGTGTGCACCTGTAGTCCCTGCTACTCGGGGGGCTGAGGCACAAGCATTGCTTGAACCCAGGAGGCGGAAGTTGCAGTGAGTCATGATTATGCCACTGTACTCTAGCCTAGGCAATAAAGCAAGACTGTCTCAAAAGAAAAAAAAAAACCCCTTAAGTGTGGGCCTTGTTACAGAATTAATGTTTATATGGACAATATGTACATGGGTGTATGTTAAGAGCATGAGTCATCCACAAGATTTTAGCAAAGTCCATTTAGAAAGCTCAATGCTTTGGGCTTCCACTTGCTTTGCTGCCTCTGTCCTCAGAAGGAGGCTTCATCCTTCCATGTAACCAGCAAATTCTTTATGCAGAGATGTACACAACACACTCCTCTCTTTGGCTATGACACCTTGAAAGGGTCCTCTTGGTGTCCCCTGGTGCTCATTTCAGAGTAGTTCAAATTAAGGTGATCAGCTTTCATGCCAATCACTCTACAAATCACTCCTGTTATGACCAATTTTTCTAAATGGTTTATTGAATTTTTACTTAAAGAAATGTGCACATAGAAGAGGTCAACACAGTAATTTTCTTACAAACTGAACATACTGGCCAGATGCAGTGGCTCTTGCCTCTCATCCCAGCACTCTGGGAGGCCGAGGTGAGCAGATTGCTTGAGCCCAGGAGCTCAAGACCAGCCTGGGCAACATAGTGATACACCCCTCTCTACAAAAAATAAATAAATACAAAAATTCGGCAACAGTGATGGCACATGCCTGTAGTTCCAGCTACTCAGGAGGGCTGAGGTGGGAGGAAGGCTTGAGCCCAGGAGGCAGAGGCTGCAGTGGGCCATGACGGTGCCACTGTGCTCCAGCCTCGGTGACAGAGCAAGATCCTGCCTCAAAACAACAACAACAACAACAACAACAACAACAAACTGAACATCTCCATATTACTGACACCCAATTCAAGAAACAAAATATTCCAGCCCCTTCCAGGATATTCCTGGGGTCTCTTCCATCTCTACTAACCCCTGACTACAAACAGCCTCCACCTATTTCACCTGACATTGTACTTTATGAAAGCAGCAGTTCTCAGATGGGGCTATTTTGTCCCCTGGGGACATTAGGCAATATCTGGAGACACTGGGGGTTGTCTCTACTTGGGGGGAGTTGTGTTACTGCATCCAGTGAGTCCAGGGATCCAGGGATGCCGCTCAACATCCTGAAATGCACAGGGAACCCCCACACATAGAACAGAGAAACTGCAGAGCCAAAATGTCAGCAGTGTCACAGCTAACACCCTGACATACACACTATCGCACAGTATCTGCTCTTTTGTGCTCAGGATCTCTTTCATTCTAATCATCTCATAGGAAACAGAAATGTCATTTAGAGGTAGGTAGAGTCCAAAACAAAGAAGATCCAGAGTTTTTTGTTTTTTTTTTTTTTAATCAGCCTGGTGCCTTTAGAGCTAGGATTTAGTTTCCATTCTTTCTATCTCATTTTCAAGTGATTTTTCTTCAAATGGCATCTGCTGGGCTCAAGACCTGGAAGTCCCCAGAAAGCTGAGATTCACATGGGAATTTTGTACACACCCACACAGGTATACACTGCCATTTGCATGCAGACATCCACCCACAGATACACACATCCGGAGACCAAGGCAGAACGCAAACTCCACCATAAAAGCACGGTTTCCCGAACTGGAGAAACCCACCATTCACTCCAGGGAGGTATCTATTTGTTTAATTCAGCCTCTGATAGTCAGGCTGTTGCCAAGCCCAGTTCTGAAACTCTTCCCTTCTAGGAAAGAGAGATGGATTTTTTTCTTTACTCAAGAATATAGATCTAAAAAAAACAAACACTTCTGCATCTCAAAGCAGTCTCTACCTCCTGAGCTACACGTATTGATCAGCATTTTATTGTCAATTTTCTTTTATTTGAATTGGAGAAAAATATAACCTAATTATGTTCTTACTGACAGTTTGGAATCAGTTACACTAAATCCAATTCTCTGGGTTCTCATGATTAATGTGTTTAATTTGGGGGACAACAAAGCAAAAGCATTGGTCGTGTTTTAATATAATTAATACAGGATATATCTAAGGGGTTGAAGTATCACTGTAGCAAGAAGCTCATTCTGCAGTAAAAGGCAGGTTCTGCCACTAGGATTGAGTTAGGGTGGTTCATGGCTGCACCGTTTTATCAATGTCTCTTCAAGAGTCCATGGAATGTGGAACGGGAAAGACTGAAATAGTCCAAGTCTTGGCTAAGCTTCTATTAAGGGGTGTTAGGAGCTGATAAAATAAGCTGGCTTTATAGACATCCCACACTGTAGTTCTCTAAGCTACAGATTCTCAGATTTTTCTATTTTATAAACCAGTAAAAATTTTTTTTTAATTTGAGAACAAACATAAGGTTGCTATTTTTTTTTTCTTTTTGGTAAGAAGGAAATTTTTTAAACTACTAGTTACACACACACACACACACACACACACAGAAATTCCACCATGATTGGTCAGAATAGGTGAGGTTTTGCTGCAACAACAAACAACTCCTAAATCTTGGTAACTTCAAACATCAGAAGTTGTGTTTCTTACTCATGCTACATCTGCAGGGAGGTGTGGGGTGCTCTGTTTCCCATCAAACTTTCCCTAAGAGTAAGGCTAATGGGGGTTGCAATACCTCAAGTATCACCAAGCAGGGAACAGAGGGAGAAGAATGCTAGAGAGTCTTGTACTAAGAATTAAATGCTCCAGGCTAGAAGTCTAACACTGCACCTCTGCCCCCAGCCTCTTGGCCAGTACTAGCCACATCTCCTCCCCCACCACACTGCAATGCATGGAGACAGGAGAACTGGATACATTATAAATTTCTACCCCATGGCATTTCATAAAAGAGAAAAAAATGCAAATACAAAAATGTTTTAATAGAATAGAATATATACATTTTTAGAATAAAGAAAAATCCTCCAAAAAGGGACAGCTGGTGGTCTTTCACCAATGGGCACATTTCTGTGACATTTTCTCTGTTTTTCCATTTTATCCTTGACCTATGAACATTTTATACAGATGGTCCAAAGAACACCATTTGGGGACCACTGCTGTAATCAGGTGATGAAAACGGCCCCAAGAACAGAGCACAGTCTCTTTAGCAAAGACCCAGCAGGGCCAGGGTGACCACTTTCTCACCATCAATGTGCAGACATCCACCTGCAGCATACTTACATACCAACATCAAACAGTAGCTCTTTATAGCTTGATTCTAATGCCCTTTGATCTTCATACTCATTGTAAAGCTCTCTGGTCCCAAGATCTAACATTGCCACTCTAGCTACGTCCTGCAACTGTTCACCTCTCCTGCCTCCTCATCCCTCTAAACTTCCCTTCACAACCTCATGTTTCCTTCTTGCTATACATTCCTGCTCAGCCTGGACTTAACATTCACCTTCCTCTTGTACGGTGCTCCTAAACTCGTTCTTCCCTGCCTTTAACCACACCCACCTGGAAAATCTCCATACCCCATTGATGACTTGCCTCGCAACTGCCCAAGGGCTGCTGAATGATACCGGAAAGAATCACAACAGGGATCTGGTAGTTCCACTAAATAATCTCACCATCCAACTCTAGGAAAGACTTCACTTCTGTTCAGCAATATTTTTAAACATCATAAATAAATTCCAAACCATATTTGCTATAACTATTGACTTTAAGCCTCCTCCATATCTCAAAGCCCCCTAACCCATCCCTAGGGGTGAAAAGAGCCCAGAGATGAGTTCTCTCAACTCACTTCCATCTCACCCCTAGATCACTGTATCTTGACCCTCTTCCTCTGCCTTTCCCATCTTATAAGGAGAAACATCCTTCTCCTTTCCCAAGCTACCTTCTCCACTTGTGCCTCATTTGAGACCTGCCTTTATCACCCGTTCCCTTGGAACTCCCATGACTCACCACCTTCACTTGTCATTTCACTCATAAATATTTTGCACCATGTATGTGCCAGGCGATTAACATATAATCATGCTTAAGTCTCCACATGCTAATAAGAAAAACCTTGATTATCCCTGCTATGCCCTCAAGTCATTACCCTCCCTGCTCCTTTCCTGTGTTCCCAAACTTTGTTGATCTTCATCAATCCCTCTGATGCAGATGGCTCCGAAGTTTGCATCCTATTAGGTTGGTGCAAAAGTAATTGCGGATTTTGCCATTAAAAGTAATGGCAAAAATAGCAATTATTTTTGTACCAGCCTAGTATCTTTTCTCCTTCCACCAAACTTTGTCCCTGAGACATCTCATCACCTATAACTACCTCCTCCATGCAGTTGATTCCCAGATCTGTATTATTCTACTGAAAGTCCATTCCCCAACTTTCTCAGCTAAAATAACAGAAGCCCAATTAGAATTCATGATAACAGTTTCCCACCACCACCCCCACCACCACCGTCGCCCTGCCATTGTTAGCAAAACCATCTCTTGAGTGGAGCTCAAAGATGTGTAATCTCCCACTCCCCAGAAAGATAACTTCAGACTCAGCCTAGAAGTAAAGATCCTCCAGATATGGCCTCAACTACCCTCCAACCCATGTCCCCAGTGCATCCCTTTGGTGCTCCCTTCGGTGGAGTTAAAATGGAGTGAGTGTTTTTCTTTTCACATACTCCTGGTGTTCTTCCACAAATACAATTTTCACCTCTCGAATATTTTCAAGGATTCTCCATGCTACACACAGTGACATCCAAACTCCCCATCAGGACCCCCGTCTTCCCAAACCTTCTTTGCAGTTTTCTGCCTCCATGTTTTTCCTTGGGTCATCCTCTTCTCTAATGTAACCTTGTGTATTACTCTAAGTTCTCCAGAGAAAGAGCAGAGAGATAGAGGTAGAGCTATACACATAGAGACAGATTGATTTGTTGTAAGGGATGGCTCACATGGTTATGGAGGCTAAGGAGTCCTGGAGTCTGCAGCCAGCAAGCTGGGGACCCAAGACAGCTAATGATATAGTTCCAACTCGAGTCCACATCTAAAGTCAGGAGAAGATTGATGTCCCAGCTCAAATATAATCAGGTAAAAAGAGCAAATTCTCTGTGACTCTACCTTTTTGTTTTGTTCAGGCCTTCAGTGGATTGGATGAGGCTCACCCATATTGGGGAGGACAATCTGCTTTATTCAGTCTACCAATTAAATGTTATCCTCATCCAGAATACCTCAGAGACACACCCAGAATAATGTGTAGCCAAATATCTGGGCACCCCACAACCCAGTCAAATTGATACATAACACTAACCATCATGCCTTGCTTCTACTCTCTCGCCATTACTGCATGGCCAAATCCTTCCCTTATTTCAAGGCTTAGTTCAAATGTTACCTCTTAACTAAGCCTTCCCTGCTAACCCCAAATATTAATAGAATTGGTTTCTCCCTTCTCAGATATCTCAAAATATGTTGTGAGTTTCTCTTTCACTGTATTTATTACAAACTCCCTTATAAATGAAGACAGTGATTCCCAGACAAATTATCACAAGAATATAAAAGAAGTCTTCTTTGAGTGTGAAATATCTCATGGAATATAGCACATGGCCTCTTCATGAAGAAACTACTGGGAGAGAAAAAGACAAGCTGGAAGAGGCCAGGGAGAGGGGGTCAGTACAAAACACAATGAGGCTGGGCTCATACAGTTGCTCACACCTGTAATCCTAGCACTTTGGGAGGCCAAGGCCAGTGGATCACGAGGTCAGGAGATCGAGACCATCCTGGCTAACATAGTGAAACCCCGTCTCTACTAAAAATACAAAAAAGTTAGCCAGGCATGGAGGTAGGCACCTGTAGTCCCAGCTACTCGGGAGGCTGAGGCAGGAGAATGGTGTGAACCTGGCAGGCAGAGCTTGCAGTGAGCCAAGATCACACCACTGCACTCAAGCCTGGGTGACAGAGCAAGACTCCATCTCAAAAAAAAAAAAAAAAAAAAAAAAAAGAAAGCACAATGAAATGTGAGTGGATGGGTGCCTATAATTTCTAAGGGAAATAGAGTATAATCCAAGAATTTTATAGCCAGCTAAATTATTGCCCAATCAAAATAGGCAATAAACACCATCACAAGTTCAAGAACTTAAAGAATACAGTATTTCTGAGCTCTTTAAAGAAAAGTCTTCATAATAAAATTTAGTCAGCCAAGAAATTAAAAAATAAGCAACTTGTGAATTGAATGACCATGACAAAAGGCTAGTGATGAGAGGTGAATCCATTTAAAAATAGGACTATGATTGCAGAACAGAAAGGAAAGGTGGCCAACCTTAACAACATAAAACAACCTAGAAATCACTAGTTTCCAGAGGTAAAGGGAGGGACTGTAGGAAGTAGAAGTGCTAATGCCCTTTATTTAGTCAATTAATCAGGTCTAAAATTGAAACGTGGTTTTAAATACATAACTTCTTGTTTATTTTCCTCCCTAACTACCTGAGGATCAACCACCATGATGAATGACACAGCAACTATCTGGACCAGGAAGTTCATGATCAATCGACCGCTCCAGAGGAAACAAATGGTCACCAATGTCCTTCATCCCGGAAAGGCAACAAAATGTACAAGACCACAATGGATGTCATCTTCATATTAATAGTTGGACTCAGAACCCATTTTGGTGGTGGTTAAACAATCTTCATCCACATTGGAGTGCAGTGGTACGATCTCAGCTTACCAAATCTCTGCCTTCCAGGCTTAAGCAATTCTCCTGCCTCAGCCTCCCATGTAGCTGGGATTACAGGCAAGAACCACTACTGCCTGGCTAATTTTTATATTTTTAGTAGAGATGGGGTTTCACCTTGTTGGCCAGGCTGGTCTTGAACTCCTGACCTCAAATGATCCACCCGCCTTGGCCTCCCAAAGTGCTAAGATTACAGGCATGAGCCACCGCGCCCAGCCTTTTCTGTATTAAATTTTTAAAAACACAACATTTAAAATAATCAAGTCATTCTTTTTTAATCTACTTTGTATTATAGGTATCCAAATACTCACCTATTCTCTCTCACATGATGACAAAGTCGTTGAAATGTCATGTCATTTTGTGGCTCCAGCCCCAGGGATTCTGACTCTGATTCTAAAGGGTATGCATGCAGAGCGAGCAAGCCGCCTGGATGATTCTCTTACACGTGTTTTAAGGGCAGCAGTTTGAGGCACCCTGATGCAAAAGAACGAACCCTCAAGGAAGTTGGCTGTACATGTATTTTCCTTCCTAGCACAGGAAACGACAGAAAGATTATCCAATCAGTACCACTCATAGCACCTGATTATATGTGTATGAGGAATTCAGAAATGGTTTGATCAAGGTTCAAGACCTAAAAAGAAGCTTTTCTCTCGGACACCAAATCCCCATCTCATGCATGGCTGGGTTAGTAGAAACTGAGGATGATGCTTCTTCCTCCAGCATTGGTATCCTATGGTTTTTGTTGTTCAGTAAATGAAGTACCTCCATCCCCCAACATCCCCAAGCTCAATTCCAGTTTCCTCACATACACTTTTTTTTTTTTTTTTTTTTTTTTTGAGACAGAGTCTCGCTCTGTCACCCAGGCTGGAATGCTGTGCAATGGTGCAACCTCAGCTCACTGCAACCTCCACCTCCCAGGTTCAAGCGATTCTCCTGCCTCAGCATCCTGAGTAGCTGGCATTACAGGCATACACCATCATGCCTGGCTAATTTTTGTATTTTTAGTAGAGATGAGGTTTCATCATGTCGTCCAGGCCTGTCTCAAACTCTCAGCCTCAAGTGATACACTTACCTCAGCCTCCCAAGTGCTAAGATTACAGGTGTGAGCCACCGTGCCCAGCCTCCTCACTTACACTTTTACAGAAGATCTGATCATACCCACTCCGCAGAAGTCAGAATGGCCCCCACGTGGTGTTAAACGTGAGTGAAAACTTGAGTTCAATCAACTGAGGGTGACACAGAAACATTTCCCCCAAAACGCTTTTGGCAGCTCTGCTGATCCATAACCTGGCTCCATTTCAGGACAAGACCTCCACTTAAGCTGCACTGGCTTCCACTAGAGTAAATCACATTAACTCATGGCAAACACAACTGAAGGGCAAAAAGATTCTTTTTAAAATGATTTTTGTCTCTCACTTAACAACACACGCTGGTCTCCCTAGAGCCTGACTCCATTCAGCACCTGTTCCACTGAGCACCCACTGAAAGCTCAGATCATGAGCTGAGATGACCCAGACATCAAGGAGTTTACAATCCAGGGGAAGAACAGACCTGAATACAAGTGATGACAATACAAGACAGAGTCAAAGAGCCCAACTTGAAGTATCAGCAGAATAGCACCAAAGACTAGTTCCCAACCCAGCTCCCAGCGCCAGAGCCAGAGCCAGGCTGGCTGCATGAGATCAGCTGGGAGCTTTTGCAAACCTAGGTCCTAGCTGAGACCCTAATCATCAGACTGGCAGTCACTGGGAGTGAGCTCCAGGAACTGGTGTATTTAATAAGCACCCACACACACATGATTCTGATGTTCCTAAGGGTTGTAGAAACATGGAACTATAGAAAACACTAAA
The DNA here is from genome assembly GCF_000001405.40 of Homo sapiens. Classification (NCBI taxonomy): domain Eukaryota; kingdom Metazoa; phylum Chordata; class Mammalia; order Primates; family Hominidae; genus Homo; species Homo sapiens. The sequence continues at coordinate 12,640,505 of NC_000008.11, forward strand.
AAAAAAAAAAAAGGCACTAAAAGAAACCTATAAATATTCACTACCATTCCAGGCATCATGAGGACACTCCACGTGCACTATTTACAATACTTTCAATAACTTGCAAGGGAAGCATTCATTCATGTCGATGGGTTTTATCGGGATCAGAGCCAGCCCTGGGATTGTTTGAACCTGCGCTGAAAGTCATCCCCTCCTCCCCACAGGAGGGGGCTAACATTAAGGAGGAGGGGCCAGAAAGGAAATGGAGTGTCCTTTTATTATGAGACCACAGTGAGAGAGTTTATTTTTTTTTTTCCAGAGTCTCGTTCTTGCCACCCAGGCTAGCGTCCAGTGGTGCAGTCTCAGCTCACTGCAACTTCTGCCTCCCGGGTTCAAGTGATTCTCCTGCCTCAGCCTCCCGAGTAGCTGGGACTATAGGCACCCGCCGCCACACCTGGCTAATTTTTGTATTTTTAATAGAGACAGGGTTTCACCATGTTAGTCAGGATGGTCTTGATCTCTTGCCCTCATGTTCCACCTACCTTGGCCTCCCAAAGTGCTGGGATTACAGATGTGAGCCACCACGCCTAGCCTCAGGCTTTCAAGTAAATCCACAATGGACCACAGAGGTTAGACATCAGGGCTAACATGGAATCTCTGTCATTAAATCTTGAGATCTTATTATCTTTGCTCAAAGAAAAAAATAATCACAGTTGACATTTTGAGGACAAGACATCTGAATGTAAACTTGATCTTAGAGGATATTAAGGAATTACTGGTAATTTGATTAGGTATGACAATGATCATATAAAAAATGCCCTCATGTTTTTAGAGGGAAAGTAAATTACATAGGGGTGAATATCAGGATGTAATTACATAACTACTGTAAACTATTTTTTAAATACTTCAGAAAAACAAATGGAGCAAACATTGCAAATGTTAATAGTTTTTAAACCTATGTGATGGGTATATGATAGCTCATTAAACTAGTCTCTCTACTTTTATGTATATTGAAAATTTTTCATAATGAATAAAAAACCTTGGCCAGGCACAGCAGCTCATGCCTGTAATCTCAGTACTTTGGGAGGCCGAGGTGGATGGAGGACTGCTTGAGCCCAGGAGTTTGAGACCAGCCTAGGCAACATGGTGAATCCTCATCTCTACAAAAAATAGACAAATTAGTCAGGCATGGTGGTGTGCACCTGCAGTCCCAGCTACTCAGGAGGCTGAGGAGGGAGGATCACCTGAGCCCAGAAGGTCAAGGCTGCAGTGAGCAAGGTCATGACACTGCACTCCAGCCTGGGAGACAGACCCTGTCTCAAACAAACAAGCAAACCAAAACCCTCTTGATCCCATTTCCCAAAAAAATGATTTTTTTGAGATCTTACCATCTCCTGGCTTGGTGCAGAGTACAGGAAATCAAGACAACGTACAGCACACAAGGAATAGGGAGGGAGGGAAGCATGGGGGAGGCTGACACCGTGGACTCTCCCAGCTCAGTCGACCCATGCGCCTTGTTTCATGGAAGAAAGGAATGGAAGATGAATCATGCCTTCAGCACACAGTGATCTTCCTCACTAGTAAATGTGCCTCCAGAAGTGTCCAAGAACTCAGTGCCAGAGCCAGGCTGGCTGCATGAGAATCACCTGCGAGCTTTTGCAAACATAGGCCCCTACTGGGCCCAAATGTATTCGTCTCTGAGAGGAGGAGAGAGGCAGAACAAGGAAAAGGATGGGAAGAAACCAGCCTTGTGCACAGGAGGATGCTGGGATTCCTCCTGCACATTTAGCGCAATGCAGCCTATTTTACAAGGTCACAGAAGCTCAGAGAGGTAAACCTGCCCAGGTTCTCATAGCTTTTAACTGGCAAAACCCACCCAAATCTCTGTCTCTAGAGATGTTTCCACTTGCTTCAACTCTGGAGCTGTCTTAGTTGTAAAGACGACAGATTCCACTCATCACTCGCTTTTGTTTGCAGATATTGCCTAAGGTCCCTTGTGAATATTTAGGTCAGGGCTGTTTTTTTGAGTATTTTGTTTGTTTGTTTGTTTCTTGTTTTTTTTTACAAAGCAATCTTGTGGAAAGAACCCAAAGTGGCTCCCCCATTTAAGACCCTGTAAACAGAGAGACGAGAGTCTGGATTCCTGATCTGGTTTCCACACCTTCCTTAGATTTCCCTGTGTGTAAAATCCAACAACAATTTTTGACAAATTGCCTCCCCTAGGGGAGAGATGGAGGAAGTGTTAACTTTGCTTTTTTTTTTTTTTTTTTTTTTTTTTTTTTTTTCTGTTTTCAGACAGAGCCTTGCTCTGTCGCCCAGGCTGGAGCGTAGTGGTGCCACCATCTCGGCTCACTGCAACCTCTGCCTCCTGAGTTCAAATGATTCTTGTGCCTCAGCCTCCCGAGTAGCTGGGACTACAGGTAGACGCCACCACACCTGGCAAATTTTTGTATTTTTAGTAGAGATGGGGTTTCACATATTGGCCAGGCTGGTATCGAACTCCTGGCCTCAAGTGATCCACCCCCCTCAGCCTCTCAAAGTGCTAGGATTACAGGCATGAGCCACCATGCCCAGCCACTTTGCTATTTTTTTTTTAACACACAGCTTCGAGGTCCAGTATGATTTCACAGATTAGGAAACATCACAGGCAAAGAAGAACACTTTGCATTCAAATAGCAGAATGTTTTCATTTTCAAAGAGCTCTCACCTGCCATCTAATCTTGTCTTCCTAGCAGTCCTGGGAGAGAAGCAGATGTGGTTTCCAATCCCACTTTCCAGAAGAGGAGACTGAGGCAGAGGACATGTGAGGACAGGTGAAGGTCATGATCATTGTCAGCCCCCTGCCCCAGCTGGACATTCCCAGATCTGGTGGACTTCCAGCCAGAGGAGACAGAAGGACTGGATCACTCAACTCTGCCATGGGTGCCAGGACCCAATTTTTCCCTGGCTAACTCGGTCACCTCCTGTCTGGGATCTCCAACTACTACCCATCCCACAAGTCTCAGCTAAAACAGCAATTCAACGGGGAACTTTTTTCTGAGGCTCCAAGATTGGGCCAGGCCCTCTCCATGGCTCTCTGCCCTTCCCCTACTGCAGAACGTAGCACCTGTATGTCACTACTGGTTCAAACATGTGTCTTTCGTATGCTCTCCACGTTATCTGCAGCATCTGTCAAGAATAATAATGAATGGTAAAACCTAATCTCTATTGAGTGTCGATGATGCACTTTTAATGTGACATCTTATTTAATCCTCACTATATCTGCAAGAGTAGAAGCTATTAATAGCCAATTTTCAGATAAGAAAATCAAAGCACGGTTTCTATAACTTACCCAAGCAGCTAGCTAGGAGGCTGCTCAATTTGAGCCCAGGGAATCAGATTCCAGAAACCATGTTCTCAATTACTAGAACAGATACCTCCCCAGAATCTAGTAGGTGGTTAATGAGTCTTTGTGGAATAAATGAACAGAAGGACAAGCAGTGGATGGATACATAGGTGGGTAGGTGGATAGATGGGTGGATGGAAAGATGGGTGGGTGGGCAGATGGATGAATGAATGGATGGTTGACTCGGTGAAGGGATGGCTGAGTGGGTGGAGAAATGGATGAGTGGGTGAGGGGGTGGAGGGATAGATAAATGGATGGACCGGTGGGTGGATAGATGGGTAGATGAGTGAATAGGTGGATAGAGGCATGGGTGAGTGGATGGATAGATGGGTTGGTGGGTGGGTAGGTGGATGATAGCTGGGTGCATAAGAGAGTGGGTTGGATGGATAGATGGGTGGGTGGGTGGATAGATAGGTAGGTGGGTGGATGGATGTATGCGTGTCTGGATGGATGGATGGATGGATGGATGGATGCATGCATGGATGGATGCATGGATGGATGGAATGGTGGATGGATGGATGGACAGATGAACAAATGGACTTGAGCATTTATTCAGGGTCCTCCAAAGAACTGAGTGATTTCCTAGGGTGTGTCATCACCTGCAGGTAGGTGGGCAAGGCGGCTTACCTCTGTAATACTCATGATTATGGGTAGTGCTCAGCCTTAGTCGCCACTCTCAGAACACTTTATTGACTAGGAAAGTCAGAACTGGCACTGACAACTAATGCAAATTACAGCTATAACTAACAGAAGATGTTGAGTGATGACAGCTGGGCAACCAATAATCAATAACTTGGCTGTGCCATGTTGCTGCCATGCTGGACAGGTAGAGCCACGGGTTCCTTGATCCCTCCATCATATTGAGGATGCTTATCAAGACTTCCCCAACCATGGGGACAGGGATCTTATCAAATGCTTGCAGTTCACCCCAAAATGCTCACCCTCTTCGTTCCACCTGCACATGACCTTCAGCTCAAAGACATTTCCAGTCCTCCAGGTCAGCCCTTCTTCCAGCCTTTGAATTAACCCTGATGACTGCCTGCCCATTACGTGTCTTCACCATTCATCACACAGCCTTTTCCAAGGCTTTCCTTCAGTCCAGCCCTCACTAAACCCTGGAACTGTTGTTGACAAAATCCAGAACAAGCTGTCTGGGGGATAAAGGTGGGAAGCAGGCTGTAGTAATGGGGAAAAATTCTAAGCAATCTCGAACACAGAAAAGAACCTGAACAGATAAGAGAGAGGCAGTCAAGAGAAGAAGTGTTAATTTTGCATAACTGAAGCTGAGGAAGATCGGGGGGCATGGCAGACCACAAGATAAATATGATATAGACTCCTTTTTAAAAAAGTATAAACACCCACCCTTTCCTACTGAGAACTGTGCTTCAAATATTGCTAAGGTCTTTACTAAAGGCGAGTCAGAAACACGGGGTATTTTATGCAATACAGTAAGAAGGCCCATAGGCAAGCATGTTCCTGACACCACCTTCTAGGATAACCCCTGGGATTCTGGTTACACCTGTCCTAAAGTTGTCTCTCACTCCTGCTGTTGGAGGACTACCATGAGAGAAGAACCACAGTGAAGTGGTTAAGAGTGTGCACCCAGCGACCAGCCAGATGGCTTCTAACCATCACTATCTAATACTGAGCAAGTTACATAATGTCCCTGAGCCTCAACTTTCTCATCTGTAAAATGGGTATGCCGTCATTCATTAATCAAATTCTAGGTAAGCATATACTAAACATCAGAGACACAAATGAGAATCAGGAACAGGCATGGCCCTGGCCGTCATGGTGACCACAGTCTTGAAGGGGAAGGATGACACGCACAGAAATAGGAAGCCATAGCTGAGCTCATGACATCTGGTGTCATGAAAGTAGTTAACAGGGGGTTGCTGTGACTGAGTCAGTGTGGCCAGGTGTCCCTGAGGATGTAGTGACTCCACTGTCAGATGAGACCATGATCAGGTGAACAGGTAGGGAGAGGGAAAATCGTTCCAGGCAGAAAAAGCAGGATGTGCAAAGGCCCCGTCGCAGGAAAAGAGCAAAGGAAGTGCAAGAGCCTGAAAGAGGCCAGAAAGAACAAGTGAACATGTGGATAATCACAGCACCCACCTCAAACAGGACTTGCAAGAAACTGAGACACTGTCTGTAACAGATTCAGCAATGACTAAATAGAAACTATCTCCTAAAAGCACAGGATGAAGCTCCTTGGTGGTATTTCCCATGTGAGGCTGCCATGGACTCAGAGGCCAAGTTCAACCTGCCTGTAGACAACCTCCAAGCCATACAGCCTCAGGCTCAGGATACCCAGGACAGAGTCCTGGATGCTTGAAGTCACGATAAGTATCCAGAATGACACAGAATTCCGGCCAGTCATGGTGGCTCACATCTGTAATCCCAGCACTTTGGGAGGCCGAGGTAGATCACCTGAGGTCAGGAGTTCGAGACCAGCCTGGCCAACATGGTGAAACTCCCTCTCTACTAAAAATACAAAAAAATTAGCCAGGTATGGTTGTGGGTGCCTGTAGTCCCAGCTACTCAGGAGGCTGAGGCAGGAGAATCGCTTGAACCAGGGAGGCAGAGACTGCAGTGAACCGAGATTGCACTATTGCACTCCAGCCTGGGCAGCAAAAGTGAAACTCCGTCTCAAAAAGAAAGAAAAAAAAAAAGAATGACACAGAATTTGCTAAAGGGGGAGAAAGGGCTTTCTTCCAAAGCCCTTTCAGATGAAAATTAAGAAGCTCTTTGCAAGCACCTCAGAGGAGAACCCCTCACCCTGATGAATCAGGCACAGGGGCGGATCCAAGACAACTGGCTGCGTGCATGTGAACAAGCCTATGGTGGAAATGCAGTGCTTTATTTGTTTGTGGTGGTTTAATCACCAGGAGGGAGAAGCTTCTAAAGCAGCATTCAGAGGTGACTGTTGCCTGGGTTTTCTGGAAGGGGGAGGCGGTGAGGATGAGGGCTTCCATTTCATCTGCAGGCCCCGTGCAGAAGGAGCTGGGGAAAGCTTTGCAGCCATCTGCACACTGTTTGCCATCTTGTCTGGCTGGGCAGCCGAGCTCAAGATGGGGGCGGATGGGATAGCTCTTGCCACCGTATTTGGACAGAGATGGCAGGGAAGTCAGCCCCCATGAAGAAGACAGGAGCACACAGGTGCTGGGCAGTGCTGCCTAGGCCCCTGGGCTGAGGTGTCCAACCCCACAGCCTCTAGGTGCCACTAAAGCAGCCCGAGAGGATCTTCTCTGTCCATCTCCATCCTGGCACCTACAGACACTTGGAGAGAGTCCTTCACATGGGAACTCACAAATGCACACTGATAACCCCCACACGGAACTCTCATACGTAGCAAGTGAAAAGACAGGATGCCAGTTTAACTTGAATTTCAGATAAACAACAAATCATTTTTTAGGGTAAGCAGGTCCCAAATATTGCATGGGATATATTTGCACAAAAAAAAAAAAAAAAAAAAAAAAAAAAAAAAAAGGTTAATGAGAAATTCAGGTTTAATTGGACTTCCTGTATTTTACCTGGCAAGCCTAACCCTGCATAAACACAACCTCGAGCTTGAAACTCACAGAAAAGCCACGGCCGTGCTCACACACGTGCACAAACCCATATGCCTTACAGAGTCAAGGGCTGTGATGAGGGTCCCCACCCTTGCACATTTCCCTGTCCTCTGTCTGGGCTCAGAGTAAACAGAGGGTCACCTGGCATCCAGGTCTAAGCTGGGCTTGGAGGTGTCCTAGTGAAGCAGGATGCTGACCTGCACTTCCCCAGGTCAGCTGGGACTGCAGCCAGGCCTAGCTTCCAGTCTCGGGCCTAGAACACACAGCACAGCCCCAGACCTTGGCAAGAAGGCTTCATCTCAAAAGCCACTAGTGCAGGAACTATTAGAAGCCCCACTTCTTTCCTCTGTTTCTGCTGCCATTGCCCCAGTCTCTGACCCTGACACTCAATCACTCTATAAACACAGCAGGTACTAGGGGTGGCTCTGGGCTCGGCACTAAAGACAATGCCCCTGGTAAAGCCACAGTCTAGCAATGACAGTCAACCACCTATCAGCAACAGCCCTGCCCCACACGTGCTGACTGCGCACAAGGCCGGCACTGTGAACGTGCTCTCAACAGTGATCTCACTGAACCCTCATGGCAGCTCTAGGATGCAGACAGTAGCATCACATTATCCCCATTTTACTTTTGAGGAAACTGAGGCCTGAAGGCGGCAAATGCAGGCCTCGAGATTTGCAGTAACATTGCCAGGAATGTTTGAGAAAGCAAACTTCTCCAGAGTGAGGCAGTCTGCCAGAGCTCAGAAGCCAGAGTCCCTGTTAGCAGGGGCTGGGGGGACTGTGGGGTGGGGGCAGACAAGCAGGTAGGGGCTGGACCCCCCAGGACACCAGGGTGCAGACTGGTGTGAGTAAAAGAAAGAGAGGCGGTCGTGCCATCATCTGCAGAAGATGATGTCTACAGAGGACAGTACCATGTGAGCCCTTGGGGAGCTGGATGACTGGATGGAATTTTGCACAGGATGCAAATTAAGCACAGATACCCCTCTGACCTAGACAGCCCACCTCCAGGAACATCTCACAGAAATGCAGACACAGCACCAAGTGATGTGTGTAAGGAAATTCATCAGAACACCGTCTGTGATTGGGAAAAGGCGGAAACCATCCAAAGAAGTATCGGTGCAGGGCTGGTTAAACGAAGCAAGGTGCATCCACACGTCAGAATAACTGCTGGGAAAAGAAGGTGGTTCCCAGGTTCCAACGTGAGACAATGTCAAAGACATGCTGCCTGAAAAGCAGGCTTTCCAAAGAATAAATACGGCATTATTCCATTTTACTTTTTAAAAAAGTTACAATAAACACTTATGTGCAAATACATGTGCTTGCGTGCACAGAGGAAAAAGGTGTGGACAGGAACAGAAAACCAAACTCTGCGGGTTCTCACTCATAAGTGGGAGTTGAACAATGAGAACACATGGACACAGGGAGGGGAACATCACACACCGGGGCCTGTCGGGGGTGGGGGACAAGGCGAGGGGGAGCGTTAGGTCAAATACCTAATGCATGCGGGGCTTAAAACAAAGATGACGGGTTGATAGGTGCAGCAAACCACCATGGCACATGTATATCTATGTAACAAACCTGCACGTTCTGCACATGTATCTCAGAACGTAGAATAAAAAGTAAACAGAAATCAAAGAAAAAGCTGTGGAGAGGTATACCCCAACCCTTCCCAGTGTTACCTCTGAGAAGCAAGATCAAGAAAAGCAAGTCAAGAGGATGTTTAGTTTTTTGTTTTCTATATAATTTTTTTTTTTTTTTGGAAACATAGTCTCCCTCTATTGCCCAGTCTGGAGTCCAGGGACACAATCTCGGCCCACTGCAACCTCCTCCTCACTGCAACCTCCTCCTCACCGCAACCTCCTCCTCACCGCAACCTCCTCCTCACTGCAACCTGCTCCTCATTGCGGCTTACTCCTTCTGGGTTCCAGTGATTCTCTTGCCTCAGCCTCCCAAATAACTAGGATTACAGGTGCGCACCACCAAGCCTGGCTAACTTTTGTATTTTTTGTAGAGACAGGGTTTCACTATTTTGGCCAAGCTGGTCTCAAACTCCTGGCCCACCCGCCTTGGCCTCCAAAAGTGCTGAGATCACAGGTGTGAGCCACCATGCCTGGCCTACATTGCTTGAATTCTCAGACCACATGGACCCTCTCATCTGGTCCAATTGCAAGAGTCCAAGGCAGGAAAGGCAGAAGGCAGGGGCTTACCCCTCCGTCAGGACAACATAGAACAGAGTCAAAAAAGAAAAACATGAATGGATCAGTCAAAGGGCCGTTCACATGCCCTCCCAGGCACCTACACCTTGCAGCTTAAGCCAACAAGCTTTCAAGCCACAGAGTCTTCCTTCCTAGAGACTAGCAAGGACACAAGCCCTGGCCAGGCCCCTTCAGGAGGATGGTCTGAGGTATAAGGTGGGGTGCACAGTCAGGGGTAGCAGGAGGAAAGGGGGACACGAAGCCAAGGAAACCAGGGCATCCCATGCTTCCTGAAGGCCACCAGAACAGGGCACCACACAGAGCCCCTGTGTACCTCTTTCTACAACAGCCTGAACACAAGGAAAAGGAAAACAAGGAAAATACACAAAGCCCAGCCTCACCTGGAGCAGGTTAAATAAAGGTGCGTGACTTCATGTCCTTTGGAATTGGAAATCCAAGCTTCCTCTTCTGTGCCTTTAAGGTCCTGGCCGCTGACCCACAGCTCCCTTCTCTTCCCTCCTCCTTTTGTCCTGACTTTTTTTTTTTTTTTTGAGACGGAATCTTGCTCTGTTGCCCAGGCTGGAGTACAGTGGCACAATCTCAGCTCACTGCAACCTCCACCTTCCGGGTTCAAGCAATTCTCATGGCTCAGCTTCCCGAGTAGCTGGTATTATAGGTGTCACCATGTCCGGCTAATTATTGTATTTTTAGTAGAGACAGGTTTTCACCATGTAGGCCAGGCTAGTCTCAAACTCCTGGCCTCAGGCCATCCGCCCACCTCGGCCTCCCAAAGTGCTGGGATTACAGGTGTGAGCCACCATGCCTGGCCCTCTTGTCCTAACTCTGCCATCTCTTTGCAGTCTCCCCTGAGCAGCTTTTCCTTGGCCCGCCCTGCCCCCCTCCAGAGCTGCACTCTCAAACCACCCCCCAATGCCCCCTGGCCCTGGCTCCTGCCCCGGGGCTCTGATCCTCAGCTAGTGAGGTCTAGAGGGTCAGAGGGAGCCAGACTCCCTACAGAAGCTAAGGCGGGAGACCTGTGCTGTGATGTGGGTAATCTGCCCCCTTCCAGCTGGGGCCAAATAGAAGGGGGAAAGGCTGCCCCCAGAATACAGGGCTCTCAGAGGTCCTGGGGATCTTTGCTGGCAGCCAGGAGGACTGTCACCTCAGTGCAGTTGCCTGCAAGGAGGGCTGTGCAGGAAGCTGCATGTTGCTCAGAGAACAAAAAAAGGAAATGAAATGCACCATCTCGTTATTAGCATGAGCTTTTGAGGCAGACACTTAAATATGCGTGCCTAGACATTGTAAAACTTGGGGGAAATGTTAATTTCAATAACGCCAGTTCTTGAGCTTGCAGAAACCATTCTTTTATCTCCCTTCCTAGTCATTTAGGGGCTCCATCACTCAGAGTGGCAGCGCCAAGACAGCCGGCCTCACTGGGTTTTGTAAGCTGTGCAAGGTGAGATCCCAAGCCCTTACCTGGAGACCCATCTTAGGAAAATGTTAGAACAGGGCAACAAGTTGCCATTTCCTCCCTCCTTTCTCTTCCCCATACAAAAATCAGAAAGCACACTAGCCCAGTGCCCAGCCACAGTGATGAGGAAACCCCACTCAAAATCCTGGGTTGTGCTCCTGATACCAAAGATCTGCAAAATTGGGACTCACCTGCTGCAACCCCAGCCCAGACGTGTGTACATTTCAGGGGTGGCTGGACTCATGGCCGCCTGTAACGTCAGGGTGGTACAAAGTCCTCTTAATCTAAGACTGTCGGGGTACAAAGATAAGCATTTTTTTTTCCTTTTTCTTGAGAGCCAGATGGTAAATAGTTCAGCTTTGCAGGCCATAGGTCTCTGTCCCAACTCTCCAACTCTCCATTGTAGCAGGAAAGCAGCCACAGACAATATGCACTGAAATGGGTGTGGCTGTGTTCCAATAAAACTTTATATGTATGAACAGGCAGGGAGCTGGTTCTGGCCTGTGGGCTACAGCCTGCCTCCTCTGCTACAGCGTGATCTCCAAGGACCGATCCGTCTTGTAGACCAGCAGCTGGCACACAGGAGCTGCTCAGATACTTGAAGGAGGAATGGAGAAGGCAAACAGCCCCCAGTATGCAGACGTGAGGGTCTCCCAGCGGCACCATCCTTTGCCATCTCATGCCGAGGGACAAAGACAGAGCAGAGCTCTCCACCAAGGCTGGGTTCTCCTCCAAGGAAATGTGATAACAGGACAGAAAGCATCGTGGAAGGATAGGGGCTTTGGAGTCCCACAAACCACAGTTTGCAAGACCAGGAGCATCCTGCACTTCCTTGCACACATCCTGGGTGGGTGCTGGAGCATCTAGACTTAGAGTGAATCTTCTCCCCCTCCTCCCCCAACTGGCCTCCATTAAACTTCCAGCAACAATGTGGTGTATGTACACAATGGAATACTATTCAGCCTTCAAAAAGAAGGAAATCCTGCCATTTGAGACAACATGGATGAGCCTGCAGGATATTATGTTAAGTGAAATAAGCCAGGCACAGAACAACAAATACCACATTATCTCACTTACATGTGGAATCTAAAAAAGTTGAACTCAGCCAGGCATGGTGGCTCATGCCTGTAATCCCAGCACTTTGGGAAGTTGAGGCTGGTACATTGCTTGAGCACAGCAGTTCGAGACCAGCCTGCATAACATAGCAATAGCCCATCTCTACAAAAAATACAAAAATTATTGGAGCATGGTAGTGCATGCCTGTACTCCCAGATACTCAGGAGGCTGAGGTGGGAGGATTGATTGAACTTGGGACGTCAAGGCTGCAGTGAGCCAAGATCACACCCCTGCACTACAGCCTGGGCAATAGAAGGAGATTGTCTCAAAAAAAAGAAAGAAAAAGAAAAGAAAAAAGTTGAATTCATAGAAGTGTAGTAGAATGATGGTTGCCAGAGTGGGGAAGTGGGCAGATGCCAAAGGACACAGAATGTCATTTTTAGAGAAGAATAAGTTCAGGAGATCCGTGGGACAACATGGTACCTATAGTTAATAACAACATATCATACACTTGGAAATCACTAAGAGAGTAGATTTTTTAAGTGTTCTCACCACAAAAAAATAAGTCTTGGAGGTGATATGTTATTTACCTTGATTTAGCCATTTCATAATGTACACATACTTCAATCACATCATGTTGTATACCCTTTTGTACATAATTTTTGCCAATTCAATAAATTCAACAACTCCAAAAAACAAGACATTCTCTTTACAAAAATAATTATTAAAAATAAAATTCAGAATTCTATTTTATTTATTTATTTATTTTTGAAACAGAGTCTCGCTCTGTCACCCAGGCTGGCTGAAGTACAGTGGTGCGATCTCGGCTGACTGCAACCTCTGTCTCCCAGATTCAAATGATTCTCCTACCTCAGCTTCCCAAGTAGCTGGGATTACAGGTGTATGCCATCACGCCTGGCTAATTTCTGTATTTTAAGTAGAGACAGTTTCGCCATGTTGACCAGGCTGCTCTCGAACTACTGACCTTGGGTGATCTGCCAGCCTCGGCCTCCCAAAGTGCTGGGATTACAAGTGTAAGCCACTGTGCCCGGCCAGAATATAAAAGATGGTTTAATTCAACTAAAACATTAAAACATAGATTATTTCTATAAGTGTTAATTGTTCTAATATGTTTTGGTCAAAATAGTCTCCTTACCTATCCACAATTAAATGGTTAATTGACATTTGATTGGATTTTGATGAAGTTTTCAAATCATGATTGACTTTTCCAATGTATAGTAAAATGTGCTTGAAAATATTTCATAAAAATTAATATTTAAAAATGGTCAGGCATGGTGGCTCATGCCTGTAATCCCAGCACTTTGGGAGGCCAAGGTGGGCCGATCACTTGAAGTCAGAAGTTTGAGACCAGCCTGGCCAAACCTCATCTCTACTAAAAATACAAAAGTTAGTCAGGCATGGTGGCATGCACGTGCATTCCCAGCTACTTGGGAGGCTGAAGCAGGAGAATCGCTTGAACCTGGGAGGTGGGCTCCCCAGGCTTAAAGCAAAACCCCCATCTTGTCTGTCTCCACTCTCATCCCAGGCAATCGCGGTCATTTCCACAGCCTCAACCACTGTCTACCTGGGATGCCTCCCAAGCCCGAGTCTCCAGCCCAAATCTGCCTTCCTAGCCCCAGACCCATCTGTCCTGGCACACATTGCCCCCTGGGTCCCAAGCAACCTCAGCCAATGAGTCCAACGTCAACTTCCTGTCCTTGCCTGACACTAACAGCCCTGAGATCAGACCTGACCATTCACCTCCAGTACCAGATAGGTCCGTCAGTCCTTTGGAACATATCCCACGAACATTCCCCAAACCAGGCACCGGACTCCACACATCAACACCGTCACGTGAGTCACCAGCATCCCTGGCAGGGACCCCTGTCCCAGCCTCCAAATCATCTCCTTCCTGTCCCTTGAGTTCTGTGTCACATTCCAGAGGCCACAAGAAGAAAAATGACAACCTTACTGAAATTAAAAGAATTGAGAAGACATCTCCATATGGTCCAAAGTCTTTCCAACTGAGAAACACATATCAAGATCCAGCCTGCCAACCCTGGGGTTAAATGTTCCTGAAATAATTAAAGCCCAGGGCAACACAGCCCCCATTCCAAAGTACTCCCAACATAGTAAGACTTGCTTCTCTGGATGGGCTCGAAATGTCCAGTGTGTACCCTGCCCCTCTCTGTCGTAGCTAACAGGAATGTGTTTCATGTCTTCTTCCTGCTCGAAGGACCATCCACCAACCTGTGCAGGCAGCACTTTTGGCCAGGGGAGGATGCTAGAACTTCCCACCATTTCCCACTTACGCACTGCATTCCTCAGGAGCCTGCCTCACAAATTACAAGAGCGCCACAGCAGACACAACACGTTCCAGCAGGTGGCCATGTCTTCATGTCAGCTTGAAAGATCATCACCAGGGAAATATCTATATCTCGGCAGAGAGAGCTTCAGCCTGTGTAGTCCAGCTGTGCTCAAATGGAAATCCAGAAACCCAGATGTTGGTCCAAACACCCTGTCTCAGGGAGCTGGCTCTGCAGGTCCCCAGCGTGGGAGTGAACCGGGTGGGCCACCTGCCCTTCCTGCCCACATCCCTGCTTCCTGGAATCCTGGACCCTGAGAACCAGGGGGACATGGTGGGGAACAGGCAAGTCTTGTGCAGAAAGCCAAGATGCCACCCAAATCCACTCTGCAGTCTAGGTGGGTGACATTCTGCTCTGCACCACACCAGTACATGAGGGGATGGAGGATGGAGTCTAGACAACCCAAATGTAGAAAGATATTGCCCAAGTATTTTGTGATTTGTCTGTGTTACAATGCTATGCCCAGCCCAGGGTGGTGGCTCACACATGTGATCTCAGCACCTTGGGAGGCCGAGCTGGGTGGATCACCTTAGGTCAGGAGATTGAGGCCAGCCTGGCCAACATGGTGAAACCACATCTCTACTAAAAATACAAAAATTAGCCAGGTGTGGTGGTGGGCAACTGTACTCCCAGCTACTTGGGAGGCTGAGGCACGAGAATCACTTGAGCCCAGGAGGTGGAGGTTGCAGTGAGCGGAGATCATGCCACTGCACTCCAGGCTGGGCAACAGAGTAAGACTCCATCTTAAAAACAAAATAAAGATAAATAAATGCTATGCCCAGCATTTTCAATGTACTGTCTTATTATCTCAGTAAATCCCATGTAACCTTCCTATGAAAGTGTATCTCATTTATCTCCATTTCATAGATGAGAAACCTGAGGCCCCTGGAGTTGTATTAATTTTCCAAGACTGCATTGCTGATAAAGAGTACAGCAGGGACCCAAGCTTGACACTCTCACCCTCAAACATTTCCACAAGTGTAGACCAATGGCTCTCAACTGGAGTGGTTTGGCTCACGTACAACTCCCTTGCTCCACGGCATTTGAAACCATCTGGAGACATCTGGAGTAGCCATAACTGGGAGGGTAAAATGGTACCTAGAGGATGGAGACCACAGATGCTGCTAACCATCTTACAATACACAGGACAGCCTCCCCACCACCACCACCACCATGAATGGTCTGACCCCAAATGTTGTGACTGTGCCAAAGCGGAGAAACCCAGATTTCTCCTCAGCAAGAAGGAAAATCCCTGCAACGTGGATGCACCTCTGCAGGAATCCCTCTGCAGGAGCCCCAAGATGAGAATAACCTTCCTGATCTGGTTTCAACCCTGGATGCTTTCAACTGGTGCGTCCATCAAGGATTTCAGGGACTCCAGTGAGTTATTATCCTCGAATGCTCGGTTCTGCCTGACAACCCAGAAATCTCTGACAAGATGCCTGGTCTTGGGGAAGGCTCAGCAAGTGGTTGAGGTTGATAACCAAATACCTAGGAGAGACTTTGCTCTCCCTCCAGGAGGAGCTGTGGGTCAGACACACCCTGGGATCATTCACAAGTTGTCAATAAAGGCTTGGGGAGGGCCAGGTTTTCTAGGCCTTCTCAATGGGGTCGGTGTTTGTGGATACACAAGAAGCCTGTGAAACTTCTGATATTGGCAGGAAATCAATGCACCCCACCCTCCACCTCCCCACATCCCCACTATAAACACATGCCCTGCAGCAGGACTTGCAACACAGGGGCTCCTGGGGTCCCGATTTATCTGCTAAAACATCCTCTAGCCACCACCGAATAAAGAAACCCCTTGCCACCCAACCACAAGAGCACAGCCTGGGAGCCACTCCAAGGGACACCAAGTCACATTAAAACCTCAGCCATCCAGAGCACCAGGCCTGGTGATGAGAAAGAACATTTTATCCTTAAAAGCATCTGAATGCCCATGCTGCTTCTTATAGAGAAAAGTCCAAAATAATCTGATATTAAAGAACGAGGATGGTTTTGGCATTTTTACCAAGCTAGTGGTCTACGCAGACAAAATCTCATAAAAGGGCACTCTGTTCTTCTTGATCCACTCAGACATGGCCTGTGAGTGAAGAAACTGGCTCTTGTCCTCAAAGAAATCACTGCTGATCCTCGTACCAGCCTGACACTGCTTCATGGGTTCTTCAGAAAGAGTATTTCCATAGAAACTAAAAAGGAAGAGGAATGTGTCTGGCGGGCATTGTGGGCAGCAGTGGGCTTTGGGCCAAATTTTAAGTTTGAAAATCAAGATTCCCTCTTTTCAAGGGGCCACTGGACTGAGCAGATACAGACACCGTGAAAAGAGGGTGCCATGTTCAGATTCAGGAAACAAGGATGGTTTCTATTCAGTTCCTCCATCATCCTTCAGGTCATGCGATTCCCATTACCCTCTGTGGACCAAACAATTCAGTGGGGTTTCTGTCTTTTAAATATTTCATTATCAACATATCATCCTTTTAGCCTCCAGAAAGCATTTTAACATGGAGATTCTGGCTTAAGACTCTTGTGGGTCTGTCTGTCTCTCTCTCTCTCTCTGTCTTTTCCTTGAAACAGGATCCCACTTTGTCACCCAGGCTGGAGTGCAGTGGCATGATCACAGCTCACTGCAGCCCGACCTTCCAGGCTCTAGCAATCCTCCCACCTCAGCCTCCAAAGTACTTGGGACTACAGGCACACACCACCATACTTGGCTTTTGTTTTGTTTTGTTTTGTTTTGTTTTGTTTTGTTTTTTGGTAGATATGAGGCTTCACCATGTTGCCCTGGCTCGTGTTAAACTGCTGGGCTCAAGCGATCCCCCCTTCACCCTCTCAAAGTGCTGGGATTATTGGCTTGAGCCACCACGCCCGGCCAAGGACCTTGTCTCTTGTGATGCACCCCAGAACAAAACATCACTGCAAAAACACACTAAGGCATGAGTTTCAGTCCTGAGTCCCATTTATCCGCCATACACTATGTGCCAGGCACAACGCTAAGTGCTTCTATGGACGAGTTTCCCTTAATCTCAGCAGTAACAACCGCAGGCACTGGGGTCTGTAGACCGATCCATTTGCCACTGAAGACAGTAAGGCTCATAGAGGGTAAGTGGCTTGTGCCATGTCAGCCAGCGAAGGAGGGGCAGAACCAGGATCCAAACCCCAGCTGCCTGGCTCCAGACTCGTGTTCCCAAGGTCCCACTACGCTTGGTCACCTTACTGCATTATAGTATCCTGGTCTTTGGCAGAGTCCACGTAAAAGAAGGAGGTAGAGGGAGTGAGAGGGCCTTCACGCAATAAAGTTTCCCGGCGTTACACTGCCACCGTAATTGTGTTCCCGATCAGGACCTCTCCCTTCTTATCCTGTCCGTGATTGGCCCTGGAAAACCTTCCAGAGAACTGTCCTCCTTCTCCTGGGATCTCAGAGAAAATTCACCTGAGTTCAGTGTCCAGGTGACCCAAGCTCTGAATGCAGTAACGAGCACAGGGAGATGAGGATGTCACCATGAGAAAGCCTCCCAGGCAGCATCCGGGAGCAACCCCAAGACTGGGCAGGGTGGGGCTCTGATGCAGCCCACGGCGAGGAGGGCTGCCCATGCTGCCTAAATGGGTTCAGAATGAAGGCCGCCCTCTCTCCCATGTGGGGCTCATTAACCACGAATCCAATTATTAAGACAAGCTCAGTTAAGTAAATGGTCAAACATAAAAACATGTGGAAGGAACAAAGAGGTCAACCCCATTATCCATCAAAAACCATCAAGGTGGCAGCAGTCACTGAGGGGTACAGCTCTCCAGCTGGCCTTCATCTGCTCTCCAAACTCACGTGCCTCCCCAGTGGAAGGCCAGCAAAGCCACACAGGAAGATTTGGGGTAGGAAAGCAGAAAGTGAACCCCAGGAGGCCAGGCTGGCCACGGAGCACCATCCCACACACACAGGCCCGGTGACTCAGGGGCCCACGTGTGCAGGACACCGGGAGCTCATAGGGACAGCGCCCCAGGGAATGCAAGGAACTTTGCCTCTCTGTCCCTCTCTGTAGGGATGGAAAGAGAACGATTTCTGGGATGGAAGCCATCTGCCTCCTCTCAACTCTGGCTGCCCAACTAGAAAGGGAAAAAAAAAACAGGAAGATGCGGGACAGGTGACGAGCTGGGTGAGCGCCACCAGCCCGCAGCCCAGCAGAGCAGGGCTTGGCCAAGCCTGGCACCAGGGACTTCCCCCCTGCCCCCACCACAGGCCCCTCGCCAGGTGAGAGGCACCGACAGAGTCCCAGACAGATGCCCCAGACAGGATGCCCAGGGCAACCCCCGCCCCTTCCCCTGCTGGGGGCCCCAGGACGCGGGGCTCCCCCTCCCCTTTTGGCCAGCTGCAGAGTCCAGCGGGTATCCCAGCCAGGGACGTCGTGGGAGAATCAGGAAGTCGAAGCCACACAGCCGAGAAGGGGCAGCTGGCGTCTCGGAGGCCGTCACCAGCTGTCACTCCGTGCCGCCGGAGTTGCCGCTCAGTAACCAACTTCAACCCGGAACCGGCCACGGAGCCTCCCGCCGCCTCTACCCCGCGTCCCCGGCACCTCCGCGCCCCCGGACCCCCGCGCCCGCGTCACTTACTCCTCTGCCGTCGCCACCTGTCTGGGTGCCGGTGTCCTCCTTGCCCGGCCGCAGCGCGTCCTCCCCGTCCTCGCAGTCCTCGGGCTGTGCTCTTCCCCCCTCCAGCAACAGCCGCAGCCTCTTCTCTTCAGGAGGGACGTCGTCCTCCTCCCTCCTGGGCCGGCCATCCCTGCCTCGGGGCTTGCCAGTGGCTTCGGAGCTGCCGGAAGGGCTGGCCATGGCTCCAGGGGCTCTGCCTGCACTTGGGGAAAAAGAAGCACCCGGGGCGAGCGTCCTCTCGGCGGAGCTGGGGCGTCTGAGCGCGAGCTTGCTGGGTCCGCGAGGCGCGGAGCTGGGCATCGGGGCGGGCGCGGGCTCCTCCGCGGGCCGCTCCTGGCTCTCTGGCGCCCTCTGCTGGCCTCTCCCGCGCAGCGCGGACACGCCGGGCCCGGGCCTGCGCCGCGCTCACCTGTCCTGGCCCAGGAGGTCGCTGTCCCTTGCCCGTGGCCAGGCCCGCTCTGGCCAGGCCCTGCACCTCCTCCCCGCCCCAGCCAGGTTGCACTCCGATGGTCTCCCTGCCCAAGGAGGAGAGAAGACAAGGGACGCCCCGAGAGGGTAGACATAGGCCACAGCCACCTTGTCTTTGCTCTTACCCTGTTTCTTCCATGATTTGGAGGGGGTGGGAAAACCGAGGCTGCTCAAAACTCGTGGAGAATTCCGCCTGCAGGATGACATGAATGCACTTTCCCATTGCCTACCAACAGATCTTTTTTGAGCATCACTGTGGACCAGGTGTGGTGATGGGGGAGGGGATATTGTGGTGAACATGACAGGCATTGCCTTCACCCAGTGGGGCTCAGCGCTGGGTGGGAAGGCATTGAGAATGGACATTGTCAACTCGGCCAAAGGAGGCCAAGGAGAAGGGCTGGGGGCATGGGAACTGAAAAAGACAGGAGGCTCAGCAGGTCTTGGAACTGGGAAAGTGACAGCAGCAGCGGCTGTTCCAAAGGAAGCAACAGCTGAGAGAGGTCTCAGAGAGTTGTTCTCAGCCCAGTGGAGGGTGTTCAGGCAGAGGGAACAGCGTGTGCAAAAGCCCAGAGGCTGGGAAAGAAGCAGAAAGAGGACTGTGGGGATGGAGCGTGGTGGGCAAGGGGAGGAAGGTGTGGTGGGCAGAAAGATTGCCTGGGACCCAGCCGTGCAGGGGCAGAGGAGATAGGGAATCCTTGCAGGCCCCCAGCCGGGGCTCAGGCACAGAGACAGTGCAGGTGGGCAAAGGGAGGAGACGTGGAGAAATATTTTGGAGGCATGCCCTGATGAATGAGCCCAGGATGCACCCTTAGTGTCAGTGTGGAGCTCTTTCCTTGACTGTGTGATGAGCTGAACTCGGGGGTATTTTCTGGACATTGAGGTGCTACACCAAGAGCCCAGGACAGGCTAAGTGAGCACTAGCAGCTCCTGGCCCACCTCAAAAGCAGGAGAGACAGGGGAGACTGGGGAGGCCGGGGCAGAAGGGGAAGCCAGGAAGGTAGGAGAGGCCAGGGAAGCAGAGGAGGCCAGGGAGGCAATGGAGGCAGGAGAGGCTGGGGAGGTTATGTCCTTTCCATGATTCTGCCCTGGATCCTAAGCCCCTGAACTCCCTGAGCTTCCCCACCCCAAGGGCTGGAATCATGTTGCACAATGGTCTCCCCACTAAGCTCCTGATGGCAGCCCCTACCCTGCTGTGCTCCCTATTTCAACCCTAACAGCTCTCACAGTGGGCAGCACATAGTAGGTGCTCAGGAAACACTGGTGGGAGAGCACTCGGGTCTGCTCAGCACCTTCCTCTCTCCTCCAGCTCTCCCCTGTCACGAAATAATTCTGATAACGACACATGGACTTTGAGACCCTCTTCTATTACTTTCCATATGCTAATCCATCTATACCTCACAGCAGCCCTGGGGGTGGGTGCAATGAGGATGCCCATTTTATAGAGGAGGAGACTGAGGTATAAAGAAGGTAAGTGACATACGCACACTACGGGGGCTGGGGCCAAGTGATCAGAACACTCAATCCCCAAAGGCAAGGTGGATGCAGTTATCATAAAAGACAGCAGAGTCAAAGCTGCAACCAGAATAGCCCGACTCGCAGCGACCTATGGTGCCTGCTGATCGTGGCTTTCCTAGAAGTGAAATAGATAAGAAGCCTGCCACATTTCACTTGATCTGTGTTTGCAGAAGAGTTCTAGGTCAAGTGAGCAGAAGTCTAATCTGAATCATAAAAACAGAGTCACAGTCCCCAGTCAATTTCCAGACATAAGCCAGTTCACAGACCTGGACTCCCTTGTCTGAATGGGAAGCCAGGTCCCCTCCAGAAAGGACTCTGCTACACTGCCAAAAATTTATACTGTCAATCTTCCTCCCAACCTGCCCCCAAGGGAATACACAGCCTTTCGCCAGGATGACTGAACAGGAGAAAAGGAACTAATGAGACCTGTGCAGGATCACTGGACACAGGCTCTGAACTGGCACTAGGGCGAGACTAGGGTCTACTAGTCAGAATAGGCATTTTGGAGGTAAGGTGAATGTTGGTGCAAGTTCATGTCATGGTAGATCCATTGGGTCCCCAAATCCATCCTCTGGTTATATACAAAGAGGCAATGTTGAGATTCAAATTCAGGGCAACCAACATAGAGCCTGGGCTCTTACTCATGAAACATTCTGACACTAGTAACCAATTTAAAAGTGCAAACACCTCCTGGGGCTAGCCAGAGTCCCCAAAACAGTCATGTCAATTGGTTCTGTCAAGAATTTCCTCCCACCCCCTGCTGAGAGCCAGTTGCAAGGAGAGACTAGGGAAGGGCATTGGGTAACTTTGTTGCTAAAAGCTCTTCTGGATAAAGACGTATGGGAAAAGAAGCAAATAGAGTTCAGCAGAAGAGGTAAGAAAGTAAGTTTATGTTTGGCCAGGCACGGTGGCTCACGCCTGTAATCCCAGCACTTGGGAAGGCCGAGGCGGGCAGATCACGAGGTCAAGAGATCGGACTATCCTGGCCAACATGGTGAAGCCCCGTCTCTACTAAAAATTCAAAAATTAGATGGACATGATGGCGCACGCCTGTAGTCCCAGTTACTCAGTAGCCTGAGGAAGGAGAATCACTTGAACCCAGGAGGTGGAGATTGCAGTGAGCGGAGATCATGCCACTGCACTCCAACCTGGGCAACAGAGTAAGACTCTGTCTTAAAAAAAAATTAAAATAAATAAATGCTATGCGCAGCATTTTCCATGTACTGTCTTATTATCTCGGTGAATCCCATATAACCTTCCTATCAAAGTGTATCTCATTTATCTCCATTTTATAGATGAGAAAACTGAGGCCCCTGGAGTAGTATTAATTTTCCAAGACCACATTGCTCATAAAGGGTACAGCAGGGACCCAAGCTCGACACTCTCACCCTCAAACATTTCCACAAGTGTGGACCAATGGCTCTTAACTGGGGTGGTTTTGCTCACGTACCGCTCCCTTGCCCCACATTATTTGAAACCATCTGGAGACGTCTGGGGTAGCCATAGCAGGGAGGGTAGAATGGCACCTAGAGGATGGAGACCACAGATGCTGCTAACCATCCTTCAATACACAGCACAGCCCCACCACCAGCACCACGAATGGTCTCACCACAAATATTCTGACTGTGCCAAAGCTGAGAAACCCAGGTTTCTCCTCAGCAAGAAGGAAAATCCCTGCAACGTGGATGCACCTCTACAGGAGCCCCAGGCTGACAATAACCTTCCTGATCTGGTTTCAACCCTGGATGCTTTTACCAGGTGCGTCCATCAGGGATTTCAGGGACTCCAGTGAGTTATTACCCTCGAATGCTCGGTTCTGCCTGACAACCCAGAAATCTCTGACAAGATGCCTGGTCTTGGGGAAGGCTCAGCAAGTGGTTGAGGTTGACAACCAAATACCTAGGAGAGACTTTTCTCTCCCTCCAGGAGGAGCTGTGGGTCAGACACACCCTGGGATCATTCACAAGTTGTCAATAAAGACTTGGGGAGGGCCAGGTTTTCTAGGCCTTCTCAATGGGGTGGGTGTTTGTGGATACACAAGAAGCCTGTGAAACTTCTGATATTGGCAGGAAATCAATGCACCCCACCCTCCACCCCTCCCCACATCCCCACCATAAACACATGCCCTGCAGGGCAGGACTTGGCACTCAAGGGCTCCTGGGGTCCCGATTTATCTGCTAAAACATCCTCTAGCCACCAACGAATAAAGCAACCCCTTGCCACCCAACCACAAGAGCACAGCCTGGGAGCCACTCCAAGGGACATCCAGTCACATTAAAACCTCAGCCATCCAGAGCACCAGGCCTGGTGATGAGAAAGAACATTTTGTCCTTAAAAGCATCTGAATGCCCATGCTGCTTCTTGCAGAGAAAAGTCCAAAATAATCTGCTATTAAAGAACGAGGATGGTTTTGGCATTTTTACCAAGCTAATGGTCTACACAGACAAAATCTCATAAAAGGGCACTCTGTTCTTCTTGATCCACTCAGACATGGCCTGTGAGTGAAGAAACGGCTCTCCTCCTCAAAGAAATCACTGCTGATTCTCACACCAGCCTGACACTGCTTCATGGGTTCTTCAAAGAGAGTATTCCCATAGGAACTAAAAGGGAAGAGGAATGTGTCTGGCGGGCATTGTGGGCAGCAGTGGGCTTTGGGCCAAATTTTAAGTTTGAAAATCAAGATTGCCTCTTTTTGAGGGGCCGCCGGACTGAGCAGATACAAACACCGTGAAAAGAGGGTGCCATGTTCAGATTCAGGAAACAAGGATGGTTTCTGTTTAGTTCCTCCATCAACCTTCAGGTCATGCGATTCCCATTTCCCTCTGTGGACCAAACAATTCAGTGGGGTTTCTGTCTTTTAAATATTTCATTATCAACATATCATCCTTTTAGCCTCTAGAAAGCATTTTAACATGAAGATTCTGGCTTAAGACTCTTGTGGGTCTGTGTCTCTCTCTCTCTCTATCTCTCTTCCTTGAAACAGAGTCTCACTTTGTCACCCAGGCTGGAGTGCAGTGGCATGATCACAGCTCACTGCAGCCCGACCTTCCAGGCTCTAACAATCCTCCCACCTCAGCCTCCAAAGTCCTTGGGACTACAGGCACACACCACCATACCTGGCTTTATTTTTTATTTTTTTTATTTTTGGTTGATATGAGGCTTCACCACCGTGCCCAGGCTGGTCTTAAACTCCTGGGCTCAAGCGATCCTCCCCTTTCGGCCTCTCAAAGTGCTGGGATTATTGGCTTGAGCCACCATGCCCAGCCAAGAACCTTGTCTCTTGTGATGCACCCCAGAACAAAACATCACTGCAAAAACACACCAAGGCATGAGTTTTAGTCCTAACTCTCATTTATCCACCATACACTATGTGCCAGGCACAATCCTAAGTGCTTCTGTGGATAAGCTTCCCTTAATCTCAGCAGTAAACCCCAGGCAATGGGACCTGTTGACAGATCCATTTGCCACTGAAGACAGTAAGGCTCAGAGAGGATAAGAGGCTTGTGCCATGTCAGCCAGCTAAGGAGGGGCAGAACCAGGATGCAAACCCCAGCCGCCTGGCTCCAGACTCGCGTTCCCAAGGTCCCACTACACTTGGTCACTCCACTGCATTCTGGTATCCTGGTCTTTGGCAGAGTCCACGTAAAAGAAGGAGGTGGAAGGAGTGAGAGGGACTTCACGCAATAAAGTTTCCTGGTGTTACACTGCCACCGTAATTGTGTTCCCGACCAGGACCTCTCCCTTCTCATCCTTTCCGTGATCGGCCCTGGAAAACCTTCCAGAGAACTGTCCTCCTTCTCCCGGGATCTCAGAGAAAATTCACCTGAGTTCAGTGTCCAGGTGACCCAAGCTCTGAATGCAGTAACGTGCACGGGGAGATGAGGATGTCACCATGAGCAAGCCTCCCAGACAGCAACCGGGAGCAACCCCAAGACAGGGCAGGGGGGGCTCTGATGCAGCCCGCGGCGAGGAGGGCTGCCCGTGCTGCCTAAATGGGTTCAGAATGAAGGCCGCCCTCCCATCTTCAACCCGGGGTCGGCCACGGAGCCTCCCGCCACCTCTACCCCGTGTCGCAGGCACCCCCGCGCCCCCGGCACCCCCGGACCCCCGCGCCCGCGTCACTTACTCCTTTGCCGTCGCCACCTGTCTGGGTGCCGGTCTCCTCCCTGCCCGGCCGCGGCGCGTCCTCCCCGTCCTCGCAGTCCTCGGGCTGTGCGCTTCCCCCCTCCAGCAACAGCCGCAGCCTCTTCTCTTCGGGAGGGACGTCGTCCTCCTCCCTCCTGGGCCAGCCATCCCTACCTCAGGGCTTGCCAGTGGCTTCGGAGCTGCCGGAAGGGCTGGCCATGACTCCGGGGGCTCTGCCTGCACTTGGGGAAGAAGAAGGACCCAGCGCGAGCGTCCTCTCGGCGGAGCTGGGGAGTCTGAGCGCGGGCTCGTTGGGTCCGCGCGGCGCGGAGCTGGGCATCCGGGCGGCGCGGGCTCTTCCGCGGGCCGCTCCTGGCTCTCTGGCGCCCTCTGCTGGCCTCTCCCGCACACCGCCGCCACGCCGGGCTCGGGCCTGCGCCGCTCTCACCTGTCCTGGCCCAGGAAGTCGCTGTCCCTTGCCCGTGGCCAGGCCCGCTCTGGCCAGGCCCTGCACCTCCTCCCCGCCCCAGCCAGGTTGCACCCCGATAGTCTCCCTGCCGAAGGAGGAGAGAAGAGAAGGGACGCCCGGAGAGGGTGGACATCGGCCACAGCCACCTTGTCTTTGCTCTTACCCTGTTTCTTCCATGATTTGGAGGTGGTGGGAAAACCGAGGCTGCTCAAAACTCGTGGAGAATTCCGCCTGCAGGATGACATGAATGCACCTTCCCATTGCCTACCAACAGATCTTTTTTGAACATCACTGTGGACCAGGCGTGGTGATGGGGGAGGGGATATTGCGGTGGACATGACAGGCATTGCCTTCATCCAGTGGGGCTCAGCGCTGGGTGAGAAGGCATTGAGAATGGACATTGTCAACTCGGCCAAAGGAGGCCAAGGAGAAGTGCTAGGGGCATGGGAACTGAAAAAGACAGGAGGCTCAGCCGGTCTTGCAGCTGGGAGAGGGACAGCAGCAGCGGCTGTTCCAAAGGAAGCAACAGCTGAGAGAGGTCTCAGAGAGTTGTTCTCAGCCCAGTGGAGGGTGTTCAGGCAGAGGGAACAGCGTGTGCAAAAGCCCAGAGGCTGGGAAAGAAGCAGAAAGAGGACTGTGGGGATGGAGCGTGGTGGGCAAGGGGCGACAGGCGTGGTGGGCGGACAGATTGCCTGGGACCCAGCCGTGCAGGGGCAGAGGAGATAGGGGATCCTTCCAGACCCCCAGCCGGGGCTCAGGCACAGAGACAATGCAGGTGGGCAAAGGGAGGAGACGTGGAGAAATATTTTGGAGGCATGCCCTGATGAATGAGCCCAGGATGCACCCTTAGTGTCAGTGTGGAGCTCCTTCCTTGGTTGTGTGATGAGCTGAACCCGGGGGTATTTTCTGGACATCGAAGTGCTACACCCAGAGTCCAGGACAGGCTAAGTGAGCACCAGCAGCTCCTGGCCCACCTCAGAAGCAGGAAAGACAGGGGAGACTGGGGAGGCCGGGGCAGAAGGGGAAGCCAGGAAGGCAGGAGAGGCCAGGGAAGCAGAGGAGGCCAGGGAGGCAGGGGACGCAGGAGAGGCTGGGGAGGCTGTGTCCTTTCCATGATTCTGCCCAGGATCCTAGGCCCCTGTACTCCCTGAGCTTCCCCACCCCAAGCGCTGGAATCGTGTTGCACAATGGTCTCCCCACTAAGCTCCTGATGGCAGCCCCTACCCTGCTGTGCTCCCTATTTCAACCCTAACAGCTCTCACAGTGGACAGCACATAGTAGGTGCTCAGGAAACACTGGTGGGAGAGCACTCGGGTCTGCTCAGCACCTTCCTCTCTCTTCCAGCTCTCCCCTGTCACGAAATAATTCTGATAACGACACATGGGCTTTGAGACCCTCTTCTATTACTTTCCATATGCTAATCCATCTATACCTCACAGCAGCCCTGGGGGTGGGTGCAATGAGGATGCCCATTTTATAGAGGAGGAGATTGAGGTATAAAGAGGGTAAGTGACATAGGCACACTACAGTGGCTGGGGCTAAGTGATCAGAGCACTCAATCCCCAAAGGCAAGGTGGATGCAGTTACCATAAAAGACAGCAGAGTCAAAGCTGCAACCAGAATACCCTGACTCGCAGAGACCTATGGTGCCTGCTGATCGTGGCTTTCCTAGAAGTGAAATAGATAAGAAGCCTGCCACATTTTTACTTGATCTGTGTTTGCAGAAGAGTTCTAGGTCAGGTGAGCAGAAGTCTAATCTGAATCATAAAAACAGTGTCACAGACCCCATTCAATTCCCAGCCATAAGCCAGTTCACAGACCCGGAGTCCCTTGTCTGAATGGGAAGCCAGGTCCCCTCCAGAAAGGACTCTGCTCCACTGCCAAAAATTTATACTGTCAATCTTTCTCCCAGCCTGCCCCCAAGGGAATACACAGCCTTTACCAGGATGACTGAACAGGAGAAAAGGAACTAATGAGACCTGTGCAGGATCACTGGACACAGGCTCTGAACTGGCACTAGGCTGAGACTAGGGTCTACCAGTCAGAATACACATTTTTTAGGTCAGGTGAATGTTGGTCCAAGTTCATGTCATGGTAGATCCATTGGGTCCCCCAATCCATCCTCTGGTTATATACAAAATGGCCATGTTGAGATTTAAATTCAGGGTATCCAACTTAGAGGCTGTGCTCTTACTCATGAAACATTCTGACACTACTAACCAATTTAAAAATGCAAACACCTCCTGGGGCTAGCGAGAGTCCTCCAAACAGTCATGTAAATTGGTTCTGTCAAGGATTTCCTCCTACCCACCCCACCCACCACTGAGAGCCAGTTGCAAGGAGAGACTAGGGAAGGGCATTGGGTAACTTTGTTACTAAAAGCTCTTCTGGATAAAGAAGAGCTTTACCAGGAAAAAGAAGCAAAATAGAGTTCAGCAGAAGTTGCGAAAAGAAGCAAATAGAGTTCAGCAGAAGAGGTAAGAAAGTAAGTTTATGTTTGACCAGGCACGGTGGCTCACGCCTGTAATCCTAGCACTTTGGGAAGCCAAGGCGGGCAGATCACGAGGTCAAGAGATCGCACCATCCCGGCCAACATGGTGAAGCCCCGTCTGTACTAAAAATTCAAAAATTAGCTGGTCATGATGGCACACGCCTGTAGTCCCAGGTACTCGGGAGCCTGAGGAAGGAGTATCACTTGAACGCAGGAGGCAGAGGTTGCAGTGGGCCGAGATCATGCCACTGCATTCCAACCCGGTGACAGAACTAGACTCCATCTCATAAAACAAAACAAAACAAACAAAAAAAGTAAGCTTATTTTTAAGCCTGAACAAGTGTAATGATTTAGGGGTTCTGCAAACACGGCCCCAATCAGGCTACAAGATGTTGTGGCAGCAATATTTACAGCCAGTCACTCCTGGCCGGCTGAGCCACTTTTCAAAACGCCCTTGCACGGCTGTGCAGAGTGGCTGGCTCCACTGGCAGCCGGCAGAGTAATAACTCACACTGTCACCACTGCCCTCAAACCTCTTCGGTAAGCGCTTTGTTTTTTTGAGATGGAGTCTTGCTCTGTCATCCAGGCTGGAGTGCAGTGGCACAATCTCGGCTCACTGCAAGCCCTGCCTCCTGGGTTCATGCCATTCTCCTGCCTCAGCCTCCCAAGTAGCTGGGACTACAGGCACTCGCCACCATGCCCGGCTAATTTTTTGTATTTTCAGTAGAGACGGGGTTTTACCGTGTTAGCCAGCATGGTCTCAATCTCCTGACCTTGTGATCTGCCTGCCTCTGCCTCCAAAGTGCTGGGATTACAGGCATGAGCCACCGCGCCTGGCCTGGTAAGCACTTTTAATCAATGCAACAGGAATAAACATTTGCTGCAGAGCGGCAATGTGCAGGGAGGAACATGCTTCCACTCAGGATCAGAAAGCAAAACCTCCTGGCTGTTTGCATCTATGCAAGAGCTCGCAGGAAAAGCCCTCTGTGTGGCTGCCAGCCTCACACACTCCCCCCAAGGGGTGAGTTTCTCTTTCCATGTTAATCTATGCTCTGACGTGCCATCTGTCAACAACCACACCATTCTCAGTTGCCCTTTCAAAGCATCTTTGCCCTGAGAATGGTCACCAGCCCTGCCCTGCAAGCCCCCAGGTGACAATGAACTTAAATGAGAGAGAAAACAGGTTTCGGGGTGGATTTCAGTTCAGCATCTTGGAGTCTCTGTGTGGACATGAAATCTGTCTCCCCAGCTGTGGGCTGCATCCTTGTTTGTCATCTGGTTTGGTTCTTGGGGACTTGGAAACTCGTGGGCACCTTTGCAATTTGTCAAGAAGCTGCACGGCCCTTCCAACAAAAGCAAGGAATAGGAGCAGAAGCCCAAGGCTTCAGATCAAGGTGCAATTTAAAGCAGCCTCAGTGTAAAAGCAAACAAGAGCCAGAGGGATGCCTAAGGCAGAGTCTAGACCCCAGGGCAACTATAAGGCAAAGAGAAAGAGAGAGAGAGACAGAGACAGAAAGACAGAGAGAGATGGGGGGACACAGGAGGCACCCAGGCCTCTGGATCAAAATCCCTACAAGAGGGGCCTCCTAAAAATGCAGGAGGCTGAGGTGGGTGCACACAGAAGTTCAAGACTAGCCTGGGCAACATAGCAAGACCGTGTCTTTACAAAAAATACAAAAATTAGCCGGGTGTGGTGGTGTATGTCTGTGGTCCCAGTTACCCAGGAGGCTGAGGTGGGAGGATGGCTTGAGCCCAGGAGGTAGAGCTGCAGCGAGCTGAGATAGCACCACTGCACTCCAGCCTGGGCAACAGAGTGAGACTTCATCTCAAAAAAATTTTAAAATATTTTTAAAAAGGATCGCCCCGGCTACTTGAATGGGTAATAAGAAGGTAAGAGCAGAAGCAAGGAGACCAGCAGGGACATTCTGCAGGTGGGAGTCCACAGTGGCTCAGACCAGGCTGGGGCTGAAGACTGGCTGAATTCTGTATATATTTTGATGATGAAGCAACTCACCGACTCTTGAAGAGTGGGCTCTAGGAGACGGTATTTTTAACAAGCTCTCAGAGGATTCTAATGCAGGCTGAAGTTGAAGAACTGGTTTAGGTGAAGCTTCTGTTTCATCCTTGGGGAAGTACCTACTGACTTTTCTCTAAGCCACCTCAAAAGAGGTGCTAGACAAGATGTGCTCCAATGTCTGAACATGTGTGCATAGCTCTAGAGCCAACCTCAGGACACTGAGTCAAAGGTTAGGAGTACAACAGTGAACAACCACTGTCCTCTTTTCCATGAGCTTTGCATTTAATGAGAGAAATAAAAAGCAAAAAAAAAAAATCATTTTCAACTCAGAATGGTAAGAGTTACGGTGACAGTATGCCTGGGGCAATGGGAGCACATAGAAGGGGCACCCAATCGGCCAGGTGCAGTTGTTCATGCCTGTAATCCCAGCACTTCGGGAGACCAAGGTGGGTGGATCACTTGAGGCCAGGAGTTCGAAAACAACCTGGCCAACATGGTGAAATCCTGTCTTTACTAAAAATACAAAAAAATCAGCCAGATGTGGTGGCGGGCACCTGTAATTCCAGATACTCAGAAGGCTGAGGTGGGAGAATTGCTTGAACCCGGGTGGTGGAGATTGCAGTGAGCCAAGATCGCACCACTGCACTCCAGCCTGCATGGTCAGAGCAAGACTCCTTCAAAAAAAACAAAAGAAAGAAAAAAGAAAAAGCCCGGAGGTGGGTGGGCGTGCAATCTATATCAGGTTGTGAGAAATCCCTCTCCACCACAGGACTCCTCAGTTGAAGACTAGAAAATGGTAGGAACTAGCCAGGTCGATAGGAGAGGTGTGGAAGATCATTCCCAGCAGAGGGAAGAGCATGTGCAAAAATCGAGACGTGAGAGGGTGAGGAGCTGAGAGATGTTCATATAATTATAAAAAGTGACTAACATAGAGGTAAGTTGGAGCCAAATCTTTTTTTTTTTTTTTTTTTTTTTTTTTTGAGACGGAGTCTCGCTCTGTCGCCCAGGCCGGACTGCGGACTGCAGTGGCGCAATCTCGGCTCACTGCAAGCTCCGCTTCCCGGGTTCACGCCATTCTCCTGCCTCAGCCTCCCGAGTAGCTGGGACTACAGGCGCCCGCCACCGCGCCCGGCTAATTTTTTGTATTTTTAGTAGAGACGGGGTTTCACCTTGTTAGCCAGGATGGTCTCGATCTCCTGACCTCATGATCCACCCGCCTCGGCCTCCCAAAGTGCTGGGATTACAGGCGTGAGCCACCGCGCCCGGCCGGAGCCAAATCTTAAAGGCTCTTTGTCGTGTCTATCCTGTAGACAAAGGGAGACAGTAGATGTTTTTAGACAGGGGAGTAATGATCCACTTTGTGCTAGAACAAGAGCAGTCTGGCTGGAGGAGAGTGGGAGGTGAGTAGACCAGGTAGGAGGCTGCAATACACCAAGTGAGACAAGATGGTTGGCTGGACCAAGGCTGTGGCAGTGAGGATGGAGAGGAGACAGTAGACTAACTTGACTGAGAAAGAGGGAGGAATGAAGGAGGAGGCCCAGGTGTTTTGGAAGCTGGGTGGATGGTGGTGTGAATCTGACGTGGTGAGCCCAGGCAGAAGAGGAAATCAGGAGAGGCAAGGTAAGATGAGGTCAATGCAAGACAGACAGCCAAGTGGAGATAACAAGTGGGCAGTTGGATTCATCAGCCTGGAGTTATACAGAGAACTCTGGAATGGAAATAAAGAGGAAAGGACTTTGGGAATAGGTGAATCCTCCCAGAATAATGTGTAGAGAAAGGAGAATAGAACACAGGGGACAGAAAAAGGGAAGAGATTTGTTATTAAAACCAACCATCCATCAGACATCTCCCAATAAAACACTTGTTAGAGGTTTCCTCAGTGTGAGTTATTCAGGACCAGAGCTAAAGACCATATTCCCAATAAAATCACTGGTGGGAAGGTCTTCATGAAAACATTTAATTCTGCTTTTAAAACAACAACAACAACAAAAAGGCTTTAGCTACCGCACAGACCCTGGAGCAATTTTTCGGCAAGAGTCTATCAAACACGAATCTGATCTGACTCAAGGAGGTGTCATATCAAGTGTAAAAATCCAATTCCAATGTCCTTAAAAGCCTTTCTGCCAGGTACAAGACCCTAATCCAATTGAAGTGATTT
Organism: Homo sapiens; assembly: GCF_000001405.40. Taxonomy (NCBI): domain Eukaryota; kingdom Metazoa; phylum Chordata; class Mammalia; order Primates; family Hominidae; genus Homo; species Homo sapiens. The sequence goes on from NC_000008.11 coordinate 12,672,412, forward strand.
TCTATTGATTAATAGGCTGGGAATACACAGGTTGTTTGTTTTTGAGATTTCTCTCCCTGTGCCTTCATGGCAGCTGTGAAAGAGTCAAAAGGCTCCTAACTGTCAAAATAAAAATGACACTTGGTCACAGAGGAAACAGATTATAGGTCAATCACATTGATGACTTTTTAACTATGAGAAGCCATTAATCTTACTGAATAAGCAAATCTGTTTACATAACCAGATTTTTATAGGCTACTGGGAATAAAGGTTTTCCTAAGTGGGTGATTTGTACAACGATAGCCTTTGGGTCTCTGATGGAACAGCTCTGATGAGGAAATGTTCCTTTAATTATGTGGAAGGCCAATTACCACGTTATCGCTACATTGTTTTTCAGATTGCATGTAATTTCACCATTTCCATAGCTTCAGCACTATAATTCTGGAGAAAATTCAGGCACCAAGGAGACACCTGAGGCACATTATGCTGGAGACAAAGATGTTTTAGCGAATTCAATTTAAGCTTCAACATTAAAGTTATTTTCTTGAAAAAAAACATATTGCAATAATGAGCTTGTGTATGTCAACTCTATAGTGGAGGTAATAATATCTAGAGAGAGCATGTCCCGTCTCCTCTTTTTAATGCTCATTTGAGTAATACATAATGCTATAGAGAGAACCTTTCTCTAATATGTGCTTCATCTCAGGCTAAGTGTGTTTTGGGCAACTGTGCTTCATGGAAAAAAAAAAAGGTAAAGGATCTAATTGGGGAGCCATTCACAAAAGTGTTACCACTTGATTTTTTTTATACTCTGAGATTTCTTATTCCCAGTGCCTACCAGGAAAGGACTTTCTGGAGAAGCTCAGATTAATCACTCCTTATGAGAGGTGACAGTGTGCTGGCAGCCCTCACAGCCCTCATTCGCTCTTGGTGCCTCCTCTGCCTGTGCTCCCACTTTGGCGGAACTTGAGGAGCCCTTCAGCCCGTGGCTGCATGGTGGGAGCCCCTGTCTGGGCTGGCCAAGGTCGGAGCTGGCTCCCTCAGCTTGCAGGGAGGTGTGGAGGGAGAGGCATGAGCCAGAACTGGGGCTACACATGCTGCTTGTCTGCCGGCTGAAGTTCCAGGTGGGCATGGGCTTGGCGGCCCTGCACTAGGAGCTGCTGGCCAGCCTAGCCGGCCCGGGCAGTGAGGGGCTTAGCACCTGGGCCAGCAGCTGCTGTGCTTGACTTCTCGCCGGGCCTTAGCTGCCTCCCCATGGGGCAGGGCTCAGGACCTGCAGCCCGCCATTCCTTAGCCTCCCCCCTCTGTGGGCTCCTGTGCAGCCCGAGCCTCCCCAACAAGCACCTTCCCCTGCTCCACGGTGCCCAGTCCCATCGACCACCCAAGGGCTGAGGAGTGTGGGCGCACAGAGAGGGACTGGCAGGCAGCTCCACCTGTGGCTCCTGTGTGGGATCCACTGGGTGAAGCCAGCTGTGCTCCTGAGTCTGATGGAGACTTGTAGAACCTTTATGTCTAGCTAAGGGATTGTAAATACACCAATCGGCACTCTGTATCTAGCTCAAGGTTTTTAAACACACCAATCAGCACCCTGTGTCTAGCTCAGTGTTTGTGAATGCACCAGTCGACACTCTGTATCTAGCTACTAGGGTGGGGACTTGGAGAACCTTTGTGTGGACACTCTGTATCTAGCTAATCTAGTGGGGATGTGGGGAGCCTTTGTGTCTAGCTCAGGGATTGTAAACGCACCAGTCAGCACCCTGTCGAAACAGACCACTCAGGCTCTCTGTAAAATGGACCAATCAGCAGGATGTGGGTGGGGCCAGGTAAGAGAATAAAAACAGGCTGCCCGAGCCAGCAGTGGCAACCCGCTGGGGTCCCCTTCCACACTGTGGAAGCTTTGTTCTTTTGCTCTTTGCAATAAATCTTGTTGCTCCTCACTCTTTGGGTCCACACTGCCTTTATGAGCTGTAACACTCACTGAGAAGGTCTGCAGCTTCACTCCTGAAGCCAGTGAGACCATGAACCCATCAGGAGAAATGAACAACTCCAGACGTGCAGCCTTAAGAGCTGTAACACTCACTGTGAAGGTCTGCAGCTTCACTCCTGAGCCAGCAAGACCAGGAACCCCACCAGAAGGAAGTAACTGCGAACACATCGGAACATCAGAAGGAACAAACTCCAGACACGCCACCTTTAAGAACTGTAACACTCACCAGGAGGGTCCGCGGCTTCATTCTTGAAGTCAGTGAGACCAAGAACCCACCAATTCCGGACACACTTACACACTTGGCACTGGGAGGTCTGTATGGAGCAAGTGAGGAAATCAGCAGAGTAAAGATAGAGGGAGAACAACATGATGGGGGAAAGCAAAGTTACTGCCATGTAGGTTTCAATTCTGCCACTCATGACTGAGACCCATGACCTCCTCTCTCTAGGACTCTGTTGTTCTTATCTGTAGAGTGGAGGAATAGAAGGGTCTTTTAAAGTATTAATATTTCCTGACCTATCTGTAAAACACTTTCATTCAAACTGATGGGAATCTTGACTACTTTGCCAAGAGGACATAATAATCATCAAGCTGAATGCACCAAACAACATTGCCTGAAACTATCTAAGCAAAAACTGACAAAGTTACACAGGACAGACAAACCTCCTATGAGAGTAAGAACTCTTCAGCACATGCTTAGTGTGTCAAAGACAATGCTGTGTTCACACCATTCCTCTTCCTCTACATGCAGAAAGACTACATTTCCCAGCCTCACTTGCAGTTAGTTTGGAACCATGTGACTGCATTTCCACCAATAGGAATGTAAGAAATCACTTCTGGGCCAAGGTTATCAAAGGCAAGTGTGAGCTATGTTCCCTCTCTCCCTATCCATATGGCTGCAAGTGAAAAACTCTGAGATGGCAGAATTAAAAGATGGAAACCTGCAGAATCTCTGAATCACTGTTGGACAAGGGCCCCCAAGGAGAACCCCTGCCCTGCACCAGACTATACTATGGGTGCCAACCCACTGAGAGTTCAGGGTTTATTCGTCTCAGCAGCAGTCTATTGTTACACTGACTAACATCCTAAGGTTTGAGAGATCTAGCATATTGTTAACTGAAGCTAGATTTCAATTACACTGAGAACCTTATCTATTTAAAAATAAAAACTCTCCTAAAAAAAACAAATAATCCACATTCCTTTTAACCACATGTGGAAAATTTGCAAAAAAAAAAAAAAAACTGGCCACATATTAGGCCATAAAGAAGTCTCAGCAAAATCCACTATACAATTGACATTGTCCAGACCACATTTTCCTGACCATAATGCAATAAAATTAGAAGTCAACAGCAAGAAGATAGATAAACACAAGCACACATTTGGAAAATTAAAAATATCCTTTCATGAGTTAAATGAAAAATCACAATAGAAATTACTAGACATTTACAACAGAACGAAAATACAACTTTATATATATATACATATTTACATATATATATACATATTTACATATATATATATATATATATATATATATATATATATGTATTTTTCTTTGTGAGTCTTCCAACTTTGTTCTTCCTTTACAAGGTTATCTGGGAAATTCTGGGTTTCCTGCAAATCCTCATACAGTTTTATGCTGTTTGTCAATTTCTGTGGCTGGGATAAACTTATCATAGTTCTCATAGACCAGGGTTTGCATCGCTGTCTAGAGCCCAGATCTGCTGCACCATGTCCGTCTCACTGTCCATCAGCTGGGCCAGAGGGCACTCTCTAGGCAGCTTGTCTAGGTAAACTTCTGGGTTGAACTGCGCCCCGTTCAGATCAGTGGGGTCCAGGGGGTCTGGACCCGCGAGGTGTCCCACCGCCTCCCCTTCCGAGAGGCCACTGTAAAGCTTTAGCATCCTGTGCGCCTTCCACCGACACTCCGTGAGCCTCCCACTCGGGCCCTTCTGGGAAGTCCCCAGGTCCACAGCCCGGGCTAGGCCCAGTGACAGCTGCCGCCGCCATAGGTCCAACTGCAGCCCACGGGCGTAATTTTTATATTTTTAAGTTGGCTACATGGAGCTACTTGGCGTTTGCTTTCATCACACCGTTGAGGAAAGAGGTGGTTGCTTATGGTACCCCTGTTTTTACTGCAACCTGTAATGGATGAGAACCTCCCTGTTGCAGAGAGCAAAACACTGAACTAAATTGTGCTGTAACACAGCTCTGTGTTGGCGGATTGGGAGTGATCATGCAAATGCTTGCAAATTTGCACAGTGACAGACACAATCTTTTGGGCAGCTGTTCACTATAGGAAAAGGCAATTGACTAAAAGTCAGTTACTGAGCTATCTCAATACTTTCATTTCATTTTAACTTTTGCAGTAGGGTGCAATTAAAGGAGAGAAAGAAAACAAAGTGATAAGTGTAAGATAATGTACACACATGTGTAAAAGAAAATGACAAGACAGGATGACTATTTGTCTCTTGGGTAGCTCCTTGGGCTCCATGTCTCCTTCCTCAGAGAACCTCGTTTTCCTTTGTCCAGATTTGTTAGGGTGGATAATCCAGGGGCCTGCTCCCCCATGATAGAAGCCAAAGACGTCCCTGCAGGCGCCTCCCGCTGCATCCTTTTCTGCACTGCCCACATGGACACAACTCAGCCGATTAGACTTGTTCTCAGAACTTTAGTCTTGAGCAAAGAGATTAAAGGGTGAAGTGACTGAAGGTATGCCCTTCCAAAGTGGTACGTGAGCTAATGGCTAAAGTTTGCCAAGCCCATCCAATCACTTTTTTTCGTAATTTTTATATATTTATTTTTTTGAGAGAGATTCTTGCTCTGTTGCCCAGGCTGGAGTGCAGTGGCGTGATCTCGATTCACTGCCACCTCTGTCTCCCAGCTTCAAAGGAGTCTCCTGTCTCAGCCTCCCCAGTAGCTGGGATTACAGGCATACGCCACCATGCATGGCTAATTTTTTTTGTGTGTGTGTATTTTTAGTAGAGACAGGGTTTCACCATGTTGGCCAGGCTGGTCTTGAACTCCTGACCTTGTGATTCGCCTGCCTCAGCCTCCCAAAGGGCTGGGATTACACGCGTGAGCCACCGCGCCCAGCTTCAAAAAGTTTTAAGCAAAGCTCAGAGGTCTTAACCACAGGCACATCGGAGGATCATGTTTGAAACACTTTCCAGCTTCCTCAATAGGAATGGAAACCAAACTCCGAATTGATGACTCCTTTGAGGAAGTCGAGAGCTGTAAGGAAAGCCAGTAACAGGGGCAAGGGAGAGATGCGTCCCGAATGATCCTGTGCCAATTCTTTCTGGAATCCTTGATGTGATCTCAGCTGCCCTTTCTATACATGACACAGTGATTGTGGCACCCACTGGTCTAGCTGTGGTCTCCAAGGAACCCCCAAAGGGAAGGGCTCAGGGAGCAGGGGCATCAGCCTGAGTGACAAGGATTTGAGAGGGCAGGTTGGATGCAGGGAGAGGACTGGCCAAATGCCATGTGTCTGGACTTAGACTGCCTGGTTCAAATTGGACTTCGCCCTTTTTGACTTCGTGATCTGGTACAAGCTACATGAAAATCCGTTGCGCCTTTTCTAGTCTGTAAAATCATCCTGAAATGTGCACTAATAACGTGGAGACTATGCAGATGAAATGAAACAAGCTGCATAGAGCACAGAGCTCAGAGTCTGGCCTTTATGAAGCCCTCAGTAAGGGTTCATGATGCCATGGTGTCTGTCGTCATCCTCTTTATCCTCATCATCACCTTCATAATCTCTTTGTTGTTCTTAGGGAATAGTTTAGAGGGACTGATCCCCTGCTATCATGGGTGAGATGTCTATGAAAAGGACAACCAGTGGGGGAGGAAAGCAAAATTTTGAATAAGATTTCTGAGACCCCCACCACAACCAAGAACAGAAACGCCACAGTCTGCTGAGCAGAGAGTTGCATATTGGTCTCATCCCATCCACCCATCACACTCTCCTGTTTGTCCTGAGGATGAGGAAACAAACAAGGCTCCCGACCATCCCTCAGTATTCACTTGAAGGGGTGACCTGCCCCTCCACACCTATGGGTATTTCTAGTCATGTGGGACGAGAGACTGAGAAAAGAAATAAGACACAGAGACAAAGTACAGAGAAACAACAGTGAGCCCAGGGGACTGGCGCTCAGCATACCAAGGACCTGCACTGGCACTTGCCTCTGAGTTCCCTCATTTTTATTGATTATTATTTTTATTATTTTAGCAAAAAGGAATGTAGTAGGAGGGCAGGGTGATAATAAGGAGGTCAGCAACGAGCATGAGAACAATAGAATCTATGTCATAATGAAGTTCACGGGAAGGTACTATGACTGGACGTGTACGTAAGCCAGATTTATGTTTCTCTCCACCCAAACATCTCAGTGGAGTAAAGAATAAAAAGGCAGCATTGCTGCAAACACGTCTCGCCTCTCACCATAGGGCGGTTTTTCTCCCATCTCAGAACTGAACAAATGTACAATCAGGTTTTATATCGAGACATTCAGTTCCCAGCTGCAGGCAGGAGACAGCGGCCTTCCTCTCTCTCAACTGCAAGAGTCTTTCCTCTTTGACTAATCCACCTCTGCACAGACCATTTACGGGGGTCAGGCTGGAGGACAGTCATTTCTTTCTCCTCCCATGAGGCCACTTATCAGACTATCACATGGGGAGAAACCTTGGACAATAAGCCTCTTTCAAGGGCAGAGGTCCCTGCGACTTTCCACAGTGTATCTTGCCCCTGGTTTATTGAGACTACAGAATGACGATGACTTTTACCAAGTATACTGCTTGGAAACATCTTGTTAACAAGGCACGTCCTGCACAGCCCTAGATCCCTTAAACCTTGATTTCATACAACACATGCTTTTGTGAGCTTCAGGTTGGTTCAAAGTGGTTGGTTCAAAGTGACTGGGGCAAAGCTACAGATTAACAACATCTCAGCAAAGCAACTGTTGAAAGTACAGGTCTTTCTCAAAATGGAGTCTCTTATGTCTTTCCTTTCTCCATAGACACAGTAAGTGTCTGATCTCACTTTCTTTTGCCTACATTCACTGAACTGCCCTTCCCCTCTGCTGGGCCATGACCACGGAGAACAGGTCCACTGTCCTCCCTGCGTGGTGCACATTGGAGGCTCAGACTCCGTCCTCAAGGCTGGCAAGAAGACAGGGTGAGACATCAGCCCCTTGATACAGGTGACAGGAGTGGAGCCCACAGGACTGCAACCTCACACTGCAGGGCTGGAGGGACAGACTATTTACTATTCTGTGGCCTGGGAGGCTCAAGGCACAGAGCTCCTCATTAGCCAAAGTCGCCCAAGTTCCCCAACCTCTAAGGATTTCCTCATAATATTGCAAGAAGAAGAAGAGAAAAGTGAGTGTCCATAGAAGCTTTGGGGCTCTTCCTCTAATCAGGAGAAAGCTGGTGGGTATTCTTCGCTTCTTTCTTTTCTTTTTAAACATCCAACTGCTTCAATTTTTGTCTTTTATTATGGGAAAATATACCACGTATAAATATTAAAAATTATATATACATATTATTTCATAGAGAAAGGCCAGTATAAACATTTACAATTTCCACTCTTTTTCAGTTAACAGTTTAACCACATTAAGTACGTTCACATTGTTTAGCAACCATCACCGCCATCGTCTCCGGAACAGTTTTATCTTTCAAAATGGAAATTCCACCCATTCACCAAGCTCTCCATTCCTCTCTCTCGCCCGCCCCTGGAGGCCACTTTTCTAGTTTGCAAATCTATGAGTTTAGCTACTCTAGACACTTGATAGATAAGTGGAATCATACCGTGTTTAATTTTTTTGTTTTGCAGACATAGTCTTTCTCTGTCGCCCAGGCTGGAGTGCAGTGGCGTGGTCTGGGCTGACTGCAACCTCCACATCGGGGATTCAAGCGATTCTTGTGTCTCAGTCTCCCGAGTAGCTGGGATTACAGGTGTGCGCCACCACGCCCAGCTAATTTTTGTATTTTTAATAGAGATGAGCTTTCACCATATTGGCCAGGCGGGTCTCGAACTCCTGACCTTAAATGATCTGCCTGGCTCAGCCTCCCTAAGTGCTGGGGTTACAGGTGTGAGCCACTGAGCCTGGGCCTGTTTATCCTTTTGGGATTTATTTATTTCACTGACGATAATGTCTTCAAGGTTCATCCATGTTGCGGCCTGCGTCAGAAGTGCCTGTCTGTTTTTTGTTGTTGTTGTTTTTTGTTTGTTCGTTTGACTTTGTTTTGTTTTGTGTTTCCATGGAGTCTCACTCTGTCTCACAGTCTGGAGTGCAGTGGCACAATCTGGGCCCACTGCAACCTCCGCTTCCTGGGTTCCAGCGATTCTTGTGCCTCAGCCTCCCGAGTAGCTGGGACTATAGGCACAGGCCACCATGCTCACCTAATTTTTTGCATTTTCAGTAGAGACAGGGTTTCACCAAGATGGCCAGGCTGGTCTTGAATTCCTGACCTCAGTTGATCTGCCCACCTCGGTCCTCCAAGACGCTGCGATTACAGGTGTGAGCCACTGCACCGGCCAGAAGTGCCTGCCTTTTGAAGGCTGAATAGTCTTCCATTGTATGAAGGAACTGCAGTGTGCTTTTTCATTCATCTGTCCACGAACCCTTGGGTTGCTTCCACATTTTGGCTCTTGTGAATAATGCTGCTATGAATATGGGTGTACACAAATCTGTCTTCCACTCCTGGCTTCTAATTCTTTTTGGTAGGTACCCACAAATGCAACTGCGGGAACATCTGATCATACTGTTTCTAATTTTTCCAGTAGACGCCATACTATTTTCCCCGTTCCTTCACGGTTTCACATTCCCTCTGATCATATGCGAGCATTCCTATTTCCCTCTAGTCTCACCAATGCCTGTTTGTTTATCATATCCATCCTAATGTGTGGTGTCACATTCTTGGTTTGATTTGCGCTTCCCTATGATGAGTGACTTTGAACATCATTTTAGATGCTTATTGGCCATTGCAATATCTTCTTTAGGGACACGTCTACTCAAGTCTTCTGACCATTGTTGATGGGATGCTTTGGGTTTCTTGTTGTTTAGTTCTAGCTGTTCTTTATATACGATGGCTATCAGCCTCTTTTCAGATATATGCTTAGCAAATATTTTTCCTAATCCATGGGTTAACTTTTCACTCAGTTCGCAGTGTTTTTTCCTGCACAAAAGTGTCTGTCATTTAGATGTAATCCAAGGAATCTAATTTTCTTTTGTTGCCTATGCTTTTGGTGTCATATCCCAGAGAACATTGCCCAATCTGATGTCATGAAAGAGTGGCCAATGTTTTCTTTTAGGCGTATGATACGTTTAGTGCTTGGGGTGAGGTCTTTGATCCAGTTTGTGTTAATTTTTGCACCTGGTGTGACATAGGGTCCACCTTCATTCTTTTGCATGTGGAAATCAAGTTTCTCCAACACCATTTCTTGAAAAGGCTGCTTTTCCACCAATGAGCTTTCTTAGCACTCATGTGAAAAATCATTTGAACCTATAGGTGAGAAGTTATTTCTGGGCTCCAAAGCAAACAAACAACAGACAACAGATAAGGATACAGCATGGGCCGGGCGCGGTCGCTCAGGCTTGTAATCCTAGCACTTTGGGAGGCCGAAGCGGACGGATGATTTCAAGAGCAGAAAGAGAAGAGCTTAAAAACCAGCATAATGAGAAAGTTAGGAAGCTTCTTACCAAAGCATCTGGAAATATGCAAGCAATTCTTGTGAACTAAAGTTTTCATACTGTACTATCAAACACTAGCACTCACTTATTCCATCTTTCCGTATTTTGGGACCCAATTATCCACTTGTCTTCATTCCCTATCCCACCCCTTTTCTTCCTAGCGTCTGCTAAACACCTTTATACTCTCCACCTTCCTGAGATTCCTTTTGTGTGTAGGTGTGTCTGGGATAGAGTCTCTTTTTGTTGCCCAGGTTGGAGTATACAGGCACAATACGGGCTCACTGCAAGCTCTGCCTCCCGAGTTCAAGCGCTTCTTGGGCCTCAGCCCTCCGAGTAGCTGAGACTACAGACACAAATCACCATGCCTGGCTCATTGTTTGTGATTTCCGTAGAGACGGAGTTTCACCATGTTGGCCAGGTGGGTTTTGAACTCCTGGACTCAAGTGATCCGTGCGACTCGGCCTCCCAGACAGCTGGGATTACAGGCCTGAGCCACCACACCTGGCCAAGGTTTCCTTTTTTCTTCCTACATAGAAGTGAGGACGTGAAATATTTGTCATTCTGTGCCTGGCTTATTTCATTTAATATAAAGACCTGGAATCTCATCCATTTTGTCTGCAGCGGAGAGAAGTTTCTTCCTTTTTAGGCTGACTAATACTTCATTGGGTGTATATACCACAGTTTCTTCATTGAAACTAATTTCTGAAGAGCAAATATTTTAAAAATGTCTCGGAATGTGAAACTTCAGGGATACTGTGCCCATTTTATTCTTTTCTATTTCCCATCTTATGTATACGCAAGTGTATAACAAAGCAGCAATCAATGTGTGTATAAATCTATAACTTCAACAAATGTAAAATGTAAATGCTAAGTGGTGGCTGGGCGCGGTCGCTCATGCCTGTAATCTCAGCACTTTGGGAGGCGGAAGCGGGCGGATCACCTGATGTCGGGAGTTCCAGACCAGCCTGACCAAAATGGAGAAACACTGTCTCTATTAACAATACAAAAAAAAAAAAAAATTAGCCAGGCATGGTAGCGCATGCCTGTAATCCCAGCTACTTGGAAGGCTGAGACAGGAGAATTGCTTGAATACGGGAGGCAGAGGTTGCAGTGAGCCGAGACCGTGCCATTGAACTCCAGCCTGGGCAACAAGAGTGAAACTCTGACTCAAAAAAAAAAGGAAAAGAAACAAATAGAAAACGCGAAATGGTAAGAAAAAACAACATAATAAACATTTCTATGGTGTTGATGGACAAAGCATTTGAAGATAATATTTGAAGAAATCATATTACAATTAATTTCTGTTCTTACTCATTGGAGCTTGATGCCTCTAAAAACTTCGTCATTGGAAACACCTCTGGTGCTTTAAAAGAAAAAAAAATCCACACACTCACACAGGTGCAAGGAAATCAGAATCTCACGTATTGAGACCCAGGTCTCATCATTTCTAAGCTCCCCAGGTGATTTAACTCAAAGCCAAGATTGAGGAACGGCGACATGGATTTCTACACAGAACCTGCCTATATAGATTCTCTAGAAGCAGTTTATAAAGAAATTCCACATGAACTGTGGAAGAGGATATGAATTTAATGTACAGTATGTCCTCACTTAACATCTTTGAAAGTCTCTTGGAAACTTCACCCTGAAGCAAAATTATGTACAGTGAAGCCACTTATTTTTCTTCAACAGTACAACTACACAACTTTGAACAACCAATGCTGTTGGAGGACACCCTGTACATTGTTTCCATAAAGTCAGTGTTCAGGGAATTCCAAAATGAAGTGAGGGCTTCCTGTATATAAAAAGATGGTTGTGATTCCACCTGGATGACAGTGTTATTGCGCAGAAACTAAAGGAGGCTGCCTAGATATAGAGGATTCAGTCATGAGGTTTCTGCTCAACAAAGGATCCCAGAATCCTCACCCATTGCAGTTAAAGACATAACAAAGAAAGCAATATTCGCATAGGAAATGCGGAAAGGAATAAAAGCCATCAAGCCACAAAAATAATGTGACTAAGGGGCAGGATTTGCAGATGCAGAGATTTAATGTGGTTGCCCTTTCTCACGCACACAAGAAAAAGGATGGAACAGATCATGAGATTCGACTGTTCTGCTGCGCAGCCTCCGCAGGGCACTTTGTATGTCCCTGTTTCTCAGGCTGTAGATGAAAAGGTTCAGCATGGGGGTGACCACAGCCTACATCACTGATGCCACCACACCATTCCTGGGGGGTGGTGACACGGCTGAAGCCAGGTACATGCCAATGACTGTTCCATAAAACCAGCAAACAACTCCTAGGTGAGAGCCATAGGTGGAGAAGGCTTTATACTTCCCATCTGACGATGACATCCTTAGAATGGAGGGGACAATTTTATAGTAAGACAAAAGGATCCCTGAAATGGGAAGAAAACCAAACATAGTACTATCGAAATATATGAATATGCTATTGATGACGCTGTCAGAACAGGCAAGGTTGAGAAGCTGAGAGGGGTCACAGAAAAAATTAGAGATTTCCACATTCTTGATGATGGTGAATTGTAACACAATCCAACTGTGCAGCTGGGAATCCAACAGGTTAAGGAAAAAGGACACCAAAACGAAGAAGACACAGAGGTGAGGATTCACTATGACTGGGTAGTGCAGAGGGCGACAGATGGCTACAAAGCAGCCATAGGCCATCACAGTCAGGAGCATGCCTTCTATACATGCAAAAAGGACCAAGAAAGACATCTGTGTCAGGCAGCCCACATGAGAGATGACTCTGCTATGCGACTGCATATCCAGAATCACCTTGGGAACCGTGGCCGAGGTGAGACCGATGTCAGCCCAGCACAGGTTGGAGAGGAAGAAGTACATGGGGGTGTGGAGGGGGGAGTCAGAGCTGACAGCCAGGATGCTGAGCAGGTTCCTCAGCACCGTGACCAGATTCAGGGACAGGGACAGGGACAGCAAAGCGAGGACCGACTGCAGTTCTGGATCCTCTGAGAGTCCCAGGAGGAGGAATTCTCAGACACCTGTGAGATTCCGTGGCTCTGTGTGTCTTGGACACCTTGAGAAGGAAAGAGGATTGGAAAAATAAAAGATAAAAACCAGCCCTTAATGCTGGATGCAAGCAATTTACAAGGAACATCTTCACACTTCCGGACCATACATCGCCAGCAATGTTTCTCAGTTGTGACAATTCCAAAAATCTCAGAATTATTACGTGATTTGCTTTTTTGCTATACAAGGCTTTCTGTACATACTACTTTAGAGAAAATCCACGGAAGAATATTAGAAGACCAAAACGTTATATATAACAAATCCCTGATCTCAGTAAAATACAGCCTACTCTTTTCAGGAAAAATATAATGCAATGAAAATGTCCTTCTCTCTTTTAGAAAAAGATCTCAGTCTAATTGAAAGAAATTAAGAAGCCGTGAAATACACTCTACTTTATTCTGACACCGTGCTACAACTTCCATTGATGTAGAATATGTAAAAGGACGAAGCAAGAGCTAAGACCCCATTATCTGAAAACGAAATCGAACCTTAGAGTTCTCAATCGGAAGACCTTTTCACATGCCTGTTACTTTTCATATTTATTATCATCCTTTGGTTTTCTGACATCATTTCTTCATAAAAGTACATGCACACTCAAAAATGGGAGCTGTGTTTCCAAATGAATTGAATATATAACTCTTGGCCCAGCACCATGGCCCACACCTGTAATCCCAGCACTTTGGGCAGCCGAGGCTGATGGATCACCTGAGGTCAGGAGTTCCAGACCAGCCTGGCCAACGTGGTGAAACCCCGTCTCCAGTGAAAATAAAAAAAATTTAGCTGGGCGTGGTGGCGGGTAACCCTAGCTATGACAGCAGAGTGGGTGTACACCCTGATATTATTTGTAATATCCTAGAAAGATATTGCTCCTAATATCACGGTGTCTCTACACCCTGTGATATTAATTGTAATATCCTACAGAGATATTACTCCTAATAATACAGTGGGTGTACAACCTGTGATATTATTCATAATACATTACAGAGATACGACTCCTGATATCACAGTGAGTGTACACCATGTATGTACACCCTGTGATCTTATTTGTAACAACTTAGAAAAATATTACAGCTAATATCAAAGTGGGTGTACACCCTGCGATGTTATTTGTATCTACTAGGTAGATATTACTCCTAATATCACAGGGAGTGTACACCATGTGTGTACAGACTGTGAAATTATTCGTAATACCCTAGGAAGATATTACTCCTCATATCACAGTGGGTGTACACTGTGAGTGATATTTTTTTCTAATATCCAGCGGGGAAGAGGATGATATTGCTTCCAATATCACAGAAGATGTACACCCCCCTGCGATATTGTTCTTAATATACAGGGAAGGAGAGGATTACATTATTCGCAATATCACTGGGGGTGTACCACCTCCCGCCGGGATATTGTTCTTAATATCCGGAGGTGGAGAGAATGATGTTACTCCCAATATCACAGGGGGTGTACACCACCCCTGTTTGTAAACACCCCTTGTGATATTGTTCCAAATGGCCTGTGAAAGAGTACACAGGACTCCCATTATAGCGGGGGGTGTTCAGCCCTGATGATATTGTTTTCTAACATCCAGGGAAGGAGAGTATGCTATTACTTCCAATATCGCATGGGTTGTACACCCTTTTGTGTTTTTGTGCCCAATATCCAGGAAAATAGAGGATGATATTACTCCCAATATCGAAGTAATTGTACAGCACCCCTGTGATATTCTTCCTAATATCCAGAAAGGAAAAGAATGATATTACTCCCAACAGCGTAGGAAACGTATACCCGCGCTGTGGTATCTTTCCCAGTATCCAGGTGGGGACAGGATCATATTACTTCCAATGTCGCAGGGTGTGTACAGCCCCTCTGTGATCTCGTTGCTAACATCCAGGTTTGGGGAGGACGACATTACTCCCAATATCGCAGGGGGTGTACAACCCCCGTGACCTTGTTAGTCATTTCCTGGGTGGAGAGGATGATCTTACTCCCAATATCGCAGGGGGTGTACACCCCCCTGTGAAAATCTTCCTATATTCAGAGGGAGAGAGGATGATATTACTCCCACTACCGCAGGGGGTTTCCACAGCCCTGTGATACTCTTCCTAATATCCACAGGGAGAGAGGATGATATGACTCCCAATATCGCAGGAGGTGTACACAACCCTGTGATATTGTTCCTAACATCCAGAGCGAAAGAGGATGCTATGACTCTCAATATCGCAGAGGGTGTACACCCCTCCTGTAATATTGTTCTGAGTACCCTGGGAGGGAGAGGACAAGGTTACATTGAATATCGCAGGGAATGTGTACCCTCTCCCTCTGATACCCTTCCTAATGTCCAGGGGAAGAGAGGAAAATTTCATTCCCAATATCACAGAGGCAGTACACCCCACCTGTGATGTTGTTCCCAATATGCAAGGGGGGAGAGGATGATACTACTCTCAATATCGCAGGGCTGTTCACATCCCCAGTGACATTTTTTCCTAATATCTAGGGGAGAGAAAATTCTATGACAGCAAAGGTCACAGGGTATGTACATCCCTTCCTGATATTGTTCCTAATATCTAGGGGGGAAGAGGATAATATCAAATATGAAAGGGGGTGTACATCCCCCCCTACGATATTGTTCTTAATAATCGTGAGGGGAGACGATGATATTACTCCAAATATCGCAGGGGTTGTTCACAAACCCCTGTGATATTGTTTCTCATATCCAGAGGGGGAGAAACGCATATTACTTCCAATATTGCAGGTGGTGTAAACCCCACCTGAAATATGGCACCGAATATCCAAAGAGGGAGAGGATGGTATTCACACCAATATCGAAGTGTGTGTACACGCCCTTTGTGATATGGTTTTTAATATCCAGGGGGCGGGAGGATGATATTAGTCCCAACATCCCAGAGGGTGTACACTACCCCTGTGATATTGTCCCTAACTTGCAGAGGGGAGAGGATGATATCACTCCCAATATCTCAGAAGTTCTACATCCCCCGTGACGTTGTACTTCATATCCAGGGAGGAGCAGGATGACATTCCATTGAATTTCGCGACAGGCCTACACCCACCGTGTGATATTGTTCCTAATATGCATGAAGGGAGAGGATGATATTACTCCCAATAAAGCAGTGGGTGTACATCACCCCTGTGTTATTGTCTCTAATATCCGGGGCCAGGGGAGGAGGGGAGAGGATAATATTCCCTCAAATTTAGCAGGTGGTTTGACGCTCCTTGTGGTGTTCTTTTAAATATCCAGAGGGGAAGACAATAGTACTATTTTTGATAGTCCGATTCATCCGCTCCACCTTTCCGGAACTCTGAGGCCGGGAGGTGCCATGCAGTTTCCGTGTGATCCCCAATACCTTTGCCGTCTTCTGTACCAAGGCAGCCAAAAACGCAGGCCCATTTTCTGAGCCGATCTGTAAGGGCGGTTGAAATCTAGGAATCACATCTCGAAGAAGCACAGGGGTTACTTCACGAGCTTTCTCAGTTCGTGTTGGATAGGCCTCCACCCACCCAGAGTAGGTACGCCCAAGAACTAGTACACACTTGTTACCTCCACACTTTGGCATCTCTGTGAAGTCCACCTGGAGACCTTCAAAGGGGGCTGCTCCATAAGCTTCTATGGCGGGCGGAACGGCTGGACCTTGCCTCGCATCATGCTGTCGCAGGTAACACACCGCTGCCTCACCGTTTTGGCAAGGGCTGACAAAGGCGAGATGTAGAAATACCGGCCTAACAACTTTTCCAGTGACTCCTGACCTCGATGGGTGGTTTCTTGCACAGCCAGTACAACTGCGACTCCTAGCAGCTGTGGCACAGCTACTCTCCCATCTGGTAACCGAATCCATCCTTCCTCCATCACTTGTCCTTCCCACTACCTGGAGAAAGTCCTTTTCTTCTTTAGAAGAAGTAGGTCCAAGATCAGGTGCTTGAGGGAGCACTGATGCCCAGAAGGGTGCAGATGCTGCTTTTCGAGCCTCTGAGTCAGCGCGGGAATTCCACAAACCCAGCAAGGTGGAAGCTCGCTGGTGTCTTCTGCAATGCACAACTGCCACCTTGTGGGGTTTCCATACTGCTCCTAATCATTGCAAGATTTCTTCTTGATATTTTCTGTCTTTTCCCCCAGAGTTCAATAGGCCCTTTTCTTTCTATCACGCTCCATGCACTTGAAGGGTTAAAAAGACATACCGAGAATCAGTGTAAATGTTGACAGTCTCACCCTCACTGAGTTCTAAGGCCCGAATGAAAGCAATGAGTTCAGCTTACTGGACTGAAGTGGCCTGGGGCAACGATCTGGCTTCAACAACAGTGTCCAGAGTTATCACTGCATACCCTGCACCTCTCTCTCCTTGGGGGTTGAAGAAGCTGCTCCCATCCACGTATAGTTCCCAGTCTACTGATGCCCAAGGCTGGTCCCGGAGGTCAGGTCTGCTAGAGTCAACAGAGTCCAACACTTCTATACAATCATGATCAACAGGGCTCTCTGATACTGGGAGCAAGGTGGCAGGGTGTAGGGTGTTACAAACTTCAATAGTTATGAGGGGATTTTCGCAGAGCAGTTTGGTACTTGGTGAGTCTGACATTCGTTAGCCAATGATGTCCTTTAGTATTCATTAAAGTCACCACAGCACGGGAGGCCTTTATGTTCAGGTTTTGCCCAAGAGTCAGCTTATTTGCTTCTTATACTGGCAGGGCAGTTGGTGCCAAGGCCCTCCAACAGGGGGGCCATCGTTTAGAAACCCCGTCTAGTTGTTGAGAGAGGTAGGCCACCGGCCTCGGCCAGGGCCCCACAGTTTGGGTTGAAATTCCAGCTGCCATCTTTTCTCTCTCTGATGCATACAATAGAAAAGGCTTTGTCAGATTGGGTAGCCCCAGGGCTGGCGCTGCCAGAAGTTTTTCCTTTAACTCATGAAAGACTTGCTGTTGTTGGGATCCACATTCCAAAGGTTACCTGTCCCCACCCCCTTTGTGACCTCATACAAAGGCTTGGCTAATAGTGCAAAGTTTGGGACCCACAGTCTACAAAACCCCACGGCTCCTAAGAATTCTCTCACCTGCCTTCTGCTCTTAGGCTTTGCTAGATGGCAAATGACCTGCTTTCTTTCTGATCCCGGGCTGCGTTCCGACCCCTGTCAGATAGTAAATCCCAAGTAACGTACCTGCTGTCAGCAGTTCTGAGCTTTCTTCTTGGACACCTTCTACCCACAGTCCTCCAGGTGCCGGTGTAGGGCATCTTTTCCCTTGGCACACCCGACTGCCGTGGGGTGTCCCAGCAGAAGGTCATCAACCTGCTGGAGCAACACGCAGCCTAGGTCTCTGCTGGGAAACTTCTGGAGGTCTGGAGCCCATGCCTCCCCGAAGATGGTACCCTTGGGGAAGCCCGGTCCAAGTGTACTGAGTAGTGACACCTGACTCTGGATCTTCCCACTGAAAGGCAAACAACTTCTGCCTCTCAGGGGCTAATCTGATAGGAAAGAAACCGTCTTTCAAGTCCAAGCAGGTGAACCAGCTGTCCTCACCTGGCGGCAACCCCAACAATGTGGACGGGTTAGGTACTGTTGGATGTAAAGTCAGTGTAGCTTAATGAAGCAAGCGCAAATCCTGTACCGGCCGGTAGTCCTTGGTCCATGGCTTGGGAACAGGCAGGAGGGGAGTGTTCCATGGAGACTGACAAGGAACAATCATTCCAAAAGTTCTTAGGTGCTTGAGATGGACCTGGATACCTTGAAGGGCTTCTCTGGGGACCGGCTCCTGTTTTTGCCTTACTGGCAGGGCCCCAGTCTTAACTGGCAAATCCCGGAGGGTTGTCTTCTGCCCGTACTCTTGGCCACCGCTTAGCCAGAGCTGGTCTTCTCTCTTGGCCCGGCTCAGTTCAGAAAAGTCTCCATTCCTCCTCTCGGGGGACCGTAAGGGTCATAATGACTCCCGTTCTGGGTAACCTTAGCAACGAAGATCCGTGCTCTGTCAAACAGATAGTGGTTCTCAGCTTGCTGAGCAAGTTCCTTAACGAAAAGGTCAAGGGACAGTCAGGCATGTACCAAAACTGATGAATGACTTTATGTCCTCCTACAGTACAAGTCCGAGGCAAGCAGAAAGCTTGCTTTGCTGAAACCCCCTTGGCTCCGATGACGTCAGTAGTCTTTTTGGATAAGGGGGTGACCGGGGCGGTTACTACCGAATGTTCAGCACCGCTATCTACAAGAAAGTCAATGTCTCCACCCCCGACTCTCATTCTGACCAGAGGCTCAATGGGGACGCTTGAGCCCGGTCTCCCTCAGTCCAAGAACCCTTCTGCCAGGTTGAGCAGGGCCTATTCGTCCTTGTCCAGGGCCTCCTGCTCTGAGTCACCTTGTTTTCTTTTGAGCTCAGGGCATTTGTTCTTCCACTGTCCTATTTCTTTACAATCAGCACACTGGTTACGCTGCAAACTCTGACAGCCAAGCTGAGTTTCTTTCCCAGGGCCCTCCTTCCCTTGCCTCTTTGTTGGGGGGCCCCTCTGATTGATGCAGCTGACAAACAGGTCGGCGTGTCGCCGGGCCTGACTTCCATTCTCTTTGTCGTTTTCCTTACGGCTTACTGCATCCCTGTTTACAAACACCTGGCCAGCTATTTCTAGTAATTGGGATGGATTCATCCCTGCAAGCCCAGCCTGTTTCTGCAGTTTTCTTCTCATGTCTTCTGCGCTTTGACGGACTAAAGCCATGGGAATCATGCGCTGATTTTCAGGGCTATCGGGATCAAAGGGAGTATACATACGATAGGCCTCCCACAGTCTCTCGTAGAATTGTGCTGGACTTTCTTCTTCTCCCTGAATGACCTCAGAGAGCTTGTTAACATTTGTGGCCTTCTGAGCTCCCCTCATTAATCCTTCCAAGAGAGCTTCCCTGTCTCGGTTTAGCCTTGGCATATCCTCTCTTCCATGTGGGTCCAACTGGGGGTCGGTTCCTGGCAACTGGGTCCTTCCATAGTCTTGGGGGTTTTGATACTCAGTTGGTGCATGTTCCTCTAGCCACTTAGTTGCTGCTTGGAGGACTCTCCGCCTTTCTTCGCAGTTAAAGAGGAACATGAGCAACTGGTGCCAATCAGCCCAGGTGTGGTTGTGGGTCTGGATAACAGCTTGGAGCAAATCAATTAGGGATTGTGGCTTTTCGGTATAGGGCGGTGTATTGTTTTTCCAGTTGAGAAGGTCGACGCAGGTGAAGGGCTGGTACCCAAAAACACGCCTCTCCACCACGTGACCATCCTCATCTATCCCAGTCTACCCCTGCTCTATCAGGGGCATTTGTGTCCCGGTTTAGGGTCATAAACGAGCTGCCGAGGGAGGGGTGCAATGGCGCAATGCGACTTGCCGCAATTAATAATCTCAATTATTAATTCACACTAATATTTATCAATATTAATAACCCATAATATAATTTTTAAAATCAATACTGATAATAATGATAATTAATATTAAATATTTATGCTAACGATAATAATACATGATTAATATTAATGATTAATGAGGCCTGATATTAATAACTGATATTGATCTTATTCATTAGAAAACAGTAATATTAGCTCCTAATAATTCTTGTTAATATTAATAATCTGAAAACTATTTATTAGCAATTATTTCTTAATATTAATATTAATATTGGTCATTCATATTGATGTTAATAATAAATGAGGTATAATTCATGCTCATATTACACCCTAATACCTCAGTGGGTGTACACCCACCTGTGATATTGCTCCTAAAGTCCAGTGAGGGAGAGAGTATGATATTAAGTTCAATATCGCAGTAGGTGTACACACAGCCGGTGATATTGATCTGAATATAATCTCCAGGGGGTGGAGTATGACGTTATTCCCAATATAGCACTGGGTGTGCATCCACCCGTTGATTTTGCTCCTAATATTCACCGAAGAAGAGAATGCTGTTACTCCCAAAATAGCAGGAAGTGTACACCCCCGAGTGAGATGGTCCCTAAAAATATTCCAAGGCCGAGGGGGTGATGTGACGACATATACGGCAGAAAGGGGACACCCCCAAGGATATTGTTGGCATGATCCTGGAGGGAAGAGGATAATATTACTTTCAATATCAGAAAAGGCGGACATGCCCCCAATGATATTGTTTCTAATTGCAACGTGGGACAGGAGGACATGACACCCGATATCCCAGGGAGTAGAAACAGCCCTGAGATACTGTACCTAATATTCAGGGAGGAAGAGGATGATATGACTCCCAATACAGACGAGTGTACAACTTCTGCACATCCAGGGTGTACACAGGTCTGTGAAACAGTTCATAATCTGCAGAAGGGGAGATGATATTACTCACAATATGATAAACAGGCTGTGAGACCACCGCGGATCCTAAGAGCCAGGCGGGCAAGAGGGGCTGGCTCTTACTCCCCGCATCGCGGGAGGCGCCTCACCCCCCTGCCATGTGGATCGTCATATCCAGGAGGCGAGAGCGGGGTGATATGGCTCCCCGCATCGTGGGGTGCTCCTCACCCCCCTGCGATGTGCTTCGTCATATCTAAGGCGGGTCGTGGGGAGTGATATTGCTCCCCGATTTTTCCTTGGATTCTTTCTGTACTGCCACCCTCGTTTCACGCCCTGGCCCATTATCTTCCATATTCTCGCAAGATGCGGCTGCTAAAGTCGCAGGGGCTATACACCCTTCAATATTTTTCGTAATTTTGTTGGGGATTGTTAAACCTGATATCACAGGACTCTTTACACTGTGATGTTATTCCCAATATCCTAGCGGGTCATTAATAATAATGTCACAATGTGTGTACACTTTGTGATGTTACTCTTGTTCTCCTAAGCGGAGGTTACTTTTATTGTCACACGGGGTATGTTCCCTTTGATAGTATTCATAACATCCTAGAGGGATGTCACTTCTTATGTCACAGGGTTTGTACACCTTGTCAAATTACCCGTATTATCCTCATAAGATGTCACTGCTCATATCACAGAGGGTGTACACTCTGTGATCTTGTCGTCGTATTCTAGGGACATGTTACTTTTAATGTCACAGAGGGTGCGCCCCTTCTGAAATTATTCGTTATAATTTTGTGGGATGTTACCTCTAATGTCACACGGCGTGTACACACAGTGATGTTTCGTGCAATATGCTATGGAAATGTTACTCGTAATTCACAGGTCCTGTACACCCTTTAATATTCTTCGTAATCTTCTAGGAAAACGTTACTTTTAATGTCACAGGGCCTGTAGACCCTGTCATAATATTTGTAATATCCTAGCGAGAGTTCACTACTAGTTTCACAATGCGTGTACACCCTTTGATATTATTCGTAATGTCCTGAAGAGATGTTACTACTGATGTCCCAATGCAGGTACGTTCTCTGATTTTATTCGTTATATCCTCGGGGGATGTTACTTCTAATGTCACACGGGGTGTGCTCCCTGTGTTCTATTTCGTAATATCCTGGGGCAATTTTACTTTTAATGACACAGGGGGTGTACACATTGTGATTTTATTTGTGGTAATCTAGAAAGATGTTACTCCTAATGTCAGAGGGCTGTACACCCTGTGATATTATTCATAATTTCCCAGGGGTCTATACTCCTATTGGCACCGTCGATAACACCCTGTGACATTATCCGTTAACATTCTAGCGAGATGATACTCCTCATGTCACAGGGGGTGTACACCCCGTGTTATTATTCTTACTATTCTTGGGGGATGTTACTCCAAATGTCACAGGGATGTACACCCTGTGATATTATTCACAGTGTACCAGAGGGATATTAGCACTAATGCCATGATGCGTGTCCACCTTGTGATGTTATTTGTCATATCCTAACGTCACAAGGGGTGTGTTCCGTGTGATATTCTTCCTAACATCCTAGACGGATATTACTCCTAACGTCACAGGGTGTGTACACCTCGTCACTTCATTCACAATATCCTAAAACTACGTTATTCCTCAGCTCACAGGGGGTGTTCACCCTGTGATATTTTTCCTCATAGTTTTGTAGGGTGTTACTCCTAAAGTCACACGGGGTGTACACAGAGTCACACAGTGATATGAGTTGTAATAGTCTATAGACATGTTACTCGTAAATCACAGGGGCTGTACCTGCTGTGATATTATTCATAATATTTTATGGGAATGCTGCTACTATTGTAACGGGGGTGTACGCCCTGTGATATGACTCGTCATATCCCAGAGGGATGTTACTACTGATGTCACAATGCCTGTACAGCCTGTGATATTATTTGTCATATCCTAAAGAGATGTTACTACTAAAGTCACAATGCATGTACACCCTCTGATATTATTCGTTATATCCTCGGGGGATGTTACTCCTAATGTCACACGGGGTGTACTCCCTGTCATATTATTCGTAATATACAAGGGGGATGTTATTTTTAATGTCACCGGGGGTGACATTACGCATTAAAAATGTGTATTCCACGCCTGTGACACTATTCCTAATAACCTAGGGGCATACTCTTCTGAATGTCACATGGGGTGTACACCATGCGTGTACACCTGCTGTGATATTATTTGTAATATCCTAGGGGAATGTTACTCCTGATGACACAGGCAGTGTACACCATGTGTGTACGCCTCCTGTGTCATTATTCACA
The DNA here is from genome assembly GCF_000001405.40 of Homo sapiens. NCBI lineage: Eukaryota > Metazoa > Chordata > Mammalia > Primates > Hominidae > Homo > Homo sapiens. The sequence continues at coordinate 12,695,724 of NC_000008.11, forward strand.
ATATCCTAGGGGGATGTTTCTTTTAATGTCACAAAGAGTGTACAAAACGTCATAGGAGGTGTACACATTGTGACGTTATCTGTAATACCCTAGAAAGATGTTACTCCTAATATGTCACAGGGGCGTACACAGTTTGATGTTACTTATAATCTCATAGAGAGATATTACTTCAAATGTCACAGTGGATGTACACACACAGTGTATACCCTGTGATAGTATTCATAATATCCTAGGGAGATACAACTCCTGATGTCACAGTGCGTGTACCTCGTGTGTGTACACCCTTGATATTAGTCGTAATATCCAGGGTAAATATTACTCCTCATATCACACAGAGTGCACACCCTGTGATATTTTTCATCATACTTTAGGGAGATATTGCTTCTAATATCACAGTGAGTGTACCCCATATGTGTATACTCTATGACAGTATGTTCTATATCCTAGGGAGGTATTACTCCTAATATCACAGTGCGTGTTCACCCTGTGATATCATTCTTATTTGACCTTGCTGCCTTTTTTAACCCACACTACAAAAGGCATGGAACAGATAAGGAGATATTGACATTAGACTGTGCTGCCGTGCGGCCGCCGCAGGACACTTTTAATATCCCTGTTTCTCAGGCTGTAGATGAAGGGGTTCGGCATGGGGGTGACCACCGTGTACATCACTGAGGCCACTGCAGCCTTTCCCGGGGAAGATGACACATCTGAACTGAGGTACCCCCAAAAGCCTGTTCCATAAAATCAGCAAACAACTGACAGGTGAGACCCACAGGTGGAGCACGCCTTATACTTCCCACCTGATGATGAAACCCTCAGAATGGAGGAAACAATCTTATAGTAAGAGAAAAGGGTCCCCGAGATGGGAAGAAAACCAAATATGGCAGCAGGGGAATACATGATTATGTTATTGGTGAAGGTGTCGCAACATGCAAGATGGGGGAGTTGAGAAGGTTCCCAGAAGAAATTAGGAATTTCCACATCCTTGAAGCAGGTCATTTGTAAGGCAATCAAGTTGTGCACCTGGGCGTCTAAAAGAGACTGAGAAAAAAAAGACAACAAAACTAGAAAGCCACAGAAACACGGGTTCATGATGGCTGAATGATATAGAGGGTGACAGATGGCTACAAACGGGTCATAGGGATCACACTCAGGAGCATGTCTCTCTTCCATGCCTCCAAAAATGGCAAAGAGAGACATGGGAGTCAGGCAGCCTGCCTAGGAGATGAGTCTGCTGTGAGATTAGATGTCCACAATCATCTTGGGGACCATGCTGGAGGTGAAACCGATGTCAGGCAAGGACAGGTTGGAGAGGAAGAGGTACATGGGGGTGTGGAGGTGGGAGTCAGGGCTGACGGCCAGGATGATGAGCAGGTTCCCCAGCACCGTGACCAGGCACATGGACAGGAACAGCCCAGCGAGGACAGGCTGCTGTTCTGGATCCTCTGAGCTTCTAGGAGGAGGAATAAAGAGACATCTGTTAAATTCTGCGGGTATGTAGAGATTGAACACCTTTTGCCTAGGAAAGAGGGTTCAAAAATCGGAAACAAGTAAACCAACACCCAGCATCGTGTCTGCACTTTGGATAGAAGCAATTCACAAGTCATGTTTTCAGATTTCAGAACAATCCACACTCAGCAATATTTTGCAGTTCTGACAAACTTAATTGTCTTCTAATGCTTTCATCATTGATTTCTGTGTTATTCACTTCTTGCTGTACACACCTGTCTTAGAGACACTAGATTCAAGAATGTTCCAAGAACCAGATCATAATATAGAACAAATTCACAATTACTAGAAAATACAGCCTATCTTTTCCGAAGAAAACTCTGTAATGGAACCATTTTCCTCACTTTAAGAAAAAGGTTATTCTAATTAAAGGAAATTAAGATCTCATTTTCTTTGATTCGAATACACTGATACAAATTCCCTTGATGTAGAAGATTTATAAGCACTGTATAACAGCTGAGACGATGCCATCTGGAAATGAAATGAAAGTTGATAGTTCATAAGCAGAAAATAGTTCCACAGGCCAGATAGGTCCTAGTGATTTTGTCATTATGTTTTCTGACTTTTCTCCTTCCAGAGAGTAATTGCTTCCTCAAATCGGTGGGTCTTGTTTTAAAATTCATGGAAGCTCTAACTCCTGTCCTTAGGTTAGGTGGACTTAGAGTTTTCATCAGAACATTTGGCTGGACGCGGTGGCTGACGCCTGTAATGCCAGCACTTTGGGAGGCCGAGGAGGGCGGATCACGAGGTCAGGAGATCAAGACAATCCTGGCCAACGTGGTGAAACCCCGCCTCTACTAAAAATACAAAAACTTTGCCCGGTATGGCAGCGCGTGCCTGTAGTCCCAGCTACTCGGGAGGCTGAGGCAGGAGAATGGCTTGAACCTGGGAGGCAGAGGCTACAGTGAGCCGAGATCACACCACTACACTCCAGCCGGGGCAACAAGAGCAAAATTCCATCTCAAAAAACAAAAAATAAAAAACACGCACTCTGTCACACTGATGTCACACTGATGACAGCCAATTTTTGTGAACCAAGGAAGTGTCAATTCAATAATTCACATAGATTTTTACTTTTGCTGTCTCCTGTATGCCAAGCAAGATATCGGCTCTGGGGAATCAGAAACAAAAGAGACTCACTTGTTCCTCTCACAGTACCCAGTACTTACTGAGAGAAGGACAAAAAAAATGTCCTGCGTGGAATACAGGGAAACCAGAACTTCAGGTCAGGGGATATTTCTGTTGGACTGTGTGGAGTTTAAGCCTAAAATATTAACGAAGGGCACCGACGATCTGTTTAATCATCGCTCAGTTCTATTGGATCAACTAGAAATCAACTCAGATGAGAGTGCTGAGTCCCAGAGGATGGACATCTCACCCCTTGCCATACAGATAAGTAGAAAGGGTGGTACTGAAAATTAATGGCCAGACTCTAAGTCCCAGGTACTATACTTGATGGTCTCCCAACTCTCAAAAAGTTGTGGGGTTTTTTTGGGGGGTTTTGTTTTTGTTTCTTTGAGATGGATTCTCGCTCTGTTGCCCAGGCAGGAGTGCAATGGACAGATCTCGGCTCACTGCAACCTCCGCATCCCAGGTTCAAGCTGTTCTCTTGCCTCAGCCGAACACCTGACCTTGTTATTCACCTGCATCAGCCTCCCAAAGTGCTGGGATTACAGGCATGACCCACCGCGCCCAGCTTCAAAAAGTTTTAAGCAGAGCTCAGAGGTCTTAATCACAGGCACATTGGAGGAGCATTTTTGAAATGGTTTCTAGCTTCCTCAATATGAATGGAAGCCAAACTCTGAATTGATGACCCCTTTGAGGAAGCCCAGAGCTGTAAGGAAAGCCAGGAACAGGGGCAAGGGAGAGAGGCATCCCGAATGATCCTGTGCCCATTCTTTCTGGAATCTTTGATGTGATCTCAGCTACCCTTTCCATACTTGACGCAGTGATTGTGGCACCCACTGCTCTAGCTGTGTTCTACAAGGGACCCCCAAAGGGAAGGGCACAGGGAGCAGGGGCGTCGGCCTGAGTGACAAGGATTTCAGAAGGCAGGTTGGATGCAGGGAGAGAACTGGCCAAATGCCATGTGTCTGGACTTAGACTGCCTGGTTCAAATTGGACTTCACCCTTTTTGACTTCACGATCTGCTACAAGTTCTATGAAAATGCGTTGCTCCTTTTCTAGTCTGTAAAATCATCATGAAATGTGCACTAATAACGTGGAGACTATGCAGATGAAATGAAACAAGCTGCATAGAGCACAGAGCTCAGAGCCTGGCCTTCAGGAAACCCTCAGTAAGGGTTCATGATGCCATGGTGTCCGTCATCATCGTCTTTATCCTCATCATCACCTTCATCCTCTTTTTGTTGTTCTGATGGATTAGTTTAGAGGGACTCATTCCCTGCTATCATGGGTGAGATGTCTATGAAAAGGATAACCAGTTGGGGAGGAAAGCAACATTTTGAATGAGATTTCCGAGAGAGACCCCCCCACCATAACCAAGAACAGAAACTCCACAGTCTGCTGAGCTGACAGTTTGCACATTGGTCTCCTCCCATCTGCCCACGGCACTCTCCTGTTTGTCCTGAGGAGGAGGAAACCAAACAAGGCTCCCGACCGTCCCTCAGCACTCACGGAACCGCCCTTCCCCTCTGCTGGGCCATGACCACGGAGAACAGGTCCACTGTCCTCCCTGCGTGGTGCACATTGGGGGCTCAGACTCCGTCCTCAAGGCTGGCAAGAAGACAGGGTGAGACATGAGCCTCCTGATACAGGTGACGGGTGTGGAACCCACAGGACTGGAACCTCACATGCAGGGCTGGAGGCACAGACTGACTATTTACTATTCTGTGGCCTGGGAGGCTCAAGGCACAGAGCTCCTCATTAGCCAAAGTCGCCCAAGTTCCCCAACCTCTAAGGATTTCCTCATAATTATGAAAGAAGAAGAGAAAAGTGAGTGTCCATAGAAGCTCTGGGGCTTTTCCTCTAATCAGGAGGAAGCTTGTGTGGATTATTCGCTTCTTTCTTTCCTTTTGCAAGACCGAAGTGCTTTTGTTTTCATCTGTTATGATGGGAAAATATACCACGTATACATCTTAAAAATTATAAATATATATTATTTCATATAGAATGGCCAGTATCAACATTGACAATTTCCACTATTTTTCAGTTTACAGTTTAATCACATTAGGTACATTCACAGTGTTTAGCAACCATCACCGCCATCATCTCCAGAACAGTTTTATCTTTCAAAATGGAAATTGCACCCATTAACCAAACTCTCCATTCCTCTCTCTCGCCCATCCCTGGGGGCCACCATTCTATTTTGCAGCTCTATGAGTTTAACTACTCTAGACCCTTGATGTAGGTGGAATCCTACCGTGTTTAATTTTTTTATTTGTTTGTTTTGGAGACAGAGTCTTTCTCTGTAGCCCAGGCTGGAGTGCGGTGGCATGGTCTGGGCTGACTGCAACCTCCACATCGGGGATTCAAGCGATTCTTGTGTCTTAGTCTCCCGAGTAGCTGGGATTACAGGTGTGCGCCACCACGCCCAGCTAATTTTTGTATTTTTAATAGAGACGAGCTTTCACCTTATTGGCCAGGCTGGTCTCGAACTCCTGACCTTAAGTGATCTGCCTGCGTCAGCGCCCCAAAGTGCTGGGGTTACAGGTGCGAGCCACTGAGCCTGGTCGTGTTTATCCTTTTGGGATTTATTTACTTCACTGACGATAATGTCTTCAAGGTTCATCCACGTTGCAGCCTGTGTCAGAACTGCCTGTCTGGTTTTTTTGTTTTCTTTCTTTCTTTCTTTCTTTCTTTCTTTCTTTCTTTCTTTCAGTCTCTCTCTCTCTCTCTCTTTCCTTCTTTCTTTCTTTCTTTCTTTCTGTCTCTCTCTCTCTCTCTGTTTCCTTCTTTCTTTCTTTCTTTCTTGGTTTTGTTTTGTTTTGTGTTTACATGGAGTCTCACTCTGTCACACAGGCTGGAGTGAAGTGGCACAATCTGGGCTCACTGCAACCTCCGCCTCCCAGGTTCAAGCGATTCTTGTGCCTCAGCCTCCTGAGTAGCTGGGACTATAGGCACATGCCACCACGCTCGTCTAATTTTTTTGCATTTTCTGTAGAGACAGGGTTTCACCAAGATGGTCAGGCTGGTCTTGAATTCCTCACCTCAGGTGATCCGCCAATCTCTGTCTTCCAAGATGCTGGGATTCCAGGCCTCAGCCACCACACCTGGCCAAGATTTTCTTTTTTGTTCCTACATATAAGTGAGGACATGAAATATTTGTCATTCTCTGCCTGGTTTATTTCACTTCATATACAGACCTGCCATCTCATCCATTTTGTCTGCAGTGGAGAGGATTTCATTCCTTTTTAGGCTGAATAATACTTCATTGTGTGTGCATACCACAGTTTCTAAATTGAAACAAATTTCTAAAAAGGAAATATTTTTAAAATATCTCGGAATGTGAAACTTCAGGGATACTGTGCCCATTTTATTCTTTTCTATTTCCCATCTTATGTATATGTGAGTGTATAACAAAGCAGCAATCAATGTGTGTATAAATCTCCAACTTGAAGAAATGTAAAATGAAAATGCTAAGTGGTGGCTGGGCGTGGTCACTCACGCCTGTAATCCCAGCAGTTTGGGAGGCTGAAGAGGGCGGATCACCTGAGATCGGGAGTTCAAGACCAGCCTCACCAATATGGAGAAACACTGTATCCAGTTAAGATACAAACATAAATAAAATAAATAAAAAATTAGCCAGGCATGGTAGCGCATGCCTGTAATCCCAGCTACTTGGAAGGCTGAGACAGGAGAATTGCTTGAATATGGGAAGCGGAGTTTACAGTGAGCTGAGATCATGCCATTGCACTCCAGCCTGGGCAACAAGAGTGAAACTCTGCCTCAACAAAAACAAAGAAAAAGAAACAAAATAGAACATGCTAAATGGTAAGAAAAAACAGCATAATAAACATTTGTATGGTGTTGATGGACAATGCATTTGAAGATCATAGTTGAAGAAATCAGATTACAATTAACTTCTCTTCTTACTCATTGGAGCTTGATGCCTCTAAAAACTTCTTCATAGGAACAACCTCTGGTGCTTAAAAAAAAAAAAAAAAAAAACCACATACTCACACAGGTGCAAGTAAATCAGAATCTCAGGTATTGAGACCCAGGCCTCATCATTTGTAAGCTCCCCAGTTCATATGACTCAAAACCAAGATTGAGGACCAGTGACATGGATCTCTACACACAAACTGCCTAAATAGATTCTCTAGAACAGTTTATAAAGAAATTCCACATAAACTCTGGAAGAGGATATGAATTTCATGTACAGTATATCCTCACTTAACATCTTTGAAAGTCTCTTGGAAACCTCACCTTTAGGCAAAATTCTGTATAGTGAAACCACGGATTCCTCACCAATATTATAACCAAACAACTTTGAACACACCAATGGTGTCGGAGGACCTTCTGTACATTGTCTCCATAAAGTCAATTTTCAGGGAATTCCAAAATGAAGTGAGGACTTCGTGTGTATAAAAAGATGGTTGTGATTCCACCTGGATGACAGTGTTATTGCGCAGAAACTAAAGGAGGCTGCCTAGATATAGAGGATTCAGTCATGAGGTTTCTGCTCAACAAAGGATCCCAGAATCCTCACCCATTGCAGTTAAAGACATAACAAAGAAAGCAATATTCGCATAGGAAATGCGGAAAGGAATAAAAGCCATCAAGCCACAAAAATAATGTGACTAAGGGGCAGGATTTGCAGATGCAGAGATTTAATGTGGTTGCCCTTTCTCACGCACACAAGAAAAAGGATGGAACAGATCATGAGATTCGACTGTTCTGCTGCGCAGCCTCCGCAGGGCACTTTGTATGTCCCTGTTTCTCAGGCTGTAGATGAAAAAGTTCAGCATGGGGGTGACCACAGCCTACATCACTGATGCCACGACACCATTCCTGGGGGGTAGTGCCACAGCTGAAGTCAGGTACATGCCAATGCCTGTTCCATAAAATCAGCAAAGAGCTGCCAGTTGAGAGCCATAGGTGGAGAAGGCTTTATACTTCCCATCTGATGATGACATCCTTAGAATGGAGGGGACAATTTTATAGTAAGATAAAAGGATCCCTGAAATGGGAAGAAAACCAAACATAGTACTATCGAAATATATGAATATGCTATTGATGACGCTGTCAGAACAGGCAAGGTTGAGAAGTTGAGAGGGGTCACAGACAAAACTAGAGTTTTCCACATTCTTGAATAAGGTGAATTGTAACACAATCCAACTGTGCAGCTGGGAATCCAACAAGCTAAGGAAAAAGGACAGCAAAACTAAGAAGACACGAAGGTGAGGATTCATGATGACTGGATAGTGCAGGGGGTGACAGATGGCCACAACTCTGTCATAGGCCATCACAGGAGCATGTCTTCCATACATGCAAAAAGGACCAAGAAAGATATCTGTGTCAGGCAGCTCACATAAGAGATGACTCTGCTATGCGACTGCATGTCCACAGTCATCTTGGGAACAGTGGCCGAGGTGAAACCGATGTCAGCCCAGCACAGGCTGGAGAGGAAGAAGTACATGGGGGTGTGGAGGTGGGAGTCAGAGCTGACAGCCAGGATGATGAGCACGTTCCTCAGCACCGTGACCAGATACATGGACAGGGACAGCCCAGCGAGGATGGGCTGCAGTTCTGGATCCTCTCAGAGAGAGTCCCAGGAGCACTTTTCAGACACCTGTGAGATTCCGTGGCTCTGTGTGACTTGGACACCTTGAGAAGAAAAGAGGATTGGAAAAATGAAAAGATAAAAACCAGCCTTAATGCTGTGTGCACATTTTGGATGCCAGCAATTCACAAGGAATATTTTCACACTTGAGGACCATACACCATCAGCAATATTTCTCAGTTGTGACAAACCCCAAAATCTCAGAATTATGACATGATTTACTTTTTTCCTCTTCAACTCTTTCTGTACATACTACTTTAGAGAAAATCCACTGAAGAATGTTAGAAGACCAAAAGGTAATACATAAGAAATCCCTAATCTCAGTAAAATACGGCCTACTCTTTTCAGAAAAAACAAAATGCAATACAAATGTTCTTCTCTCTTTAAGAAAAAGATCTCAGACTAATTGAAAGAAATTAAGAGCAGGGAAATACACTCTATTTTATTCTGACACCGTGCTACCAATTCCTTTGATGTAGAATATCTCAAAGGATGATACAAGAGCTAGGACCGCATTCTCTAAAAACGAAATGGAACCTTAGAGTTCTTAATCGGAAGACCTTTTCCCATGCCAGTTACTTTTCACATTTATTATCATCCTTAGGTTTTCTGACATCATTTCTTCATAAAAGTACATGCACACTCAAATATGGGAGCTGTGTTTCCAAATTAATTGAATATAGAACTCTTGGCCGAGCGCGATGGCTCACACCTGTAATCCCAGCACTTTGGGCAGCCGAGGCTGATGGATCACCTGAGATCAGGGGTTCCAGACCAGCCTGGCCAACGTGGTGGAACTCCATCTCTAGTGAAAATAAAAAAACATTAGCCGGGCGTGGTGGCAGGTAACCCTAGCTACTCGGGAGACTGAAGCAGGAGAATCCCTCAGAACCTGGAAGGCAGAGATTGTACACCCTGTGATATGATTTTTGATATCCTAGGGAGATATTGCTCCTGACATCAGAGTGGTCGTACACCATGTGATATTATTTGTAATCACCCAGGGAAATATGATCCCTAATATTACAGTGGGTGCACACTCTGTGATGTTATTTGTAATGTCCTAGGAACATATTATTCCTAATATCAAAGTGGACGTACACTATGTGTGTACACTCTGTGATCTAATTCGTAATATCCCAGAAAGATATTTCTCCTCATATCACAGTGAGTGTACACTCTGTGATATTATTCGTACTATCCTAGAGAGATATTGCTCCCAGTATGACAGTGGGTGTACACCCTGTGATATGATTCATAATATCCTAGAGAGATATTACCTGTAATATCACAGTTTCTGTACACCCTGTGGTGTTATTTGTAATATCCTAGGGAGATATTATTCCGAACATCACAGTGCATGTACACCATGGGTGGACACCCTGTGATGTTATTCATAATATCCTAGGTGGATATTACCCTTAATGTCACAGTGCGTGTACACCAGGTGTATACACACTGAGATGTTACTCGTAATATCCTAGGGAGAAATTACGCCTAATATTACAGTGGGTGTACACCATGTGTTTCTACTCTGTGATGCTATTCATAATATCTTAGAAAGTTACTAGTCCTAGTGCCACAGTGGGTGTGTACCATGTGTGTACACTCTGTGATGTTATTCGTATTATCCTAAGGAGATAGTTATAATATCACCGTGGGTGTCCCTCATGTCTGTACTCCCTGTGGTGTTATTGGTTACGTCCTGGGTTGATATTACTCCTAATATCACCATGGGTGCACAGCATGGGTGTACATTCTGTGATGTTATTCGTAATATCCTAGGGAGATATCACTCCTTATGTCATAGTGGGTGTACAGCCTTGTGATATTATTGGTAGTATACTTGGGATGTATTACTCCTGTTATCACAGTGGGTGTACACCCTGTGATAGTATTTGTAATATCCTAGGGAGATATTACTCTATACCCTGTGATATTATTTGTGACCTTTTAGGGAGCTATTTCTCCTAAAGTCAAAGTGGGTGTACACCCTGTAATATTCTTCCTAATATCACTGTGGGTGTACACCATGAGTGATATTTTTTCTAATATCCAGTGGGGGAGAGGATGATATTGCTTCCAATATCACAGAAGGTGTACACCCCCCTGTGATATTGTTCCTAATATCCAGGGAAGGAGAGGATGATATTATTCCCAATATCACTGGGGGTGTACCACCTCCCGCCGGGATATTGTTGCTAATATCCGGAGGTGGAGAGAATGATGTTACTTCCAATATCACAGGGGGTGTACACCACCCCTGTTTGTAAACACTCCCTGTGATATTGCTCCAAATGGCCTGTGAAAGAGTAAATATTACTCCCATTATCGCAGGGGGTGTTCAGCCCTGCTGATATTGTTTTCTAACTTCCAGGGAAGGAGAGTATGATATTACTCCCAATATGGCAGGGGTTGTACAACTTTTTGTGTTATTGCGCCCAATATCCAGGGAAATAGAGGATGATATTACTCCCAATATCGAAGTAATTCTACAGCACCCCTGTGATATTCTTCCTTATATCCAGAAAGGAAAAGAATGATACTACTCCCAACAGCGTAGGAAATGTACACCTGCGCTATGATATCTTTCCCAGTATCCAGGAGGGGAGAGGATCATACTGCTTCCAATATCGCAGGGCGTGTACACCCCCTCTGTGATTTGTTGCTAACGTCCAGGTTTGGGGAGAACGACATTACTCCCAATATCGCAGGGGGAGTACAACTCCCGTGACCTTGTTAGTCATTTCCTGGGTGGAGAGGATGATCTTACTCCCAATATCGCAGGGGGAGTACACACCCTTGTGAAAATCTCCCTAATATCCAGAGGGAGAGAGGATAATATTACTCCCAGTACTGCAGGGGGTTTACACAGCCCTGTGATACTCTTCCTAATATCCACAGGGAAAGAGGATGATATGACTTCCAATATCGAAGGGGGCTTATGCAACCCTGTGATATTGTTCCTAATATCCAGAGCGAAAGAGGATGATATGACTCTCAATATCACAGGGGGTATACACCCCTCCTGTACTATTGTCCTGAATACCCTGGGAGGGAGAGGATAAGGTGACATTGAATATCGCAGGGAATGTACACCCTCCTCCTCTGATACCCTTCCTAATATCCAGGGGAAGAGAGGATAATTTTAGGCCCAATATCGCAGAGGCAGTACACCCCTCCTGTGATGTTGTTCCTAATATGCAAGTGGGGACAGGATGATACTACTCCCAATATCGCAGGGCTGTTCACATCCCCAGTTTCATATTTCCTAATATGTAGGGGAGAGACAATTATATGACAGCAAATGTCACAGAGTCTGTACATCCCTTCCTCGTATTGTTCCTAATATCCATGGGGGAAGAGGATGATATCAAATATCAAAGGGGGTGTACACACCCCACCCCTACGATCTGCTCTCAATATTCTTGAGGGGAGACGATGATATTACTCCAAATATCGCAGGGGTTGTTCACACCCCCCTGTGATATTGTTTCTAATATCCTCGGGGGGGAGAAAATAATATTACTTCCAAGATTGCAGGTGGTGTAAACCCCACCTGAAATATCGCACCGAATATCCAAAGAGGGAGAGGATGGTATTCATACCAACATCGAAGTGTGTGTACACGCCCCTTGTGATATGGTTTTTAATATCCAGGGGGCGGGAGGATGATATGAGTCCCAACATCCCAGAGGCTGTACACCACCCCTGTGATGTTGTCCCTAACTTCCAGAAGGGAGAAATTGATATCACTCCCAATATCTCAGAAGTTGTACATCCTCCGTGATATTGTTCGTCATATCCAGGGAGGCACAGGATGACATTCCATTGAATGTCGCGACAGACGTACACGCACTGTGTGATATTGTTCCTAATATCCACGAAGGGAGAGGATGATATTACTCCCAGTAAAGCAGTGGGTGTACATTATCCCTGTGTTATTGTCTCTAATATCCGGAGCCGGGGGAGGGGAGTAGAGGATAACATTCCCTCAAATTTAGCAGGCGGTTTGACGCCCCTTGTGGTGTTGTTTTAAATATGCAGCGGGGAAGACTTTAATACTATTTTGGATAGTCCGATTCACCTGCTCCACCTTTCCAGAACTCTGAGGCCAGGAGGCGGCATGCAGTTTCCGTGTGATCCCCAATACCTTTGCCGTCTTCTGTACCAAGTCAGCCACAAACGCAGGCCCGTTATCTGAGCCGATCCGTAAGGGCAGTCCAAATGTAGGAATCAGATCTGGAGGAAGCACAGGGGTTACTTCATGAGCTTTCTCAGTTCGTGTTGGATAAGCCTCCACCCACCCAGAGTAGGTACACCCAAGAACTAGTAAATGCTTGTTACCTCCACACTTTGGCACCTCTGTGAAGTCTACCTGGAGATCTTCAAAGGGGGCTGCTCCATAAGCTTGTATGCCGGACGGAACAGCTGGACCTTGCCTCGCATTATGCTGTCGGCAGGTAACACACCACTGGGGCACCGTTTTGACAAGGGCTGACAAATGCGAGATGTGGAAATACCAGCCTACCAACTTTTCCAGTGACTCCTGACCTAGATGGGTGGTTTTCTGCGCAGCCAGTACAACTGCAGCTCCTAGCAGCTGTGGCACAGCTACTCTGCCATCTGGTAACTGAATCCATCCTTCCTCCATCACTTGTCCTTCCCTCTACCTGGAGAAAGTCCTTTTCTTCCTTAGAATAAGTAGGTCCAAGATCAGGTGCTTGAGGGAGCAGAGGGGCTGTGACTGATGCCCGGAAGGGGGCAGATGCTGCTTGTCGAGGCTCTGAGTCAGCACGGGAGTTCCCCAAACCCACCAAGGTGGAAGCTCGCTGGTGTCCTCTGCAATGCACAACTGCCACCTTGTGGGGTTTCCATACTGCTTCTGATAATTGCAAGATTTCTTGTGGTTACTTTCTGTCTTTTCCCCCAGAGTTCAGCAGGCCTTTTTCTTTCTATCATGCTCCATGCACTTGAAGGGTTAAAAAGGCATACAGAGGATCAGCGTAAATGTTGACAGTCTCACCTTCACTGAGTTCTAAAGCCCAAATTAAAACAATGAGTTCAGCTTTCTGAGCTGAAGTGCCCTGGGGCAAAGATCTGGCTTTAACAACAGTGTCCAGGGTTACCACTGCATACCCTGCACCTCTCTCTCTTTGGAGGTTGAAGAAGCTGCTCCCATCCACCTATAGTTCCTGGTCTGCTGATGCCTAAGTCTGGTCCCAGAGGTCAGGTCTGCTAGAGTCAACAGAGTCCAACACTTCTATACAATCATGATCGACAGGGCTCTCTGATACCGGGAGCAAGGTGGCAGGGTTTAGGGTGTTACAAACTTCAATGGTTATACGGAGATTTTCACGGAGCAAAGTTTGGTACTTGGTGAGTCTGGCATTCGTTACCCAATGACGTCCTTTAGTATTCATTAAAGTCACCACAACACGGGAGGCCTTTATGTTCAGGTTTTGGCCAAGAGTCAGCTTATGTGCTTCTTGTACTAGCAGGGCAGTTGCTGCCAAGGCCCTCAAACACGGGGGCCATCCTTTCTGCCAGGGCCCCACAGTTTGGGTTCAAAGTCCAGCTGCCATTTTTTCTCTCTCTGATGCATACAATGGAAAAGGCTTTGTCAGATCAGGTAGCCCCAGGGCTGGGGCTGACATAAGTTTTTTCTTTAACACATGAAAGACTTGCTGTTGTTGGGATCCCCATTCAAAAATTCCTGGTCCCCGCCCCCTTGTGACCTCATACAAAGGTTGGCTAATACTGCAAAATTTGGGATCCACAGTCTACAAAACCCCAGGGCTCCTAAGAATTCTCTCACCTGCCTTCTGCTCTTAGGCTCTGCTAGATTGCAAATGACCTGCATTCTTTCTGATCCCAGGCTGACTTCCCCCTTTCGGATAGTAAATCCCAAGTAATGTACCTGCTGTTGGCAGATCTGAGCTTTCTTCTTGGACACCTTCTACCCACAGTCCTCCAGGTGCTGGTGTAGGGCATCTGTTCCCTTGGCGCACCCAACTGCCGTGGGGTGTCCCAGCAAACGGTCATCAACCTACTGGAGAAACATGCAGCCTAGGTCTCTGCTGGGAAACTTCTGGAAGTCTCCAGCCAACACCTCCCCGAAAATGGTGGGGGAGTTCTTGAACCCTTGGGGAAGCCCAGTCCAAGTGTACTAAGTAGTGACACCTGACTCCAGATCTTCCCACTGAAAGGCAAACAGCTTCTGCCTCTCAAGGGCTAATCTGATAGGCAAGAAAGCATCTTTCAGGTCCAAGCAGGTGAACCAGCTGTCCTCAGCTGTCAGCAACCCCAACAATGTGGACGGGTTAGGTACTGTTGGATGTAAAGTCAGTATAGCTTGATGAAGCTAGCGCAAATCCTGTACTGGCCTGTAGTTCTTGGTCCGTGGCTTGGGAACAGGCAGGAGGGGAGTGTTCCATGGAGACTGACAAGGAACTCTAATTCCAAAAGGTCTTAGGTGCTTGAGATGGACCTGGATACCTTGAAGGGCTTCTCTGGGGACCGGGTCCTGTTTTTACCTAACCGGCTGGGCCCCAGGCTTCACTTCTATGAGTACAGGGGCTTGGTTGACTGCCAGCCCTGGAGGGTTGTCTTCCGCCCGTACTCTTGGCCATCGCTTAGCCAGAGCTGGTCTTATCTCTTGGTCCAGCTCAGTGAAGAAAAGTCTCCATTCCTCCTCTCGGGAGACTATAAGGGTCATAACGACTCCCGTTCCAGGTAACTTTAGCAGCAAAGAGCCGTGCTCTGTCAAAGAGATAGTGGCTCTCAGCTTGCTAAGCAAGTCCCTTCCCAACAAGCGCAAGGGACAGTTAGGCGTGTACAAAAACTGCTGAATGACTTTAGGTCCTCCTACAGTACAAGTCCGAGGCAAGCAGAAAGCTTGCTTTGCTGAAACCCCCGTGGCTGCGATGATGTCAATAGTCTTTTTGGATAAGGGGGCGACCGGGGTGGTTACTAGCGAATGTTCAGCACCGGTATCTACAAGAAAATCAGTGTCTCTACCCCGACTGTCGTTCTGACCAGAGGCTCTTTGAGGACACTTGAGCCCAGTCTCCCTCAGTCCAATAACCTTTCTGCCAGGTTGAGCAGGGCCCCTTCCTCCTTGTCTGGGGCCTCCTGATCTGAGTCACCTTGTTTTCTTTTGAGCTGAGGGCATTTGTTCTTCCAACGTCCTATTTCTGTACAATAAGCACACTGGTTACACTGCAAACTCTGACAGCCAAGCTGAGTTTCTTTCCCAGGGCCCCCCTTCCCTTGCCTCTCTCAGGGGGCCCCTCTGATTGCTGCAGCTAACAAACAGGTCGGTGTTTCCCCGGGCCTGACATTCATTCTCTTTGCAGTTTTCCTCACGGCTTACTGCACCCCTGTTTACAAACACCTGGTTAGCTATTTCTAATTATTGCGATGTATTCATCCCTGCAAGCCCAGCCTGTTTCTGCAGTTTTCTTCTCATGTCTTCTGCGCTTTGACTGACTAAAGCCATGTGAATCATGCGCTGATTATCAGGGCTATCGGGATCAAAGGGAGTATACATATGATAGGCCTCCCACAGTCTCTCGTAGAATTGTGCTGGACTTTCTTCTTTTCCCTGAATGACCTCAGAGAGCTTGTTAACGTTTGTGGCCTTCTGAGCTCTCCTCTGTAATCCTTCCAAGAGAGCTTCCCTGTCTCAGTTGAGCCTTTGCATATCCCCTCTTTCATGTGGGTCCCACTGGGGGTTGGTTCCTCCTAACTGGGTCCTTAGATAGTCTCGGGGTTTTTGATAATCAGCTGGTGTATGTTCCTCTAGCCACTTAGTTGCTGCTTGGAGCACTCTCTGCCTTTCATCTCTGTGAAAGAGGAACATGAGCAACTGGTGGCAGTCAGCCCAGGTGAGGTTGTGGGTCTGGATAACAGCTTGGAGCAAATCAATTAGGGCTTGTGGCTTTTCAGTATAGGACAGGGTATTGTTTTGCCAGTCGAGAAGGTTGGCAGAGGTGAAGGGCTGGTACACAAAAATGCGCCTCTCCACTACGTGACCATCCTCATCTATCCCAGTATACCGCTGCTCTCTCGGGGGCATTTGGATCCCCATTTGGGGTTGTAAAGGAGCTGCCAGGGGAGGGGTTTCTCCTAAGTCCTCACCTCCTCTCTTGTCTACTCTCGGTGGCCTAGGGATATGCTTGTCTTGCGGAGGTGCAAGCACTGTGGGCTCAAGAGTGGGGAGCCTCTTTCCCTGGTAAGGGGAGGGCACCACTAGGATCACTGGTGCCATCTCCTGCAATGCATCTTCTTATGCTGGGTGGAATAGGACTTCAGGAGTTGATTTCCCTGGGCGGGTGGAGCAGGATCCTTCCTTAGGTATCTGTCCCTTTGCTACTAGTACTGTTGCTGCCTGCCCTCTTAGCCACTGTGGGAGGGTCTAGCACCAGCCGTCACCAAGTGTCTATGTATACGAACTGGTCTAGGTATCCTTTACCAGTTACCTTGTGCCACACCTTAGAAACAAGGGACCTGTCCAGGCTTCCTTCTGATGGCCGACCCACTTCTAATGGTGGGCAATCTAGTTCTGACAAGGTTCTAAGTTCCCCTGGTGGTCTAGTGGTTGGGATTTGGCGCTCTCACTGCTGCTGCCCGCATTCGATTCCTGATCAGGGAACCAAGAAATCAAATAGGAGAAGCAGGGGACCAAGTCCCTCAGACAGCGGATTCGAGAAGAAAGAGGTTTTTTGTTCAGCCGGGAACGTCGGCAGACTCGCATCTTAAGAGCCCAGCTCCCTGAAGGAAGACAGAGTTCCTGGCCCGTTTAAGGGCTTACAACTCTAAGGGGTTCCACGTGAAAGGGTCGTGATGGATTGAGAGCACATGTGCTTAGAGTGGGGGTGGTTAATCTTTTCATCTCAGGCCGGCTCATCATTGCCACCAGCTGGTCTTGCCACCGACTTCATTCCTGTTGTTTTTCCAGTTTTACTTCCCCCTCCTCTTCAGAGACAAGAGACAGTAGAGAAATGGCTTCTCTCCTCAGGGCGACAGGATGATATTACTCCCAATATCGCAGGGGGCGTACACAGCCCTGTGATATTGTTCCTAATATCCAGAGCGAAAGAGGATGATATGACTCTCAATATCGCAGGGGGTGTACACCCCTCCTGTAATATTGTTCTTCATACCCTGGGAGGGAGAGCATAAGATGACATTGAATATCGCAGGGAATGTGCACCCTCCGCCTCTGATACACTTCCTAATATCCAGGGGAAGAGAGGATAGTTTTACTCCCAATATCGCAGAGGCAGTACACCACCCCCCGCCCCGTGATATTGTTCCTAATATCCAAGAAGGGAGAGGATGATACTTCTCCCAGTCAAGCAGTGGGTGCACATTACCCCTGTGTTATTGTCTCTAGTATCCGGGGGCGGAGAGGATAACATTCCCTCAAATTTGGCAGGTGGTTTCACGCCCCTTGTGGTATTGTTTTTCATATCCAGCGGGGGAGACAACAATACTACTCTCAATATCACAAGAAATGTGCATCCCCCTATGATATTGCTACTAATATCCAGGGGTAGAGAGAATGATGTTACTCCTAATATAGTCAAAGTGTCCACCCCCTTCTTTGCTATTGTTCTTCATATATGGAAGGCAAGTATGATATGACTCTC
Source organism: Homo sapiens (assembly GCF_000001405.40). NCBI lineage: Eukaryota > Metazoa > Chordata > Mammalia > Primates > Hominidae > Homo > Homo sapiens. The sequence goes on from NC_000008.11 coordinate 12,713,637, forward strand.
AATATGAAAGGAGGAATACACGCCCCTGTGATATTGTTGTCAGTAGGCAGTGGAGGAGAGAACGATATTACCCCCAATATCGCAGGAAGTGTACACCCCTCTGTGATCTTGTTCATAAGGTTCAATGGAAAAGATGATCTTGCTGGAAATATGGTAAATACGCTGTGTGTCCACAGTGGCTGCTAACATGCAGGGAGGGAAGGGGGTTGATATTACTCTGCGCATCAGCGGAGGGTGTCCACGCCCCTGAGATGTGGCTCCTAATATCCATGGGGAAGGGGGATATATATTACTCCCCACATCACTGGGTGTGTCTACCCCCCCGCGATGTGGCTCGTAATATCGGGGGTGGGGGGGGTGATATTTCTCCCCGCATCGCGGGGGTCGCCCGCCCCCGTGCGATGTGTATCGTAATAGCAAGGGAAGGAGAGGGGGATGATATTACTCCCCGCATCGTGGCAGAGTCTATCACAGATCAGGATACTATCCACCCCCTGGGATATGGGGAGTACACCCGCTGTCATATTGGGAAAAATATCATACTCTTCCCCCCTGAATATTAGGAACAATATCATGGAGGGGGTGTTCATCCCCTGCCATATTGTGAGTCACGTCATTTTCTCTACCCCTGGACATCAAGAACAATGTCACAGGGGTGGTGTACAACCCCTGCGAAACTGGGAGATATATCTTCCTCTCCACCTTTGGATGTGAGGGACAATATCACAGGGGAGGTCTACACCTTCTGGATTATTGGGATTAATACCGTGCTGTCCCCGCCCGGATATTAGCAACAAGATCACAGATATTAAGTGGAATGGCACGATATTACTTATCGCAATTAATAATATCACTTTTAATATCAATATTACTTATCGCAATTAATATCAATTTCAATATCAATATTACTTATCGCAATTAATAATAATAATAGTAATGCAATTAATAATTAATAATCTATAATATCCATTTTAATATCAATATTACTTATCGCTATTAATAATATCAATTATTAATTGATACTAATAATTATCAATATTAATAACTGATAATATAATTTTAAAAATCATACCAATAATAATGATAATTAATATTAAATAGTTATACAAATGATAATAAATGATTCATATTAATGATTAATAACGCCTGATATTAATAACTGATATTGATCTTATTCATTAGAAAACAGTAATATTAGCTCCTAATAATTAATATTAATATTAATAACCTGAACACTTTATTAGCAATTATTTATTAATATTAATATTGGTAATTCATATTCATGTGAATAATAAATGAGGAAAGATGAATACGAATCTTACACCTAATATCTCAGTGGGTGTACACCCACCTGTGATATTGTTCCTAATGTCCAGGGAGGGAGAGAGCATGATATTCCGTTCAATATCGCACTAGGTGTACACCCACCCGGTGATATTGATCCGAATATAATCTCCAGGGGGTGGAGTATGACGTTACTTCCAATATAGCACTGGGTGTGCATCCACCCGGTGATTTTGCTCCTAATATTCACGGAAGAAGAGAATGCTATTACTCCCAGTATGGCAGGAAGTGTACACCCCTTCTGTGACATTGTTCCTAATATCCGGAGGGGGAGAGGGTGATATTACTCGCAATATCGCAGGCTGTGTACACCCACCCTCTAATGTTGTTCCTAGTAGCCCGGAAGCGAGAGGACGATATGACTCCCCACACAGCAGGAGGTGTACACCCATCCGGGGATATTATTCCTAATATCCATGGAGAGGAGAGGCTGATATTACTCCCAATATCGCAGGGGGTGTACATCCAGTCTTGATACTGTTCTTAATATTCAAAGGCGGAGAAGTTGATATTACTCCCAATATCACAGAAAGTGTACAAACCCGTGTGATATTGTTTCTACTATCCAGAAGAAGAGAAGATGATATCACCCCCCCCCCCCCATCACAGGAGGTGTACACCCACTCTGTGATATTTTTTCCAATGTGCAGGGCAGGGGAGGATAATATTCTTCTTAATAGCACTGGGTGTGTACAGCCCCACTGTGATATGGTCCTTAATATTCCAAGGCGGAGAGGATGATCTTACTCCCAATACTGCAGAAAGTGTACACCACCCCAGTGATATGGTTCCCATGATCCAGGAGAGAAGAGGATGATATTACTTTCAATATCGCACGGGGTGGACACACCCCCAGTGATATTGTTCCTAATTTCATCGTGGGAGAGGATGATACTACACGGAATGCCCCTAGGGGTAAAAACACTCCTGTGATATTGTTCTTAATATCAAGGGGAAAGAGAATGCTATTACTCCAAAGAGTGCAGAGGATGTGCACCCGTCGGTGACATAGTTGGTAATTTCCAGAGGCGGAGAAGATATTACTGACAATAACGTGAACACGCTGTGTGACCACCGAGGATCCTCATATTCACGGGGGGAGAGGGGGTTGATAGGACTCCCCCCTTTTTCCTGGGATCTTTTGTCTACTGCCCCCCTTGGTTCACACCCTGGAACATTGTTTTCCATATTCTAGCAAGATGCCACTACTAAAGTCACAGGGGATATACACCCTGCGATATTATTCGTCATATTGTAGGGGAATGTTAATCCTGTTGTAACAGGACTCTACACACTGTGATGTTATTCCCAATATCCTATCGGGTCATTAATAATAATGTCACAATGTGTGTACACCTTTTGATGTTATTCTTGTTCTCCTAAGCGGAGGTTACTTTTATTGTCACACGGGATATATTCCCTTTGATAGTATTCACAACATCCTAGAGGGATGTCACTGCTTATGTCACAGGGTTTGTACACCTTGTCAAATTACTCGTATTATCCTTATAAGGTGTCACTCCTCATATCAGAGAGGTGAGATTCTAGGGAATTCTAGGGGATTCTAGAGGTCGTATTCTAGGGAAATGTTACTTTTCATGTCACGGAGGGTGTACACCTTGTGAAACTTTTCGTTATAATTTTGTGGGATGTTACCCCTGATGTCACACGGTGTGTACACAGAGTGATGTTACGTGCGATATTCTATAGAAATGTTACTCGTAATTCACAGGTCCTGTACACTCTTTCACAGTCCTCGTAATAGTCTAGGAAAACATGACTGCTAATGTCACAGGGCAAGTAGACCCTGTCAGAAAATTCATAATATCCTAGCGGGAGTTCACTTCTAATTTCACAATGCGTGTACACCCTTTGGTATTATTCGTGTTTCCTGAAGAGATGTTACTACTGATGTCCCAATGCAGGTACGTTCTCTGATATTATTCGCTATATCCTTGGGGGATGTTACTTCTAATGTCACATGGGGTGTACTCCCTGTGTTCTATTTCGTAATATCCTGGGGCAATTTTACTTTTAATGACACAGGGGATGTACACATTGTGATATTATTCGTGATATTCTAGAAATACGTTATTCCTAATGTCACAGGGGTGTACACCCTTTGATAGTATTCATAATTTCCCAGGGGTCTATACTCCTATTGGCACAGAGGATAACACCCTGTGACATTCTTCATCATGTTCTAGCGAGATGATTCCCCTAATGTCACAGGGGGTGTACCCCCTGTGATATTATTCTTACTATTCTAGGGGGATGTTACTCTTAATGTCACAGGTGTGCTCCTTCTGTGATATTATTGAAAATATGCTAGCAGGATATTATGACTAATGTCACAATGCCTGTACACCTTGTGATATTATTAGTAATATTCAGGGGGGATGTTACTCCTAACGTTACAGGGGTGTACACCGTGTGATATTGTTCCAAGTATTGTAGGGGGATGTTACTCCTAGTGTCACAGGGGGTGTACACCCTTCGATGTTATTTGTAGTCTTATAGAGAGATATTACTTTAAATATCACAGTGGGTGTACACACATGGGGTACACCCACTGGCATATTATTTGTAATATCTTCGAGAGATATCACTCCTAATATCACAGTGGGTGTACCCCATGTGTGTACACCCTGTGATATTATTTGTAATATCCATGGTAAACATTACTTCTAGTAATCCACAGAGGGTACACCCTGTGATAGTTTTCATAATATCATAGGGAGATATTGCTGCTAATAACACAGTGGGTGTACACCATGTGTGTACACTCTGTGACATGAGATAGCTTATATCCTAGGGAGACAGTCCTTCTAATATCAAAGTGAGTTGACACCCTGTGATATCATTCGTAATCTCCTAGAAAGATGTTGCTGCTAATATCACAGAGGGTGTGCCCCCAGTGACATTATTCTTAATATCCCAGGGAGATGTTACTCCTAATGTCACAGGTGGTGTTCACACTGTGATAATATTCGTAATATCCTAAATGGATGTTACTGCTGATGTCACCACACGTGTACATCCTCTGTATTTGTTCGTTATATCCTCGGGCGAGGTTACTCCTACTGTCACATGAGGTGTACTCCCTGTGATATTATTCCTAATATCCTAGGTGGATGTTACTCCTTGTGCCACAGGGGCTGTGCGTTTAGTGATATTATTCACAATATCCTAGAAAGACGTTACTCCTCAGGTCACAGGGGATGCACACCCTGGGATATTATTCGTACTACCCTAGGGGACATTACTCCAAATGTCACAGAAGGTGTACACTCTGTGATATTTCTCATAATGTGTCAGGGAAATGCACTCCTAACGTCACAGGGCATGTGCACCATGTGTGCACAGCCCTTATGATGTTATTTGTAATGATCTCAAGGGATGTTAATCCTAATATTCCATATGCTATTAACCATGTGTGAACACCTTTGTGATATTCTTCCTAACATACTAGAAGGATGTAACTCCTAACATCATATGGGGTATATGCCATATGAGTACACATTCTGTGATATTACTCATAACATCGTAGGGAGATGCTACTCCTAATTTCACAAGGTGCGTACATGATGTGTGTACTCCCCCTCTGATGTTATTCGTAATATTCTAGGGGAATGTTGCTGCTAATGTCACAGGGAGGGTACACCATGTGTATGCAACGCTGGTAATATTATTTCTAACAGCTTGAGGAGATGTTCCTCCTAATGTCACCTGGAGTGTACACAATGTGTGTACACCTTCTGTGATATTATTCGGAAATCACAGAAAAAGATTATGCCTAATGCAACAGGATGTGTACACCGTGTGCGTCAACTGCCTTTGATATTATTCGTAATATACCAGGGGGTGTGACTTTTCATGTCACAAAGGGTGTACAAAATGTCACAGGGTGGGTATGGCTTATGATATCATTCCCAATATCCAGAAGGATGTTACTCCTGCGGTCACAGGGGGTGTACACCCTTCGATAATATTTGTAGTCTTATAGGGAGATATTACTGTAAATCTCACAGTGGGTGTACACTATGTACACTGTGTTTACACTCACTGTGATATTATTTGTAATATCTCAGAGATATTACAGAGTTATAACTCTCTCTGTTATATTAGAGAGTTATATCTCTCTAAGACAGTACAAATAATACCACAGTGGGTGTACCTCATGTGTGTACACCCTGTGATATTATTTGTAATATCCATGGTAAACATGACATCTAATAGCACAGAGTGTGTACTCCCTTTGGTATTTCTCATACTTTCATAGGGAGATATTGCTTCTAATATCACAGTAGGTGTACACCATGCACGTACATTCTGTGATATGATACCTTCTATCCTAGGGAGATATCTCTCCGAATATCACAGTGTGTGTACACCTTGTGATATTATCCATAATGTCCTAGAAGGATGTCACTCCTAATATGACAGAGGGCGTACACCCAGTGGTATTCTTCGTAATATCCTAGGGAGATGTTACTCCTAATGTCACACGGGGTGTACACCCATGATATTCTTCGTAATATTCTAGGGGGATGTTACTTAAAAAGTCACAGGGGGTATACACCCTGTGATGTTGTTTGTAACATCCTAAGATGTTACCCTTAATGTCACATGGGGTGTACACCCTGTGATATTACTCGGAATATCTTATGGGGATGCTACTCCTAATGTCACAGGCTGTGTACACCCTGTGATATTATTCGGAATATCCACAGAGACGTTACTTTTGATGCCACGACTGGGTCCACGCTTTGATATTTTTTGTCATATCTTAGGGAGGTATTACTTCGAATATCAGAGTGGTTGTACACCCACTGTGATGTTATTCGCAATACCCTAGGGAGATATAACTTTTAATATCACCGTAGGTTTACACACTACTACACAGTGGATCCAATAGGGGAGGGAACAGGTGGGAGCCCCACCCCCTACTGAGTTGGCAGGGCAGGAGCCCCACACTCATGGATGCAGTTGCAGCCACCCAGCTATGGCTCCAGACCTGGGCATGCCTGCACTCCTGGAAGCCCCCCCTGGCCCCACAGGCTCAGAAGTGCCTGCTCCTGCTTCTCCCCTCTCCTGACACCTGCTCCAATTCTGGAGCAAAGTTGAGGCTGAACCCGGGTGCTATCTCAACCTGGCTGGATGTGTGCGTGCTAGGGGTGGTGCTGACACACCAGTCCCACCACCTTGACCCCCTTTGAATTTTGGGCACCAACAAGCAGGGGCGGGAGGCCAAGGGGGCCCTGAGGGCGGTTTGGCACAAGCCTGCCGGTGCCTCTTGGTAGGAACAGCCTGGTTGCTGTGGATGGCATGTTGATGGTGGCAGGATGGAAAAGGGTGGGTCCTGGTGAAACCTCACCTTCAAGCCAGGGATGGCCTGAAGCCTGGGGCCTGAGCTGCCAGTTCCAGCTGGAGTCCACTGCCTGGAGTGAGTACATATGGAGCTTTTTCCCCAGCCCACCCATGGCCGCCCATGGACCGATCAGCACACACTTCCCCTCCTGAGCCCATAAAAACCCTAGAGTCAGTAAGACTCAAACAGACCCTCAGGACTACCAGCTGCAGGAAGGAGCTACCCATTGTGAGTCTCCTTGACTCTTCTGGATGACCTGCTTGTGGAAAACAGCTACCCACTTCAGGTCTCTTCTCTGCTGAGAACTGGACACTCTATGGGATGACCTGCCTGTGGAAAAGAGCTACCCACTGAGGGTCTTCTCTCCACTGAAAGCTGGACACTCAAATCAGGAAGACCTGCCTGCAGAAAGGAGCTACCCACTTTGGGTCTCCTGAGAGCTGTTCTATCACTCAGTGAAGCTCCTCTCTGCCTTGCTCACCTTCCAGTTGTCTGTCCACCTCATTCTTCCTGGATGCAGGGAAAGAACTCAGGACTTGCTAAATGGTGAAACTGAAAGAACTATAACACAAACAGGGCTGAAACACATACCCCCCTTGCACCCCAACTCACCACATTGTGGGTGACAAGAAGAGCTACAGCTATTTGGGGAGTCCAGACCTAAAGGGTGCCTAAGCCAGGGCTGTGACACCCTCTTTGGAGCTCTGTGGTTCCTGGCATCTCCAAGCTTCTGGGTGCCACAGTGTTCCCCTTGTCCAGATGTGGGTGCCTGCAGTGGAAGCCACGTGGTGCATCTGGTCCAGCTGCAACCTCGCATGAAGGTGCCCACCCCAACACAGCAGCTGGTGTGCCTGGCTGTGTGCAGTGTCTGGACCCTGCATGCACTTGCCCACACACCCCTCGCTGCTCCGTGCCTGGTTCGCTCTTGGCAGGTGGGGGATCTGGGCTGGTAGCAAAAGCCAAGCACGGCCTGCCAGGCTGAGTGGCCAGAACAAGCCCAGTGGGCATGAGCATTACTCAGGCAGAAGGCACCACCGGCCACAGACATTTCTGGCTGGCAAAGTGCCACCCCAAGGATCCTGTGACAGGAAAATCACTTGAGCCCAGGAGTTTGAGGCTGCAGCAAGTTATGATTGTGCTACTGCATTCCAGCCTTGGCCATAGAGCAAGATCCTGTCTCTAAAAAAAAAAAGATGATTGACTGACATTTGCAAAATCCTAGCTGAGGAACTGGGGGCAGAAACAGTCCAGTCTGTGTAACCAAGAGAAGTCTCAAATGGTGAGGCATCAAAGAAAGAATTTTAGCCTTACCCTAAAGGGACATGGATTTTTAAAAGGTTGAAAAATAGTGCTTTAGGGATGGTTCCGAGGCCTAAACCCTCAATAAATTGCTTTTTTTTTCTCAAAAAATAAAAATGGCCAAAGTTTTTGGAAACCATAGCATATATCTAATGCCACCAAACCATAAGCAAAACTCATCTGTTCTTTAACATATGCAGTTTGGTTCTTCTACTGACTTGTTTTTATAACACTGACCTACAATTTAAGAAAAAGTATTAGGAATTTAGCTTTTATTCAAAATTAAATAAGCAAAAGCAAAAATTTTAAGAAACTTTTACAAATTACTTACATAAAAGAAAGTTAATAAGGACAGTCACAAATTTGCAACAAATAATTACAAAAGTTTCTAGGGCAGCATGAATATAAACCATGTTGCAGCATGGTGATCTAACTGTGATATGAATAAGGCATAACTAACATTTGCACCGAGACCAGAATTAAAAACAAAAACAAACTTTAAAAGCTTAGTTCTATATTAAACTTCTTCTCTTTTCCCAGATCCTTAATGGGTTTATACTATGCATTTTTTTTTAAAACAAACACATCATGTCAAACTATAAATTACACAAATGGGCAGTTAATGTGAAAAGCCCCCTAAAATGTACAAACTAACTGGTACTGAATTGAGTTCTCCCTTTACCTTTATGTACAATTAAATGTAAACCATATTTTCACAGTTTTGAGTGTTTTATGAATAGATGCACAGTACCATGTCAGGTTTACAATTGTTCCTGAAAACTGGCTCTAGGTTCTGCATCCAATGCCTGTCGGCCACTGTGATGCAAGTATTTACATAAATAAGAAACTGTGTCATAGTCAATGGTCAAGACAGTTCAGCAAGAGCAGTGTTTCCAACAAAGAATGATCCTCAACACGATATTTTACATACTTGTGCAAATATAAGCATTAGGACAGATATATCTGAGGCAAATTCAATTTGCAAAAACTTGTATCGCTACTCTTGTAAACTTGGGCAATAAATGACCCTCGGCAAGTTCTGCTCTCTATGGCTTTTTTGTTTGTTTGTTTTAAAATTTTAAAGCCAGAGAAAATACACACACACTACCCAACCCCCACAAGCACACACGCACGCACACACACACACACACTCTCTCACAGACATAAAGAGTTCTTATTTCATTTTAGAGTATGGTACATAGTGCAACTTCACAATGTAGAGGTTCGACACACATTCAATGCGTGTTTTTCTGTGCAAGTTCTTAGTGGTCTAAATCCTAGTTGAAGGTATTCATTTGCAGAACCACATGATTCAGGAGGTCGAAGGAAAAAGAAAAGTTTCATTAAATTTCTGAAACCAGCACTAGATGTGCAAAGGCAGCAGACAATCTGGCCATCAATGCAGCCAGATTAGGGTCACTTTAAAGGGAGATCCAAAGAGTTAGTTACTTAGATTGGTCTCTAGAAAAATAGGTCAGTATATGCTGTATCTTGGTCAACCGTTCTTTCAAAGACTTCATTGACAAAACCGACAGCTGGTATCGTGGGTCTACAGGGAGAACTGCAAGAAGCCACCAACACCATGCAGGTCCATTAGGGGCTGCCTAAAAACAATGGACAGTTTATAGCATTAATAAAACAAGGATTTATGTAACAACAGTAGCAAACCACCAAAAAATTACTATTTATTGAGCACTTGTACTATGTGCCAGGTGCTATCTCCAATGTCCTTAACAATTATGCAAAGTATAAAATGGGAGAAACTGAAGCTCAGCAATGTAATGCAAATTGTCCAAGATCTCTTGGCTCTTATGTGGCAGAGCCGAGATTCAAATCTAGACCTGACTCCCCACAGTCAACACACGCTCTTTCCTCCTATTACACTAGCAAGGCTTCTCGACCTCAGGCTACTGACACTTTGAGCCAGATAATTCTTTGTTGCATGTGGCTGTCCTATGCACTAGAGCACATTCAGCAGCACCTCTGATCTCTATCCACCAGATGCCAGTAGCACCTTCCCATCCAGCTGTGACAGCCAAAAATGTCTCCAGGTAATGCCAAATATCCTGTGGGGGCAACATGCCCCTAGTTGACAGCCACTTTCTTGAGCTATAGATTTAAAGCATTAAGAAATGTTAATTGAGATTTAAAATTTCCTCAAAGTATTATGGAACCCTTGGAAAGACAGAAGAAAAAGGCCCCAGCTTCCAATGTTGTTCAAAAAAGAAACATATCTCCAGTGAAAAGGTCCTGGTAATGCTGTGAGGGCTGACTATTGGCTATTGAAACAACTAGAAATTTCCATAAAAGGACTTGTAAGCCACCTTCACTGAACCTTAAATTGCTATTTATCGGACTTAAAATATAAAGCTTCAGAATGACAAAAGGAGCTACGACATCAGTGCTGATCTCAGTAGGCCCCTCTAGAATCAGATTCGGTTTCTATATTTGTGTATTGTCCGCTGTCAACTAAGCATTGCTACCTCTTCATCTGCATTCCACAGACATTACAAACTGTCTTCTAAAATCCCCTCTGCCATAGGGTTCCAGGTTAGAGTTGGCCGATGAAAGGCACTCTTGTTGGGTGTGGAAGCTGGAAGAGAAGCCATTATCCTCTGAAGATTGTTGCAAAGTGTGGGCAGGAACTTTCCAGAGAGCTCCTGGAAACCCCTTTCTCCACTGCTGTAGACTGAGACAGTGGTGCAGACTTGCTGGGATTCCTAAGAATTATAGCCACTTCCCCACTAGTTCTTCAGAAGCACGCTGTTGGCTGTTTCTGATGCAGGATCTCTGGTGGCAGATTCCCTGACTTCTGTAGGTGACATCCCTGACCTTCACTCCCACAGCTCTCCCAACTACTATACAAAGTCTACATCCTACGTCAAACCCTTCATTCTGGGAAAATGACGGGTGGTTGCTTTTGCTTTCCTGCCCAAATCCTAACTCACACAACACTGCTAACAGAAAGCAGTGATACAGGACAGGATAATAAAAGGCAAGGGTGGTGAAGGTGATGGAAAAGTTATGCTGAATTTTTCTATAAGCTGTTTTGTTATTTAAAATTTCTTATTCAATATTGTTCTTATCAAAGCCCATTTCTGTGATGTTTAATCAGATTCAAGTAATCAGTTAAAACAAATAGATGGCAACTGATAATATGCTAAACAGAATGAATACTAAATTTGGAGATGGCCTAATGTTGGTGTTTCAAGTTCAGGTGAAGGATTCAATTGGGATTCAGACAAATGTAGACCAACCCTTGAAAACGGGAATGAGGCAGTGTGCATTACAATGAGATCTATTATCTCTCCATCTTCACATATTTACTGACAGCCATTCCTTTGTAAAATCTATCACCTTCTGATCAAAAACATTTAGTTCAATTCAAAATGCTACGATGCCTAAAACGTAGTGCTTTAGTAAGTCTATGATCAGATTTTCCAGGAGCCAGACCCTTCTTTTATGCCTCCTGCAGTTTTGCTTGCACAGAAAGTGCCAGATACACATTCATTAGACTAAGCTTAAGTGTAAACCCTAAGTACCTGCAAGACTAAAAGAATAATAGTTTCATGAGAAGCGAGGTATTAAACATGAAGAGACAAAAATGAATTGAAGTGGTTGGGTCAAATGTTGGGAGATACAAAGAAAGGTGAGAAAAGATGTTTCAAATGTATAGAAAATGGTAAGTCTCTCTGCTGTCAAAGAATAACAGCAACAGGCGATGGGCTCAAAGGCATGGTTAGTTGTCCCACAGTCACAGTTTCTAGATAGTAACATCCCGTTTTTAATTCCTTACCCACTCCTAAAAATCCTCTTAAGGACTTGCTCCCTTTCTGGCACTCTCTCCTACAGGCATCTCAGCTGACACGTATTTCCAGCCTCTATCTGTACGGAATGTAGTGGAGACCACTGCTCTAGAGAACTCATGATTGCAAAGATGAGGTGGGGCTGGTGCGGGGGAGGGGACAGTCAAAGAAAAAGTAGTGCAGAAAGGACAATGAGAAAACAAATGTAGAAGTGTGCAAATTTGGGTTTATAAAAAAGTGACTTTTGGAAGAACAGAAAAGCCACCATACCTGAAGGTTTTCCTCCCTCTCGGGCATTGATCCGAAATGCTGAAGAATTTGGCTTCGAAATCTGTCTCTTAAATTCTGAAACCAGCTGCAGGCTTGAGAGTAAACCAAATCATGAAGCTCTCTGAGATTCTTAATCTCATCTTCATTCTCAACCTAGAAATACAATAGTCAGTAAGACTTCTGTGTCTAATCCCCCGTCCATATGCCATATGCCAACCGACACAAATGGAAAAAGGGATCAGAAGAACAGGGCAATACCTGTTTCAGTGCTGACGTCCCAGAGAGTATTATTCCTATGCTTTAATACACATTTCTGTCTCATATAGGGCTGACCAGACTAAAGAAAGACAACAAGGCCTGACCTATGCCTAACCTTGCTGACTTAGCAGTGCAATATTGCAGAACCCTACAACAGCCCTCAAGTGGGAAGAGTAAGATTGAGAGTGAGTTCTGGTTCAGAGGTCTAATTTGGAATTCCATTTGTCTTTATGGATCAATGGTTTTTGAAAGCAGTGGAACAAAAAAGTGGATGATAGTTGCTACAAAAAAAGAAAAGATAAGTAGTTAGGGTGTAGATGACATGACAGAAAGTAGTAACAGGAGGAGTCCAGGCACAGTTACATCTTTTACTAGGGAACTGGGTCAAAACACAAAAACAAACAAAAAGCTACAACAAATAAGTTAGCATATAAAGCCAGTATGTCAGAGAGTCAATTACACAATGATGAGCTTCTGCTGGCAAGGCCCAAGGCTATGGCTACCTCTGGAACCCCTCAGTGTATTCTTTAGACTACTGGGTCACCAAACTGCAAATGTAAAATTAATTGCATCAGGCTTCCAGCCTGAGATAGAAGAGTAGTCTCAGAGAACACAGGTGGGAAGATCTAAGTTTAACTCATCCATCTTATACTGATTTCTTTAATGCACACTTACATCCCACTTGCTACTTGCCAGGTCGTGCTCTGTCTCATATGCACAAACTCATCTGAAAAAATACCAGGCCTGACTCAGCCTTTCATACTTCAAGGATGACTCATTTAAAAACAACAAAGGGACTCTGAAAACATTTCGAAATATAAAAATAAGACTACAGCACACCAGAGACAAAAAAGCAAACTTTTTACTTTTGAAAGATTTGAAATGAAAACTAAAGTTTAAAGAGCATCTGTTTTTTGCATAACAATGTGAATGTACTTAATGCCACTGTGTGCACTCAAAGATGGTTAAAATGGTAAATTCTATGTATATTTTACCACAATAAAAATAAACTTTTAAAAAAGGTAGAGGAGCCACACAATTGAAGAATTTTGGTCCTGAAATGACTATACATGATTCAGGCCCCTGCTAACATACATTGATAGGAGCAAGAAACAAACTTATGCCTTGTTAAATCTTTTTTTTTTTTTTTTTTAAAGCATCTGCTCTGCACCCTCACAAAATTCAAGAAAACAAATGACAGGCTCTGGTAAACAAGGAATGATAACAATTATAAGCGTCAGTGATGAAAAACGGAGCTGGCCAAAAAGCAGGCAGAGACGCTTTTAAAGTCTCTGCCTGCTTTTTGGCCAGCTCCATTTTAAAAGCAAGCTTTTAAAGTCAAGGAACTTTACTGTGATAATTTTAACAGAACTTAAAATTTCATTAGAAGTCACAGAAAACAGAATTATTATAAGAAGAGGAAAATTTGCCATATAAAACAAATTTGAGAAGGTTTTCCAGAATGGACAAGAAAATCATTATATAGATGAAGACATGATGAGAAAAGATTACTAGACATTCCGAGGACCAAAGAGGACTCGTTTATAAATATCATATCTGTAATACTTTTAGAATGTGATTCTATTGCCTACATGTTTGTAAGTATTAATACATATAGTCATGTAATTTAGCCATATACTCAAGTGATTTTGTCATCAAATCCAATAAGTGAAGACATAAATTTACACAAAACTGAAATATGGTTATTAACTTTACAAAGAAGAACCTTTAGCAAGTGATTCCATTAACCAAGTATGCCTAAGGCACAGATTCTATCAATCAACTCAAAATTTCAACTCACACAATACTTTCGGCCAACTGCACAAGACAAAGTACCCCCATAGCATTTTTATAATAAGATAGGACTGCCAACGTCAGACTAATCAGGTTTATCAACAGAGAGCCAAATGGCATAGTGATAAAGCTCAAAGTCTGAGTCAGACAGTTTGCTTTAATCATTTTTGTTACATTATCTATAGGCTCTCAGGCAAATTAATTAACACCTCTGAATTGTACTTTCCTCATCTACTATTTCATAGAGTTGTGAAAATTCTATGAGTTAATGTTTGTGAAAATACCTAATGCCAATATCCAATAAATGCTGACGAAATGAAGGGCCTAAACAGATCAATGAATAAGAGAAGGGATAAGATCTATGTTTTTATAATGCCTTTCCAAAAGAAATTGCCTTCAATTTGGTATTTGTAGCATCATAAGTCACTTTTCCGGTTCCTAAACTAACTGCAGTAGGTAAACTGGGTATTGCAAACATCAAAAGGGCCACATTAACCCTATTCTAGAAAGACATCACAAAAACCCTACCCTGTTAAGATATCACCAACATGTACACTGGCAGTGCTTTCTATGTCTGCCCCAGGGTCTTCACACAGCATTCAACTCTATTTTATCATTAAGGTTATCTTAGGCACAAGAACAATCTTAATATATAAAACAATTCTTATAAGATTTGATGTGTTTACATTTACATCAAATTTCAATCTACTAATTCCATCGGCTTCAACTACTAATACATTCAATAAAACAGGGCAGAAATGTAAACCTTTCAAAACTTAGATGGGTTGGAAGTTCAACTTATTCAACCACTATTGTTAAGTACCTATCACGTGTATACACACATGCACATGTGTACATATACACATACATTCTAGGCACTGGGCTGGTTGTTAAGCCTGCAGAAATAAAGAGAATCTATGTTCTAGTCTTCCAAGTTCTCTTAGAATGTGCAACAGTTTCAGAGCAAGATACGAAAAAGGTAACTTGGAGCACATTCTCATCACAGTGGTAAGGCTGTCTGATAAGAACTGGTTCATGCACCTAGAAAATAGCCTGCATGCCTGTACCAATCCCTGGAACAGGATATACGAAAGTATGCTGGCAAAGCACATTTTAAAATACCTTAACATCTTCCAGATATTCAATGTCGGCAGTGCAATATCCATCTTTCATTCCTCTTTTTAAAACCCTAAACCGCTTTCCTCCAACTGTATCAACCACAGACCTTCCGTCCGGTAAGAAATGCACGTTTCTAATTTGTAACATACAACCATAATCTGCAAAACTAAAAGAAAACCTTGATTAGTAACAAAGTTGAAACATAAACATGCAAGTTCTCATCCATATTGAGAGGTCTAACATAAATACAAATATTTAGGTTCACAAAAAGCATACCTATTTTGTGTATCACTGACACACATGCCAAACTGTTTGGTTCCAGTCTGTATACTTCTTCGAATCATCAATCTGTATCTTGGCTCAAATACATGGAGAGGGCAAGGCACAGTGGGGTAGGCCATAGTGCAAACAAATATTGGAACATTCTTGGTCAAGCTAAGGGAAAAACAGTTTAATTATTAGAATTCATACAAGAAAAATATTACCGAACACATACAAAAAATGAGTGAGGTTTATAACAGTAATGAACTAATGTAAAGCAAAAAAAGAATTAGTTCTAAATAAGGTGGTTTTTATTCTTGGCAAGAACAAGAATCAGCACCCCGTTCACTAAGCTCACACTGATGAAATATTAATACTGAAAATCTGCTGTGATCCTCTTATTTATAAGAGTAAACTGAATTTTAAGACACCAGATTATCTTACAGAGCTAAGTATGTTTATGAATCAAGAGAATTTATTATAAGTAATATTTTATATTAAAATCTGTTTTAAATATTTATAACATGACAATAAATACCTTTTATCCCAAACACTCATAGTTACTCTTAGATAACAAGAAAAAGTGAACTCCCACAACAAAGAGCAAATACTTAAAAATTCTCAGCCATTATTTTCAAACGCAAGGATAAGAAAACATATTTTGATGAGATAACATTTTTTCCAAGTAATTAAAATGATATAACATTTTTCATTGCCAGATTGGTAGAAAGAAAGAGAAGGATAAAGGCAATGCCCAGTTCTGTCTGAGGTATGGGAAAAATGGCAGCATGGGGGCACTCTGAAACAGCACAGGCACGCTAAAGAACATGGCTACAGACAGCAGAAACCTTACGTTGTTGGCAGGAAATGTTCATGTTCTTGGAACCAACCAGCTTATTTTCAGACATAAGCAGGCAAGTGCTATATGAATGTTCACTGTAGCAATGTGGATAGTAACCAAATTGTAGAATCATAAAGAGGAGACTAGTAAGATCAATTATGGTACATCCATAAAACGGAATACTATGTTTCCATTAAAAGATGATGTGTATGAACTGAATTAGAAGAAATGCTTATATTAATGAGAGGAGCAGGTTTTAGATACTGATCATGAATAACATGATCCCATCTTTGTTTAAAGCCTATTTATACATACTACATTCAAGTTTGGAAATATGTATGCCAAAATGCCAATAGTTGATTCCCTTTGAGTTGCAGATTATGGCTTTTTTTAAAAGCTCATTTGTATTTTTGAGTTTTTTTCAAAATGACCATCAATTACTTATATAAACATAAGGTGAAACATGTTTAAAATATGTGTTTTAAGAAACAGCCCCATTAGTAAGCAGCTGGACACCCTGTCGCTTCTCTTCTCTCCAATGCGCAGCTCTCTGTGTGTCTCCCTCCTCTGTCCTTTGAGTCTACCACTCTTCCGTGGGCTGGCTGGTTGTGTCACCATGTTTAAATTTTCAAAAGCAGAAATGCAGTTTTCTTAAATCTAGATGCTTCAGCACTGATCAGAAAGGTTCATAATTGTCATATCATTTTATAAACCACACAATAAAATATCAATTCTGTGAGAAGACAAATCAATATCTATTTCTATAAAGAGTGGAAATCTTTCTTCTGTGGAAGGCACCTGGCTCACTGAAGACATCTGATGGGCACATGTTGATAAAGGAGTCTACAAGCACAGCTTTTCTTAGAAAGTGACATACAAAATGTTCAATTTATATTTTGAAAATCAATGGAAACAAAAAGTTGTTAAATAAAACAGCATATACAAATTATAATTTTGTTTTTTAGTGTGTTCAATTAAAAGAGAGTAAAAGAAATAAAGAAATTAAAAACCCGTTAATAAAATTTAAAGAGACCCAAGTGACTGCACAAGAGGGAAAGACATTTAGGGAAAAGAAAGGGAGAAAAACGGGAAAGAAAAACAGAAAAGGGACAACAAGCAATGCCTGGCCCTGCCTACCCAGCTCCATCAGCTGCTGTGTTCTTTGCAGAGTGGCCTGCCTTACCGAATCCCAAAGTTGCCTCCGAGATTTTCACCCTCCCGACACCAACTCAGTTGTGCTCCCAGTCAGTATCTTCATTAATTGAGGATTTGGCCCTGAACACCCCTCTTCCAATTTCAATCTCAGATCTCAAAGTTTGGAAAGCCCCCTTCCGGGCCTCCATGTGACAGAAAATCCCCTGCTAATCTAGGCTACTGACCCTCAACCTTCCTCTTGCCCTACCACGACACATGAGAGCCGCCATCACCACCAATGTCACTGTCACCAGCGCCCCCTCTCTATTTCCCATTCCACTGCCTGATGGCACTGTAGGAAATTCCTCCCCCGCCCAAAATACTGCTTCAGCCCACAGAGCTGAGTCAATAACTCCCTATAAAACATCCGGATGTTACCAAGTGAACTTTTATAAGATTCTGTCTGTTGAGGACCACGGAAACAGACCAATACTTCTTGACTAGACTGAGATGAACTAAAGACAGGATCCAGCTTGCGGTGAGGTTTTTCCTTACTATTAAAGGGTAGTAGTTCATAATTTTTTTTATGAGAAGAAACTTACTGTGAGAGTTCAGCAGTTTCTTCATCATATATTTTTTTTCTCTCAGACAGTTCATCAGGCAGATACTTCACTATTAATTCTTCCAACAGCTGTGTGACACAGTACCTCCTATCTGCTAGATACTAAAAGACAATATTATTTTACATTCCAGCAGTGGTTTTCCTACAGTATAAAACAGGCAACACAGTTAACTGATATATTAAAG
Source organism: Homo sapiens (assembly GCF_000001405.40). Lineage (NCBI taxonomy): Eukaryota > Metazoa > Chordata > Mammalia > Primates > Hominidae > Homo > Homo sapiens. Next base: position 12,731,941 of record NC_000008.11, read on the forward strand.
CCTTTATTACATACTTATACCATCAATTCTGGATTAATTAGTGAGGGGAACATTACAATGGATGATGCTAAGCAAAAAAACCTGTCTGAGGCTTTGCACAAGAGCAGTAAAGATAGTTGGCTGCAACCTGAACCAAGCCCTGTACAGAAGAACTGCTTCCTGCTGTGACCACAGCTTCTCTATTAGCCGCAGAGGGCCCTGCCCTGCCGTCTTCCACAACAGAGGCCCTTTTCCACCTGACAGCTCATGGGCACTAAACTATCATTTTAACTGAGATACAAAAACGGGATAAGGAATAAATAAAATAACACATTTGCCTTATTTAAGAAAAGCAAAACATCTGTTTTGTTCCCAATTTCAGACACAGTCTCTAGATAAATTTTCTTTCAGATTTTTCTTCCATTGTCACCCACTATTGAGTAGAGGAGCAGACCTCAACTCTGTCCTTGAGTGACCCAAGGAAGGTGCGTTTCTTGGGACACTATCACTCAGACCCTTATCAAGATATTGCTTTTCCTGTATGATCCATCTACCCCAGCTCTATATAAAATCTTACATTTGCGCTGACCCCTAAATACTCTGAAAAAGTACTATCCTCATGCATTTTTGTGTTATTCTCTATTCCAACTTACAAAAGCCATCTCTCTCACTCCTGCTTATGCAAAACATGTCTATCCTTCAAGGTCTGACTCCAATTTTACCTTTTTCACAAACTCTTCCTTAATTATTTTTTTCTCTCCCAAGAACCCATATTTTACTGTTTTTACCACATAGTAGGCATTGTAGCGTGTAGTATATGTACACAGATATATTACATCTCTGTAGTTAAACTAAAAATTGCTTAGGGTAGGGCCAGGGACATGGTCAGGGTGTATGCACAGAACTTTGTACAAAGAAAATGCCCAATACATATTTATTTCATAAAATTAGTGAGGAAAACCTCCTGGGAAACTATCACAAGATGAAGCCATCCTTGAATCTGCAGTCAGTAAAAGCAAGGGTTTTGTCATTATCCAATGAAGAGTAGATGGGGAAATGCGAGAGGTTGGGAAACTGGTGGTGGTTTTCAAAGTTTAGCATGAATCGCGGCTTGTTAAAATACAGACTACTGAGCCCCACGCCAGAGTCTCTGAGCATCTGGGGTAGGGTCCAAGAATCTATGTTTCTAACAAGTTGTCAGGTGACAGATGCTGCTGGTCAGGGGAGCATGGGGAGAGGTGGCCTTGGGCAGGTAGTATATACACAGATAATAAGTGTTTATCACAAAATTAATCAAATTAGCTGTCATAAAAGCAATTCCATTATCATTTTCTATTAAGTTAATAAAGATGTTTAAACATCTAGGGAAATACAGCCACTCTTACATTACTGATAAAAATCTCAATAAATGTAACATTTCTGGGGATGAGGCAATCCAACAATTGGTTTTAAGGGCTTCATAAATATATGGCTTTTGATCCAATAATTCACCTCCCAAAAATTTAACCTAAGGAAATGGTTATTGCCTTATTTAAGAAAAGCAAAACATCTGTTTTGTTCCCAATTTCAGACACAGTCTGTAGATAATTTTTCTTTCAAGTTTTTCTTCCATTGTCACCCACTACTGAGTAGAGGAGCAGACCTCAACTCTGTCCTTCAGTGACAGATATATAATATCTGTCATAATATCTTCGATTACATAAAGATGCATAAAATCATTCATTTTAAATGATGTTGGCAAAAGCATAGTATATAAAAAAGAGAACAAGAAACCTTATATATCCAACAACAAAGAAATGTTAAATCACTGGACTATTATGCTGCTATAAAAACAATGTATCTAAAATAGATGGAAATGGAAAAATGAGCAAAATAAAATGACAAGTAGGAAAAATGTAAAACTGAACAGCATACCAATCTTTTTTAAAGTATATGTATTTTGAATTTACAAATTATATTACGCAGGGTATCTTCAAAGTTGGAAACAGGATATTGCTAAATAGTATGTTAGTTATACTTTCAAAAAATATGCTTAGTATATATTTTTCAATCTCCAGACATTTTTTAAAGAGGGAATATCCCTAATCAAAGCAATAGATCTAATATTATGCCAAAAACCACAATTACTTTTGCACCAACCTAACAGTTAATCTGGAAAAACAAGCATCATAGTTATCCTGGGGGGGTATTTAAATGAAGTCTGGAAAAATAGCATGTTTACAGTACTTCATCTAAAAACATTGAGCATATTAGCTAAAAATGTAACTAACAAACTCTTTTAAGAATAAATGTATCTGATGTTTCCTGACTTTGAGAAAATTCTAAATATGCTTTTGTTTTACATATCAGCTTGTTATATATGTAAGACACATATCAAATGTAATAACAGACATGCTATTATGACATCCGTACTGAGTTGTTTTCTATACAGGAAATACTGTATGTATATTCATAATGGTTTTATGAATTTTTCAATTCATATTTGGAAGATACTTTTTTTTAAGCAATCCTGTCAATCACCAGAGACAGAATCACTTTCCCCAATCAACGCTACAAACTGCAATTGCCTCTCAGAATCACAGGCTTTAGCCTGACAGTAGGTGATCTGCAGTCACTCAAGCATGATTAAGAGGGTGCTCTCTTCTCATCAATTAGAGAAGACATCCACTGAGATCTAGCTACTTTCCTATCACAGGTTATTAGCACTGATCACTGACTCTACAAGAAGGGGAATAGGAAGCTGTACCTCCCTCTCTTCTTTCCAATCTACCACTTTTCTAGAGCTGCATTGCCCAATGTCGCAGCCATTAGTCACATGTGCCTACTTAAATTTAAGTTAATAAAATGTAAATATAGTTCCTCAGTGACACTAACCATATTTAAAAGCTTAACAGGCAAACATGGCTAATGGCTAATATATCTGACAGCAAAGATATGGAACATTTCCATCAATGCAGAAAATTCTATTGAACAAAGTTGTTCTAGATGTTGAGGAAGCTGAAACAGTCCTCACATCTGGCTTATTATTGAGGGTTGGAGGCAGGGCAATAGGGTTTCCCCAGTATAGTCATCACCAAAATTGAACTTATCCCTGACCAGATAACTAACCATACCCACTTTTGTTTAAAAAAAAAAAATTAAGTACAAGGGGGTTGGTCTTCAGCATCTGTCTTCTTTCTCCCCATCCTCTTCAACCTCACTTTTCTCCAACATTAGCATATGGGTAATAAAACATTATCCTTGTTAGTCACTCAGAATATAGAATGTAATTCTGAACGTGATCATCACTATTTCTATGGCTGAACAGAAATTAAACCATGCTGCCAAACTTAAGACCAACAAACAGACACATATACAAATATTTACCTCTTTTAAGCTTTCTTTGCAAAGAGGACAATATGGTGCATGATCTAAACAACGCTCAAGACAATTCTTACAGAACGAATGTCCGCAAGGGGTTGTTACTGGCTCAAAAAACAACCTGAAATCAACCAAGATACATGTTAGTTTTCACATTAAACTATCCACTGAAAAGCTTGTACTACTTTAGAACCATAACACTAATCTCTATTTAAAGGAGGAAGAAGGAGGGCCCAGCAGGCAGGAGAGGAGAGAAAGGGCAGTGATAAGTGTAACCATACCCTCCAGAATGTTTTAAAATTCTCCATCAACAAAGGCCTCCTGCCAAAGGCCTAGAGCCAAGGGCCTAGAGCTGTCCTGACTAACGCAACAGCCCCTGGACACTATGGCTACTAATCACTTGAAATGTGGCTAGTACAAGCTGATATGTGCACTGAATGTAAAATACATACCAGATTTCAAAGACTTTCTGCAAAATAAATAATGTAAAATACATCATTAAAAATCATTAGTTAGCTTTTGTATAGCCTTTAGATTCCCATTTTAATATCAACTTAAAAATGATTCCTTAATAGGTTTATAAGACCCTTATGATATAAAACTCATAAAAAGAATGACCTAATAAATAATGCAGTTGAATCCTAATGTTAGACTTAATACTAAATGTATTATTCAAACATTACAGAACAACTAGTTTTACTTATTTTCTGAAACATGATAGTTTTGAATTTGCTAGAAATAGATTTAGAGGTACTTTAGGGACTGTTTAGTATAATCCCCTCACTTCACAGATGAAGAAACCAAGGCTCAGAATTAAGACTTGCTCAGGAATGTAACTGCTACCAGCCTAGTGTGACCAGCACTAGGCCTCCTGACCCCGTATGAATCTTTTGATCCTACACAATTCATGTAAATGAGAAATGTTATTTCAAAACATTTAGTCTTTTAGAATTATAGCATTCTGAATAATGGAAATCCTTATCCTTATGTTACTTTAAAAAGACTTTATGGTTAATATACATTAATAAGATAGGATCATATACATAAAATACTAATTAGAATTCATACCCAAATTTAAAACCATGGAGATAGGTAAGTTTCAAAAATAATATCATCTATAACTTTCTTAGTACTTTACAATTTCCCAGATTCCTTTTATACTGAAGCCATGTGATTCTCACAACAATGAGATGTAGGCCATGCAAAGCTTGATCCCACTTTCTAAATTAGGAAACCTGAGGTTCAGAGATTCAGTTATTTGCCCAAGGCATGAAAGGTAAACCCAGGACTAAAATTCATGTCTTTTGATTTTTATTCCAGCATTGTGTTACTTTACATTGTCTATTATTACCTTTATCTACACGGTATTTTATGTATACTAACATAAAATATTCATCTTCTATAAAGTTTTATATGCTTACCTCATGCAGAGAGAACACTCGAAATCTGAGACATCGATTAATTCTTCTGGAATATCACCATAAGCTAAGGAAAACATACAGACTTCATTGGGAGTTTCTATTAAAACAAAGACATGGGGTTTTCTTCCTTAGGAAAAACTTTAAAGACTATTCTGACTAAATAAATTTATTTTATATAAGTGTAGAGCAAAATTTTTACCTCCTTGTTTTTTCAGCTTATTTCTTCCATCTTCATTTACAATCACATCCTGTTCTAAAAGAGACAACTTTCTTTTCAGCAGAACACCTTTTTCTTGAACTGACAGAACAGGTTCTGAGGACACTCTTTTTAAACAGTCCTCTCTGGCAGGCATTTCTGTTGAATTTATAGACTGTGCTGACTGAGCACGGTTTAAGCTTCCTTTGACAGGCTCTGAAGTGACCTCTGGTATTTCTTCACTCTACAAAAATACAATAAACAAAGGTAACTGTATTTCTTTACTATCCTTTATTCCTCTCACCAAGAATCAAACTGAAATGAAATTTCAATGCCTTATAATGCTCATTTTAATGTTCATTTAATAGCACTAACTTGATTCCAACACTGTGACAAGTAAATGATTTTTGCCAGCACAGTTGGCCCTCCGTATCCACAGGCTCTGCATCCGTGGGTTCATCCAACTGGGGATAGAAAATATTCTAAAAAAAAGCCTGAACATATATCGACTTTTTTCTTGTCATTATTCCCTAGACAATACAGTATAACAACTATTTACATAGTATTTACATTGTATTAGGTATTATAAGTAACCTAGAGATGATTTAAGTATACAGGAGGATGTGCATAAGTTATATGCAAATACTGTGCCATTTTATTAATATATCAGGGACTTGAGCATCCTTGGATTTGCTATCTGTGAGAGGTCCTGGAACCAATCTCCCACAGATACAAGGGATGACTGTACTTACACAGCCCTAGAAATCAAGGTGACTTATGTTATAATGAGGTTTAAAAGTAGTTATGCTATAACACAGCTGTTACTACCCTGAGGAAACATAAATGCAATGTTCTATACATATTTTTAAAGAACTAAAAGTTTTCTTTCACGGGACCTAAAATTGTGATTCATTAGCAAATATTTTACATAAAAGATTTTAGTGTAAAGTAAAGGCTATGGAAAAAATTCTACTATGATAACTAACCAGGTTAAAAGTACTTAAGTAGGTGCTAGTACTTGAAACTAGGAAAGTGAAGCTCTTAACTCGTAAAGAAATGGATACGCTAAACTCATGATAACCTTGTCTCACCCCGTACCTGCTTTGGGCTAGGTTCATTGAGAGACTGAGACTCTTCCATCACTGAATGAAAATCAAAAGGTCTGTTTTTAGTACATGGTAATGAACTCCAGGAAGATTCCTTCAGGCCTTCTTTTAAGTTTTCAGGTAATAATAAATCACATAAAATCTGTAAGAGAAATATTAAAAGTAGTAGAAAATATAAAATATTTGGTTAAGGATAATTTTGTATAAATTTACCTAATAAAGAATATGTAGAAAGTTTGTAGCAGACATTTTTTTAATGAGCAGGAGGGGAACAAGGTAAGCAACACTGTAAGTTCAAAAGTCTTGCAAAATTAGGTGTGCCTCATGGGGTCAAATCACCCGCAAACAAATGATTCAAAACTTTGAAAGGAAAGCATGGGAGTAGTAAGACTCAGGATAAAGGCTGATCTTTCAACACAAAGACTATAAAAAGATCTTAAAAGACATATTAAATATTTATCTCTGAATCTTAGTGAGCCCTATGCTATCAAAATAGTTCATGGTTCACCTCAATGTATATTTACGAAGTTGGCCTTGGGGCACTTATGTGAACTACACTTGGACTTCTAACTACAAAACTACAAAATTCCCTGTACTTACACTCAATTTAATTTCTCACTGAATAACTAACCTGTGTGGGCAGTTACTGCTGCCCAATACTTGGTTAGAAGCACCCCATGGCAGCTTCCCTATAATAGCGAGGAAATAAGCTGGGAGACAGCTGGAGAATCAAATTTCTGGGTGCTTACCTCAGGAATATGCCTAAAACTCCAACAGAAACAGGTTAAGATAGGGGAAGAACATGGCTAGAATGAAATGAAAGGGATTCTGATATTTTTGGTGGTCAAACAATCTGTATTTATAGGTATAGCACATATTAAAGTCTAAATTGGAGGTTCGGTTTTTCAGCTGTTATCTTTCAAATACACAAAAATCAAAATAAATCACAAATCATTTATGGAAATATAAACAATGTAGATAAAAGCACGTATCTTTGGTAGGTGCTCAAATACTCCATTTAATAAGCAAACATTTAAAAATCTGTATATACACATTTACATTTCCTCTGTTTTAAAAAATAAATTAAACACACATCCACCCTAGAACCCAGCAATTCCACTGCTAAGTTTTTGCCAAAGGGATGTAAAAACATATGTCCACAAAATGACTTGTACAAGAATACTCATAGCAGCTTAGTTTATATCAGGAAAAAATACTGGAAACAATCCAAATGAAAATCACTACTAACTGAAAACCACAAATTCCATTATGTTCATATAATGGAATACTTTAAAAAACAATAAAAAATGACTAGATGTATCTAAAAAATATGTTCAGCAAAAAAAAAAAAAAAAAACAAACCCAGACACAAAACAGTATATATTGTATGATTCCATTCCAATGAAGTTCTAGAATAAGTAACACTACTCTACAGTGACAAAAATCTGAACAGTAGTTGCCTCTAGGAGCAGGGGATGGAGGATTTACTGGAAAGGAGATGAAGGTACTTTCTAGGGTGATGGAAATATTCTCTGTTTTGATTGGGATGCTGTTACACAGGTACATACATTTTTCAAAACTCACTGACGTGTAAAATCCATGCATTTTATTATATGTAAATTATACCACAACTTAGAAAAAGTATATTGGAGAAAAACAAAATATTCTAAAGCATTATTTGTTTTGCATCTACCTGATCCTATTAACCAGCAAACAAATAGTTACAGAAATAGAAGGATGTCTGGCAGCATGCAAAATGCAGAAACACATGCTCTTAAAATTAAAGTTTGCAGTCTTACCAAGAAGATAACACTAACGAACATGGAACAGTCAGAAAACAGACAATAGTAAACATTTTCTTCTTAAATCAGTGGGCTAGAATGTATATACAAACAAACCTCATAGAGGCTATACCAATGCCAGCTGGATTCTTAAGGCGGCTGAGATCTGAGAACAATCTCAAAGTTCTCATGCTTCAGGGTACAAAAACATCTCCTGGGATGCTTCTTAAATGACTGCTCCAATTTTAGAGATTCTGAATCAAAGACTTGTAGTTGGTGGGCCCAGGACTCTTTAGGTTTAACATGATCCCCACATGATTCTGACAAAAAGCCACACTCTAAGAAACACTGATAAATAACGTGGCATGTTTTGAGTATGTGCAGGAAAGCATCATGACTGGGACCCTGAATTTGTATTAGCATAGATTTTCTCAAAGAATTTTTCGAAGATATTCTGTGAATAAGTCTTGCAAGAGCTGAGTGCTATTTTATTTCATGCTGGCATATCAAAAGCTATGAAACGTTCTGGAGAAACCTAATTAACTTGGCTTAACCCAATGCTTCCCAAAGTCACTTCATCAGACAGCTCCCTTCCTTCCCCCATCTCCTATCTTTAAAAATTAATTACTAACACACCACAAATAGAACAAAGTATGGAAAGTGACATATGGAGTATTGAAAAAACTAAGGCAAAACAAGTGGACTGAGCAATACTATTGGCAATCCTGCGGAGTAAGCAAAGGTTAGACCTGAAGTAAAAGGCAAAAGGCAGGTCAGTAAGGCTTCTGAGCAGGAACATCGTGATAGTAATGCTTAATTAAGGACCATCAGTCTGGCTCAGATTGAACAAACTATTAGAATACTAACCAAAAAAATGCATTGAAATATCTGTGAATGAAATGTTTCGATTTCACTAAGAACTCAATATAATACGTACATGAACCTGAAAACCACTCAAATTATCACATTTGTTCCTAAGTTAGATTTATTTACTACTTATGTTCTTATTCCAACTTTTATTAGCTTTTTTTTTTAAACCTGTCTGCCTCTTAGCCCTACCATGAACTGTAATTGTTGGTAAACTGATTACCTTTTGTACTTGCAGCTTTGCAGGTGCAAAATCTTCATCAAGGGCTAAGCACTGAAGAAAGAGTTGTAAGGCATCACCTAAAAAACCAGCATCGCAGAGTACTTTTCCTTTCCTGAAGTAGACCTTTAATAAAAGCAGATATATAAAACCTTTGTGTTAAGAATTGCTTTTTAAAAAATCATTATCAAGTAAAGAAAAACAATAGTCTGCTCAGCAGTGCCGATTCTGGGCCGGGTGCAGTAGCTCACGCCTGTAATCCCAGCACTTTGGGAGGCTGACAAAGGTGGATCACTTGAGTTCAGGAGTTCGAGACCAGTCTGGTCAACATGGTGAAACCCTGCCTCTACTACAAATGCAAACATTAGCCAGGCACGGGGGCATGCACCTGTAATCCCAGCTAACTGGGAGGCTAAGGCATGAAAATCACTTGAATATGGGAGGTGGAGGTTGCAGTGAGCTGAGATCACACCAATGCACTCCAGCCTGGGTGACGGAGTAAGACTCTGTCTCAAACAAACAAAAAAAGGAAATGCAGATTTTGAAATTCTGAATAATTGAGGCCAAAGCATTTTAAAGGCATACCTACACACCACCCTGGAGAAGCACTAACAGGGGAACTGAGGCCCAGACAATGACTTTTTCACCAAAGTTCCACACCAAGTCAGAGCTGGGCAGGATCAGAAATACCATGTCCCCACAATTTAAGGAAATTACTGATTTAAATATTATTGATTTAATTTGAGGGAAAAGGAAATTATACGTAAAATTATACTGACTAAGAATCCATCAAAATTAAAGAAATATTAAAATGTGAAAAAAATTTTGTCTTAGATTTAGGGCAGTATGGTAAATTTCTTCCAAGTTATTAGGAATGTATAATTGCCCATGAAATTTTTTAAGGAAGTACTTATAGACATGACACTTTTCATAAATCCCTTATTTTGTCTTTCACTTTTCTCCTTCATAATGTGAGTTCAGCAAACTCTATGACAAAAATTAGAGTCCTACTAATTATCACTGATAAACCCAAAATTCAGTCCTGTGGGTTGGTCCACCAACAAAGTATCAACTGGTAAGCTTTAAATGTTCCTTGCTTATGTGATTAGAATGAAACAGATTCTTAGTATTAAATAATATCAGAGGAGCCTAAAGAACGTTCTAGCCAAACAGTTTTTTAGCTACCACTTTAATGGCTGAAGAAAACCTTTCTGATTACATCACTTCTGTGGCAAATCCAAAAGATTCCTTTTCAATAGTTTTAAAGCCATGCACACTGACCACTGCCCTCTTATTCTGAATACATTTACTTTGTACTAACCAGTCATGCCATCATGAGATTTCGTATCATTTCTCTAATTAATTTATACTTTTTAGAGCAGCCTTACTACACTGTCCTCAAAGACACAGTTTTGAATGGAGGGAAAAGGTCACTTAAAAGAGTAACTTATATCTTAAAGAACACATTTGGACTAATTTGCCTTGACAATTTGATAAAAAGGAGAATCTGTAAACTGACTGTATGTTATACACATTCCTAAGTCTTTTTAAAAGCCACATGGGCAAGGCAACTTCCTTTGTCCCTATCTTCTGAATTAAATCACTGCCTAATCATCTAGTTACCATATAATACCTCAAAAAGTTTCCAACTTTAAGAACCTATTCTCTTTCCATTAATAAATCTCATTCAATGAAGTCCAGTTTGTATCCATCTTCACAATATGGCAAGTTGTATTTCTTTGCAGACATTTTGTATAATAAAGTCTTTTTTTTTCCTGTACCATGAATTGTTTGTTCCTTATTTATGAAAGAAAAGTCTCTTATAATTTAAAAAATTGTGAGATGATACTCCTCCACTCAAAATATTGAACCTAGATTTTTTTTGAGACAGGGTCTGACACCAAGGCTGGAATGCAGTGGCACTTCAGTGGCACAACCTCAATCTCCAGGGCTCCAGTGACCTTCCCACTTCAGCCTCTCGAGTAGTTGGGACTACAGGCACAAACAACCATGCCAGGCTCATTTTTGTGTTTTTTGTAGAGATGGGGTTTCAACATGTTGCCCAAGCTGGTCTCAAACTCCTGGGCTCAAGCAATCCGTCCAACTCAGCGTCCCAAATTGCTAGGATTATGGAAATGAGCCATTGCACCTAGGTGAACCTATATTTCTAGAGCACTAGATATTTTATTTGGAGTCAACCATCTACTTTGTTAAAATTCCTAACTGTGAATGAATGCATGTCCCTTATAGTTAAAATTTTACAATTTATGCAAACATAAAACAGTAATTTTACCTCAGGCCAATCTGGAAGTTGAAAAAGAACTGCATTTAAATCTTCTATGGCTGCTTTAAACTCTTGGAGACCAGCATATGATTCCGCTCTGTAAATTTTTACAATCAAGTCACTGGGTTCTGAAATAAATATTTTATAAGGATATGATTATTTTTAAAAGATTATTACATAATCTACAAAATATGATCATACCAGATTAAGAAATGACTTAGTGATTCCAGGGTTAATAATCACCAAACTAAAGTCTATAAGCCAAAGGCAGTATAGGCACAACCCATTTTACGTGTTGAATCTTATCTAGAAGTTGTATCAAATCATTGTAAGTAGATCATTTTAGTGGAGGAAACTGTTTTCCAGAATACTGTAAATACTTTTATAATATGAATAATCACTCCTAAGAAAACTTTTTTTTTAACAAAGGGTAGTCTATAAAGATTTTAAAGACATATTTCTTAGATGTTTAGATTTGCCTTTTTATAGTAAATCTTATATTTTTACCCTACTTTCTAAATCTTCATTTATAAAAATAGCCATACGTGTAACTATTACATATGGAATTCCCACGGTGACAAGGGACTGATAAAGGCTCAATCTTATGAGCATACACAGTAGTCTTGATTCTGGAGGAAATGGGTTAATAAGAGTCAGCTTTTAAGAGATCGAATTTTAATTCCTGCCATTAGCAAAAACAGTATTGGCCCAATTCAAAATATATTTAATTTAAAATACTCCTGAGAAAAAACGCTTTGTGATTCATTTCACTATCATCCACATCTGTACTTAAGAAGCCAAATTATTATCCTATGGCATTCAGAATTTCAGACACTTAGCTGGTTCACTGATATTACTGCAATCAATTACTACAGGTACACAGATTCTAAAACTGATGTCCAAGCAAGACATTAATTTATAATATAGCAACAAATGACATTAACTTGACTCTTATTTTAAAGCTATCTTTGAGATCTTTAAAAGCATAAAGTATTCATTGTAAGATGGGCATAAAGACCTTAATGCCTCTAAATAAAATTTAATAAAATTTATCAATAGCTGCCGGGTTTACTCTAGTTTTTAGATGATTGCTTTTCTATTCAAAACTCTCACTTGAGCAATTAATTTAGGAAGGCCTCTTTCAGTTGCTGGTGCCTGAGAACTGGGATTACAATGTTCTCAGAATTTTATATCAACGAAAACATTTAAAGAATAAAATTAATATTTTATAAAAATGTTTTACTTGTTAAAAAAAGACATGTCTAGAATATTGTGTCTTGTGCTTCTTAAAGCAATGAAAAATTATCTCTGAACAAAATGCATAAGAATTAAAAGTTCAATATGATTAATCAATCAAGAATTAAGAGTTCCTAGCACAAACCTAGACCCTGTAGGTATTCAAAAATGTTTTACATTATTCCTGTTTTTGAGGAGCTTATAATCTAGCTAGAAAATTTTACTGTCAAACAGCATCATGCAATACTGACTTGTCAAGTACAACTGGAGGTGAGAAAACAGAGCAGCGTATGGCAAAATAGTCTAAGAACAAGTAGTAAAAGCATCAGCATCAAAAACTCCAGGCTATAAAAGACTAGGCTCAGAAAGTGCAGTTTTCCACCCACAGCTGGGGTGCTTCCAATAGCATCCTTGAGACAGACTCCGCTCTAGTACCTCCAGCGAGGAGTTCACTACTGCAACAAGCAGCCCATTCTTGGATTTTTATTTTTTTTAACTTCCATTTTTTCTTATACATCAAGTTCTCACTCCTTTATATTTGATGACATGCACGTTCAGAACTGCTGAATATTTCCCCTTTTATCCATGCCTTCACTGCTCAATCACCTTTATACAGTTTCTTTACGGCAGCAGTGAAAGAAGTGACTCAGAAGACCCGTCTTTGAAAAAACAAACTATAAAATGTATCCACTCTGACCAAAGCAAAAAAAGACATATTCCTTCCCCTCTCCACACAGAAAAATTCGGGATATTGAGATCTCCCTAAAGGAGGTCCTAAAAAGTCAGTATATGTTGGGGTAAGAAGAGAAGATGCACGCCCTAAGTAGAGATAAAAAGAGCCAGATTTTAAAACTCTTTGTTCCCTAACTCCTTGTATGTAATGCTCTTATTGAAAATGTTAACCGATTATTTTGAATGATTATTTTTTTGGAAAAAAAAAAAAAAAAAAAAAAAACCAACCCCATCAGGTGAGTTCAAACTTCCAATACTTTTAAAAAAAGATTAGGACCATCACACTGATCTCAAATTCTTAAGCGCCAAGTGCGCTAAATGAGCCCCTTTGAAAAGCATACACAAGGTCTGCCTTCCACGTAAACTTTCAAGAAAGACAACAAAATGGCTATCAGTCCTGACTGTATCATTAACTTAAGTTTGAAAGAGTCAACAAGTATTTACTGTATGCTCTCTACGTGACCTTGAGGACACTACAGACGAGTCACCTCACTGCACACGCCATCAGGGAAGATGCTGGTGCTCACTCCATTACTGCAGGTATCTGTATTGCCCAGCAAGTGCCTGGCATATTATGTATTTTCCATTTTTGAAATCGACAAAATTTCAAAAGTTGTCAAAATTTTGACAACATTGACAAAATCCAAAGACAACATGGTTTGGGTTAATTGTATTGAATATGACTGTGGTACTTAACTCTGTGACCTTATTCTAAATCACTTAATATCTCTGGTCTTGTACCCATATCTACCAGAAGCAGGGACAGATGTGCTAGTTGTCATGATTTAACTCCCTGATCTTTATCTTTAGTCCTGATTTTTCACCCTAACTTCAGATTCATCAAATTTCCAACTGCCTGCCATAATTTTTCTAAACTCAGCATTCTTCACCAAAAAAGCATTTTTCATTGTATTCTCTATTATTGACACCACTAACTTCCCAAATCAGAATCAACTTTGTAAATGTCACCTCCTATGATATTCCTCAAATCTCCCCTTTTCCAATCCTATCTCTAGTAATCCTGGGTTAGGCTCCCCAAATCTCTAATACTATTGCAATAGCTTGCTCACTGATCTCCCTGCCTTCAGTTCTACTCTACCTATATCCTTACCATTCACAAGGTAAAACAGGTATTATTTAGTACAAGTTCCTCCATGCCTGGCTCCTGCCCATCTCTCCAGCCTTAATTATCATTATGAACCTTCCCACTCACTCAAAGTCCCAACCATACCTAACTACCCACACTGCCCCATGTACACCATTCTATTTCATGCCTCATTCCTGTGCTGAGCTCCTCCCTTACCATACCATTCTTTATCTTGATAAGTTTTTATCATCCAGCAAGACAGCTCACCAGTCTCCTCCCAAGATGCTTTGCTTTGGGTCTTCCTCCACAATTTATGATAACCACTAAGAGCATGATCTGGCTCTTCCACCCACTCACTGTGACTTGGGGTAAATTACAAGTAATCTCTGTACTTTAATTTCCTTAGCTTTAATATTCCGGGGCTTTTAAAACATTATTAACACCACTATGTGCTGTTCTAAATGATTTACAATCTTCAGCACAATTCTACATGGATCTAGGATTGTCCACATTTTTATAGAAAACAGTGAAGAGTATATGCAGCTTGCCCATGATCATACAGCTAGTAATTGGTGGATTCGAGATTCTAACTCAGGAAGCCAGCTCCAGAGTTCTAGCTGTTTACCTCCATGCTATTAATATGTTGGTAACAGTCTCTACCCCAAGGCTTACTCTAGAGAGTAAGTTAATCGGTGCATAGTACTTAGAACAGGGCTTGGTACATTGAAAGCATGGCGTGTTTGCTATTATGATTCTGTGCCTTCATCGTATATATACATTATTTATTAAAGTAATTTAATTCAAAGATGTTTGAACTCCCTCCGTTATTTCCTGCCTTTTATCCTCAGATCCTGGCTTTGATAAATGTTTCCTGAATTAGAAAAAATTCATTAAAATTTGATTCCTTAAGCTCAATTCATGTTCCCATTTTCTCCTTTTATACCCAGTATTATTTGTAAGTCATTCAGCAAGGAAAAAGATTTAAATAAGACTCTGCTCCACCATCTGAGGAATCTAGTCTTCGGCTGTCCAAAGCATTTATTTCATGGGTTGAAGAGAGAGTTTTCTATTCTAGAGTCATGGTTTTCTATCTTTGTTCCAATCATTAGAGATCCATGGTTAGTAACAGGTCTTAAAGTTGTTTCTTTAGTTCACCTTCAAGAAAGTTTTTTTCAAATCACAAAAGCTTAAAAAATGTTTACTCATACAATTTGAAAAATATAGAAATAAGAGGTAAAAACTATCTTTTACCCATCACAAAGAAATAGCCAGTGTTGGTGTTAACAAAAGAAAAAATTAGCACAAATTTAAGGTTCGAATTGACTTTTATTTGTGATTCTAGGAATGGGCAACAGCTCATTCTATAAAATGGGTCTTCTAATGAGCTAAGCAGAGGAGGTTAGCCTTCTAGGCAGAAAAGGTTTAAAGAAAGCAGAAATAAGGGACAAAAAGTAGATTGGTTGTTTTAAAGTTGAAAACTTTCTTTACAGGTTAAAACAGAGAGGGCTGTCTTATTTCACTAACTCAGGTTGACTGAAATCTCTCTCTTTTTTTTTTTTTTTTTTAGAAAACTGGCTCATTTCAGTTCAAATTCAAAGTTCAGTTTGATTATGTGGCACTCAGCACAAGGGCCTCCATTCTAATTCTGTCTGGTCTGCTGGTGCCTAGTGCAGGTCAGTCTAAAACAAACGGCCTCCCATACATTTTTGTTCTTTATGTGTAAAGTACATTTTTAACATGTAGTTTTATAAAATATACTATATATGCTGTTTATAATCTGCTTTTTTTCCCATGTAATACTAGTCCACATGATTTTTAATAGTTGCAAAATATCCTACTATATATACAACCTATTTAAAAATTTCCTACTCTGCAATTAAGTTACTTCCAACTTTTGGCAGTATAAAAAGTATAACAAACGTCTATCTTTATGTACCTGCTTGCCTTTTTAGTTATTTGCTATACAGTATGTAGAAAGTTATTTATTGCTTGTACTTTATTTATTTGAGAAAAGATCTAAGATCTCACTCTGTAGCCCAGGCTGGAGTGCAGTGGCATTAACATGGCTCACCGCAGCCTCGACCTCCTATGCTCAATAGATACTCCAGCCTCAGTAGCTGGGACTCCAGGTGCATGCCTCCACACCTGGCTAATTTTTAAATTTTTTTGTACAGATACGGTACCACTATGTTGCCCAGGCTGGTCTCAAACTCTTGGGCTCAAGTGGTCCTCCCTCCTTGGCCTCCCAAAGTTTTGGCATTATATGCATGAGCCACCATGCTGGGCCTAGAAAGTTATAAAGATATACAACATTTCCAACACATTCTGCCAACCCTTCTTTTATAAAGACTTTATTTTATACTCCCACAAGCTGTGTTTCTTCTCTTTGCTAGAAATACATAAATTAAAAATAGCATCGTAATTTTAACAACCTCCATTTCTTCATTAAGTTTGACCTTTAAAACTTTGTGTTTATTCAGTATTTGGGCTGTGTATAAAGTTCTCTATTCATATTCCTTTTCTCATTTTTCTGAGTGTCTTTTTCTGAGATTTATATATCAAGCTATCGAAATTTTCAAAGGCTAACCAGAATATCAATTTTTTTTTTTTGCTTCTATTGCTTCATTATGTTCAGTATAGTATGACTTGGTTACCAGGGTTGAGCTCAAAGCTGCCAAGTGATAAGCTGTTGATCATTGATTAAGAATGTTCAGGAGTAGGAGTTTGGGATAGTAAGATCATTAACACTAGATTCAGAAATTGGGTTCAGATCCCCTTTTGGTAGTTTAACTCTTTGAACTCTCCTGACCTATAATATGCTTACCTCTAAAACACCTACATTTTATAACTGCTGTGAGGATTGAATAAGATAATGCATGTTAAACAGTTAACACCAAACCTAAGACATACATGCTCCATCTATAATAATTGTTGATAACATTCCAAAATATCTCAAAACAAAGTGATGAAGATATTAGATTAACCCTTGATACAAGATACAGAAGAGTATTTTCTACCTTGTCTTTTACCCACATAAATGGTAGCCTAGATAAGAAACATCTTTAGGGATCAGGAGAGCAGACTGGACAACAGACAGCACAAAGGTGGGTCAAGGGGATGGGAAGCAAAAGACCTTACCAAAGGGAAAGAAAAAACCAAACAGAAGCTTCCATCTTGCATTTTAGAGTTCCCTGAAGTCATTCAACTTCAATAATAAAACAATTCCAATTTTGAGAAATACCTTTGGAAAGAGGCAGAACACTATACAAATTCATTTAAAATTTTACTCGAGATTTTCCAAGGCTCTTAGAAATATTCCAACAAACAGAAAAATGATTCTGAATAAACAAAAAGTTAATATATAAATAACTAGAAATCTAAGATAATTCAGTTTTGGTAAATTCTGCATTTGATGAATGAAAAACAGTTAAAAAACAAATTATTCATTTGAAATGGGACACTTGAATCAGTTTTTTTATCATTTATATCAAAAGCCATTACAGTTGATCTTTTTAGTAACCCTGAGGCACTAAGAAAAAAAATCCTTAAAGTACCTTATGAATCAAAGAAAATAATTAGAGATATAGTCTCGGTTAAGTAGAAGCCAATTAAGCAGTAAACCCCATTTTCTAGGGATTTTCAATTTGCTGCAATTACAAAAGAAACAAAAAATACAAACTCTACAAGGACAGGGACTTTATTTTACTCCTTTTTTATATTTCTAGCACCTAAAACAATGCCTGGTATATAGTAGCTACTCAATAAAAATTTGCTGAATAGTAAGAATATTTTAGATTTATGTTTTGCGTGCTAATTTTTAAATCAACTTTGTGTTTTGAATCAATATGCACATATTTGGGTTCTGCTTTCAGTTTTAACTTGGTCACTTACTTCCCTTAAGAAAGTCACCCAAAATTCTTGCAACTTTTCTTACATCTGTGAATTAGGGATATTAATACTTGCCCTCCTATCTCACATGAGTTTGTGTATGGATCAATTACGATAATAGAAATGAAAATAATTGTGAACTATAATCACCATACAGACATCAGTGTTTACTGTTTCAAGTCCTCTGCACAATAAGTAAGGACATAAATAAGTTAGCAAGAGCCTCCCTTTACCCAAGGGGGATACGTTCCAAGACTCCCACGGATGCCTGCAACTTCAGATAGTACCAAGCCCTATATATACTATCATACCTGTGATAAACTTTAATTTATAAATTAGGTGTAGTAAGACATTAGCAACAATAACTGATGATAAAATAGAACAATATAACAATATGCTGTGATAAAACGTACATGAAAGTGGTCTCTCAAAATATTTTATCATACTGTACCATGTGGGTAACTGAAACCACAAATAAGGGGAAACTACTGTATTGTTTAAATTCAAATTTCTTCATTTTAACCTAGTTGAGTTACTAAAGATAATAAAAACCCTCTACATTTTCTTTAAATGTATTCAGTATTTACCTATAATTTGACTGATCTTCTGATAGCTAAAGCTTTTAAGTATCTATAGTTTATTGATGAATGCTAAACTGCTAGTTAACATGTGTAAACTAAAATCGGGATGTAATTGTTACTCTCTACCAAGTGATAGAACAGAACAGGATGTAAAATTGCAAGGTTTAGATTCCACTTTCAGCAAAATCCCCTTCTAGCCGTAACACACTTCTACATTTTAAAAATATTGAATTAATATTTACTGGGCATTTACTCTGTGTCAGGCACTATTTAAAGCACTTAGCATGTTTTGACTCATTTGATTCTCACAACACCCTATGAGGTAGAGACTATTCTCATTTTTCAGATAAGGAAACCAAAACACAGATAGGTTAGGCAACGTGCACAAGGTCGGAGAGAGGCGAGGGCTGCGTCAGGATTGGAACCCAGGTGTCAGCTTCCAGCATGCAGAGCTTTAATCACTAAGCCACACTGCATGTCTATCCATAGATGCCTCAGTTTCCCTCTGAGGATAATATTACAGTACTCCATAGAATTCTCTGTGAAGATCAAATGATATTAATATAAATAATGTAAAAATACTGGGTAACAGTCAAGGATTATATTTTTATTTTTATGTTTTTTTTTTTTTTTTTTTTTTTTGAGACTGAGTCTTGCTCTGTTGCCCAGGCTGGATGGAGTGCAGTGGTGTGGTCTCAGCTAACTGCAACCTCCACTTTCCGGGTTCAAGCAATTCTGCCTCAGCCTCTGGAGTAGCGGGAACTACAGGCATGCACCACCACGCCTGGGTAATTTTTTGTATCTCTAGTAGATACGGGGTTTCACCATGTTGGCCAGGCTGGTCTCGAACTCCTGGCCTCATGCGATCCGCCCGCCTCGGTCTCCCAAAGTGCTGGGATTACAGGTTTGAGCCACCATGCCTGGTCAAGCATTACAGAATTAATATTAAAGACAAAATTTTCCTTACCCAAATATTTTAAAACAAAATATCACCCCCCCACCTTACAACCTTTTTTTTTTTTTTTAACCTGTACAAACTGTAAATTATACTGTTCTGTTGTCTTCCTCTGGGGGAGAGGTGAACACACGAAGGAGATAAGTCAGTGTAAAAAAACATTAAACACAAAAGGCAGGCAGCATGGCTTAGGGGGATCATTTCAGTAGGCTCAAGCACAGAGATTCAGTGCAGGAAAAACTTTACATAATATCCCTGAATACTAAAAAGACAGAAAGTTATGAAACATCTGAGAGTTAATACCAAAAGATCAATGGTTTAAATGTTATCTAAATATATTTCAATTCAACAGAAACTTATGTAATCTAAATGGGAAACTTCTGATTTTGGCAAAGGTTTTCAAGCTTTCTTTTGCTGCTGGCAGAGATAAGTTTGGATGTGTGTGGGCTAACTGCAGACTAGATTTTTTCTAGTTAATAGTATTTACTTGTTTCATTATAAGAATTATACGAAGAAATTATAGTGAAGATCTTTTTTCATTATCAACAATAATGACAAGATCATTAATAACTACAACCGTACAGTTATATAAATACATGTCAAATGCCTAGCTTGCCAATTCCAAAGAAGTTAAAGCCTAAGGATTGTACAAACAGCTTATGACTGTACTAGTTAACATTTTGATTTACACCCATAAATTGTGAGACACTTATAAATCGGCCCTTTACCAACTCTAATTTGTTAGCTCTGAGATTTTTTTCCTGTTAGTTCACATTAAGAATTCAAAAGATTAAAAAACTTATCCTCATTAGTGCCATTCAGACATTTTCAAGCATGGAATTAATGATTCTTGAAAGAACTAAAAATGAGGAAAAAATAAGCTAATGCAGTGAAAGTCAGAAGACTTGGGTTCTATTCCTGCAAAAGTAGAATGAAGTTGCTAAGTGGGCAAAATCCTCATGTGCAATCTATGCAACTTGAAAAAAAGAGAGATTACATCTTTCAGAGCCTTTTCCTGTTAAACATAATATCCTCGATCCAAGAACCAGAATCTCTGTTAACTAAAATATTATTGGTCACAGAATGTTAAGCTAGACCTCAATTATCAAAAGTGCTCACTGTTCTTCCATGGACCAGGACCTGGATTCTTGTGAAACCCCTAATTCAAGGTCAGATCACTAAATCAGCAGTACTGTCCATAAGGTTCAGCCTCAGTGACCAAAAAAACTTCCTTGGATATGTATACTAAACATGTGCTATAAGGCAGGATGAACCCTAGACCAACGTTTAGGAGAAGCGGAAGATACAGCACTGCCTCTCTACCAGTTAACAGTGTGACGGTGTGCAAGTCTTCACTGCCTGGCATCTGCTTCCTCGCTTTAAAAATCACACCATGGTCAGTTACTAGGTGGTCTGTACAACTGAGTCCAGTTTCTCTTCTCTTTATTCACCCAGAGAAGCAGAGTCATGTGTATCAGAATTCTGTATTCCAAATACTTTTTTTTTGTTCTGAGCCTACCTTTCTATTTTATACCTGCCTACTCCTCACGAAGGCACTGAAAGAATACAAAAATCTCCGGGGTTTGTGCTTCGAACTCTAAAGATACTAAACAACACAAGATCTTGACATTAGTTCAATATGACTAAGCACTTGGGACAAAAGATGACCCGAAAGATGATCCTTTCAGTTACACAGTCTATAAATTTACCTGTAATACCTAAAGTCAGTTGCTATTCTAGATGTCTGTTTTCTTGGGGATTATTCCCCTATCATTTCATGCCAATGGATAGACACTAAGATCTTGAAATACGCGTAACACAAGGTTTATCAACAGTGGCACTTGGGGCCTGATAATTCTTTGTTGTGGGAATCCTGCTGTGCCTAGTAGGATGTCTGAGCAGCACCCCAGCCTCTCCCACTAGATGTCGGTACCAGCACCACCCCCACAAGAGGTGGCAACCAAAAATCTCTCCAGATATTGTTCTAAATAATGCCCCCTGAGAGAGGGGAGATAAAATCCCCCTGGTAGAGAACTACTGATTTATATAGAACAACTCTTCCTTTTACGTAAGAGAAGCTTGAAACTGCCCCCTTTCAGCGCCTAAAACCACCTTAAGAAGAAAGTGCTAACCTAGGTTAGGAGGCCGAGGCTGCTTCTTGGAGACTAAGAAATGCACTCAAGACCTATAAGGCCTTTCCCCACAGCCTGATCCTAAGTGGAAAGGCCAGGAGAAGCGTGGCAGAGAACTATGGATCAGGCAGCCCCTCTCATCTTTACCATAAGCTAGGTGCACTGCAAAGTACATAGGAAATAAGCAGGATCTGAAACAGGCCAGCTGAAACTTTCAAGAGGAACCAGTTCAGGCATTTCCAGGTAGCAAGGGACCACCCTGGGCAGCTCCGCCCCAAGCCCCAAGCCCGGCGGCCTGCAGGGCCTCCCGGGGCCGGGCGCCCGCGCGGAGCTCCCGCCACGCCCACCGGACGTCACCCGTTACACAACGCCCCCCGCCCCCAGCTTATGCAATTCTGCCCTCCCGCGGTTCCCAATTGTCCCGGTGACTTTTGTGGGTGAGGAAGGGAGACGCCGCCTGCCCGGCCTAGTTGCCCTCGCGGGGGATTCTCTCCCCGCCCCGGCAGTCGTTTCCCCGCGGCGGGCCCGGCCCGAGAGCCAATTCCCGGAAAGCGCGCGGCAGGAAGCGAGCGGCCGCTCGGGATAGCCCAGCTACCACCCATCCCGCGCCGGGGCGGCCTCGGTCCAGGTCACCCACTCCGCGCCGGGAGCGCGCGCCCGACAGCCAGGCCGCGGCCGAGGGAACCCCGCGCCGAGCGCCCCTCCCCGCGCCGCGTCACAGTCGGCTCCCAGGGCGATCCCCATTATGACCGAAGCACCCCGGGGCGCCGCCCCCTCCCACACCCCCCAGCACCCCGAGACCCGACACGCCAGCGGCCCAGCGGCCCCGGGGAAGCAGAGGAGACTCTCGGGGCGCAGACAAGCTCCGGGTCCCCGGCCCTCGGGGCCAGGAGGGTGCGGTCGGCCCGGCCCCGCCGCATCCCCGCGCGGTCACCTGCTCGCAGCGCCTCGCAGGCGGCGGCCAGGGCCTCCCGGTAGCGCCCCTGGTGCAGTAGCTCCCCGAGCCTGCCGGCCGCCCGGGCCCGCTCGCGCTGGCCCGGAAACCACTTCTCGGCCAGGTGGTTGAGGACGACGCTGGTTCTGAAGTCTGAAGCGGCGATGGCGGCGGCCAGAGGCGGCGGCCGCGGGGCGGTCCCTTCAGCATCAGTGGCACTGGCGGTGGCGGGCGGCAGCCGGTCCCGGCAGAGGCGGCAGCGGGCGCGGAGTTCCCTCCGCAGGCAGCGGCGGCAGTAGCTGTGGCCACAGGGCACGGTCACCGGCTCGCTCAGGAAGCCCCGGCAGCCCAGGCATCTGAGGAGCCCGCCGGCGCCGCCGTCAGCGCCTGCAACCGGGGCCGCGCTCCAGCCCAGCCCGTGGCGGAGCCGGTAGTTGAACACCAGGCAGTCCACCAGGGCGCCCAGGCACTCGGGCCTGGCCGGGGCCCCGCGGCGCAGCGCCGCCGCGAACGCCTCCAGCGCGCCCTTCAGGTGGCCGCCCAGCGCCAGCAGCTCCCCGCGGCGGAGCAGCAGCTCCCAGCGCTCCGACTCCGCGGCCGCGCGCTCCAGCCGATGGCCGCTGCCGCCGCCCACTTCCCAGAACCGGCCTCGGCCCTGCGGCGCTGGGGCCATCTCCCGACTCCCTCCTGGGGAGGTCCTCGCCACCGCCGGAGAGGACATGGCCCGCGGAGGGCTGCGCCGCCGCCGCCCGCCGCCACGGTCCCGGAGCCTCCCGGGCGCGCGGCTCCGCACGCGGCCCGCGAGCAGGGGGGCGTGGCGCGCGGACACGGCGGGGCTGCGCGCGCCCGGGAAGCCCCGAGGGCGGGGCCTGGCGAGGGCGGGGCCGGGCTCGGCGACGGCGCCCGGGACTCCCCCACGCCGCCCGCGGCCGCGCTCCCGAGGAGCCAAGCGCTGGGCCCCGCCCCTTCCGAGCCCCCTCCGGGTGGGGGACGCAGGTCGGATGATTCCTCCGTCGGAGATCTAATTGGCTTCTCCGGAAAGGAGGGCTCGGCTCGTGACGGAACAAAGCCGGAAGGACCCCGGAGCTTCAGTCCCCGCTTGCCTGTCTGCCAACGCCGCCACCTGCGGTGGCCCTCGCCCCTGCCGGGGGTTGGGGGACGCTCCCCTGCCGCGCGGGACTCCGGGTCACCACCCCTCCCCCGACGCCCCCGCCCAGGCCGGACCTGCCCCAACTCCTGGCGGGCGGGGGTCTCCCCGCGTGGCCTCGCGCTTGTGCGGGTCTGCATTTTCATAGCTCTACGCCCATGTTCCAGGTGGGCGCGCCCAAGCAGGGGGCCTGGGAGCGCACCTTCGGCAGATGACTGGGACTCTTCGGTTCTAGAGGACTCAACTTTAAATATGAACAAAAAACCCACGTTCCTGGGGCGACTCCCTCCAGAGGGCAAGGAGTTTTTCCTGGTGCCAGGTGACTGCTTGCCCGTCTTGCTTAAAACTCATCGTGGGCCCACCTCGAGGGAGAAAGCCCACAGCTTCCTCAGGTGTCTCCACACCTCAAGCACTGCCTTACAGCTGGTTAAGGTCTATATTTGGCAGTTTTAAAAGAAAACACCAAGAAACATGTTTCACATGGCGGTCACCGTATTACTACAACCCAAGCTGGCTCTGCAGTTTTGCTGACAGAAGAAAATGATCGGGTTGATATATAATGGGTGCTATTTCCCTTAAACTTCACAGCAGCAAGTTTAAAGCTCTCAGCTGAAAATACAGATTTGATGATAGGGTATTAGATCGCTAATGTTGGAAGTCACTTAGGACTTTTAGTCCTTTTTCAAATGATTGGAAACACAGGGAAAGTTATTTGTCAAAAATCACACAGCTAATACAGATTTTAAGATCACGTCTATTCCACTACTACTACGTTAGACTAATATGTAATATTTAATAAAATATGTAATATTTCATAGAAATATATGAGATTTTCAAAGTAAAAGAAGTTGCTAATTGGAAAGTTCACCTGAGCATGCTATGTATGAAATTGGTAAACGTTTAATATTTCTCTTTATAAGGAACAGGCAATTAAGGCTAAAAAATGTTTTGAGTTCATGTGTTTTCACTACACAATCAACAAGTCGTGTAACGTCAGAAAAGACAGAGTTATATTACCCTAAAGGGAATGAATAAAAAAGAGGTGCCTGAGAAAAAGCCAAGCCTCCTGTTCCAACAGGATGCAGACAGAAACAAGTTCATTTATCACTCACATTGCACCTGAAGCAAATTGCAGCTAGATCCAAGGAGCACCTCCTAAGCATTTGGCATGGGAAGCATTGGGATTAAGTCATGAGCATAACCTTAAATCCAATCCTAACCCCTAAATTACTACCTTAACAAGCAGAACAGTGACTTTCAGCTGATGTCCACATACTCCCTTGAGACTTGAAATCACAAACAAATATCCATGTGTACACGCACATTCATTTTTGTAACGCATCCTTGTTCTTAATGGCATGTTGCAAAATTTACAACAGTAAATATGTAATCAATGTGTTCATGTTTATTACAAGGAGCATAGTAAATTAATAAACACTCATAAACTTCTTTTCAAATATAAAGTCAGGTTCTATTATGGGATTTCTGCCAAAAGTACAATATGTGGTTCAGAAAATAATGTGAAGTATTATTTGTCCTTTGGAGTTCCTTTTCCTAATAAATATGACAACCACATCTGATTCTGATGTGAAATAAAATGGCACAATTATGATAATGTGCGGGAGAAAAAAATGGGACCGTAGGAGGAATCTTACCGTGTTCTCCTTGGCATTTGTGAATGGTTATAATTCATGTTTGCTGGTTTATGCATTTACATAACTTGTTCTCATTTATGTAACTTATTTATGTAAGAGGCTGTACTGCCGCTGTGGCCTTTGTGTGCTGCATAACTTCCCTTTGAATCAGGAAGTCTAGGCAAAGCAGTCACTGGCACTGTCACAGGTCACCCTTCCATCATTCTCTGCCATCCAAAAGTTGCACAATAATGTGACTGCTTGTTTAAATTCAAAGGCGAGAAAAATTAGTGTCCTTCTTCGTTCATTTCCTAAAATTTAGACAGGTCTCTGAGTCACCCAGCAGGCTGTGATGGAGAAGAGGGAATCCTGCTAAGCTGCCCCTGGCTAGGAGAAGTATAATGGAGTGAAGAGCTCTCCTTTTCCTTCCGCATTACTTGCTCGTGTCATTCTTTGCTAACAAAGTAGTAAAATCATGAGATTTGTATTCTGTTTCGGTTTTTGAGTGTTGTCTTCTAAAATAGATCAGTTATGTAAGAGAGTCAGAAGAAAAGCGTATCTGTTTCCTAATTTGGAAAATGCTTATCACCATCATTGCCTGCTTATCCCTGCCTCCCACTGCCACACCATAAGACTTTTCCTGATATAGTTTGGTAAACTCCTATTTAAGAGTAACATAACACAGTGCTTTTCTTATATACAACTCAGCTGAAGATGTGTATTTGAACCTCTTTTTTTTTTTTTTTTTTTTTTTTTTTTGCTGTGGGTGAATTTACCATTTGTTTCTTTACATTCTTATTAAAAAAGAAACTGAATTTGTCAGTCCAAGCAAAATATGTCCCATTCCTGATTCATTTCAGTTGATAATGTTCTATTCAAAGAGAGTAAACTATAACGTTTTATATAAACAGTACCTAGCCAATAGATTTTTTTTTTTTGACACAATCTAACTTTGTCACCCAGGCTGCAGTGCATAGTGAGTATATAGCTCACTGCAGCCTTGACCTCCTGGGCTCAAGCAATCTCCCACCTCAGCCTCTCCGAGTAGCTGGGACTACAGACGCATGCCTCTCTGCTCAGCAATTTTTTTTTTTTTTAACTTGTTGTAGAGGCGGGCCCCATTATGTTGCCCAGGCTGGTCTCAAACTCCGGGCCTCAAGCAATTCCCCTGCCTCAACCTCCTAATGGGCTGGGATTAGAGGCATAAACCACCACGCCTGGTCCCCAATAGCATTTTTGTACAGAATACACAGATGGAGGGGTCTCTAGAGACCACCTTTTCATACCCCTCTCTCTCTCTCTCTCTCTCTCTCTCTCTCTCTCTCTATATATATATATATATATATATATATATATATATATAAGAAAATTGGGATCTGAGAAGCTGCTAGTTTCATAGAAGTCATACCAGCGAGGGAATCCAGACACCTGGTGCTGACTCTATTTATGCCTCTATGCCAGGGAAGAAGTCACCTGGGTTCCCTAGGCCTCATTTGCTATCTGTAGAAAGAGGGAACTGCAACTACCTCTAAGGTGCCTTCTGCCTCTGGAGCCAAGCCCCAGGGCTTGGTTTGAACACAGTAAGAGGAGGCAGAGCATCTCCCAGACTGAGGAACACAGCAATGTGATACCTGCTGAAAATGTAACAGCAGATGAGGGCTGAGAATAGAAGAGAAGGGTATCAAGAACACATTTTGTTGGTACATACTCATCCCTGTTTAGAGAGGGGGAACCAGTTTCTGAGACCTGAACACCTGCAGTCACTGTACAGGGATCCCCTATTGCACTCACACCTCCTTGCCCCTACTGTAAAACTGTGGGAAGCTGAAAGAAAGCCGGGGGTGGGGGGGCCGAGGGAGAGCTGATTATATAACTTGGGCATTTGTGCGAAAGTTTATATAAGATGCTAAAAATACCATATATGATTGCTATAATAGCGTTCCAAATGAAAAGCCCTAATGAGGACAACCTGAGTAGGTTAAATAGAGCTGATACGAAGTGTAAGTCTAAAGCCAATTGCCTGCAAGGACTACCATCTAACCAAGTACCATTTACTGCTCATTCTTTGTTATCCCTACAGGGTGCACAAAGTGCGCAAGGGCCACTACCCTTACAAAGGGTGCTATGCTTCATTCTTCATTTCTAATACTCTGAAGAATCTAGAAATACTAAGTGTGTGACCCATGGCCTATTTTGCTGGTAGTCAAATTGATTAAATGAATACATTTTCCTGTATCAAGCTGTTTAAAAAGTAGACATAGGAATAAACCCCATATATTATTTAACAAATTCTAAGAATTTAATACATATGAATCCCCCTGGTACTTTCCATCCTCCTTCCTTGCTGCCCCCCCACCGCACACCCCCCCACCTTTAGTACTTATCATCTGACGTATTACATACATATTACTTGTCTCCACCCTCCAGAATGTAAGCTCCTTGAGATTTGGGATTTCTGTACATCTTGTTCACTGTCATGTCTCTAGCACCTAGGCACCAAGAAGACACTAGAAAATCATTCTTAAATGAGTCCACCCACAAAGATATCATGTACTATTTTTCATTCTTGTTAGTGATAAAAATCTGGTGGGGCACGGTGGCTTGTGTCTGTAATCCCAGCACTTTAAGAGGCCAAGGTGGGTGGATCACCTGAGGTCAGGAGTTGGAGACCAGCCTGGCCAACATGGTGAAACCCCATCTCTACTAAAAATACACAAAAATTAGCTGGGTGTGATGGCACACTCCTGTAGTCTCAGCTACTCTAGAGGATGAAGCATGAGAGTCACTTGAACCTGGGAGGCAGAGATTGCAGTGAGCCAAAACTGTGCCATTGCACTCCAGCCTGGGTGACAGAGAGTCTGTCTCAAAAACAACAACAAAAATCCACTTACCATTAATACCTTGGGGCAATTTATTTTCTTTATTTCTCCTCTGTTATGGATTGAAGGTTTTTGTCCTCACAAAAATTCATATGTTGAAACCTGATCCCCCGAGTGATGATATTAGAAGGTGGAGCCTGGTTGGAAGTAATCAGGTCATTAAGGTGGAGCCCTCGTGAATGTGATTAGTGCCCTTATAAGAAGAGGCCAGACAGCTAGCTCAGTCTCTTTCCATCAAGTGAGGATACAACAAGAAGTAAGCAGTCTGCAACCCAGAAGAGAGCCCTCGCCAGAATCTTACCATGCTGGCACCCTGATCTCAGATTTCTACCCTTCAGAACTTTGAGGAATACATTTGTTGTTTGTAAGCCACCCAGTCCATGGTATTAGGTTGGTGCAGAAGTAATTGCAGTTTTTGCCATTACTTTTAATCACAACTGCATCAACCTAATACTTTGTCACAGCAGCCCAAGCTGACTAAGACGTCCTGTCTTTCTCTGATACTTCCCATTCGGTGTGTCAGACAGTCCTCTTGACCACTCTTACCCCTTCTCCCCCACCACCACCCTGGCCCAAGACAGCAGTATCTCTTGTTTTATTTATTTATTTTTATTATTATTATTTTTTGAGACAGAGTCTTGCTCTGTCAGCTGGAGTGCAGTGGCACAATCTCAGCTCACTGCAACCTCTGCTTCCTGGGTCCATGCAACTCTCTTGCCTCAGCCTCCCAAGTAGCTGGAATTATAGGTGCCTGCCACCACACCTGGCTAATTTTTGTATTTTTAGTAGAGACGGGGTTTTGCCATGTTGGCCAGGCTGGTCTCGAACTCTTGACTTCAAGTGATCTGCCTGCCTTGGCCTCCCATGTGCTAGGATGACAGGTGTGAGCCACTGTGCCCAGCCCACATCTCTCGTTTTAAAATTAAGACAAGTTTGGGTATTCTTTAGGTTTGACCTGGAAGTCGGCAGTTAAATGTGCCCTCACCCTGCAACCTCACCTCTGGCTGAAAGCCCCAGTCTTCACTAGTGTCCAGGCACGCTGGCCTCTCCTGGGCCTTTGTCTTTTCTGTTCTCCTTGCCTGAAACGCTCTTCTGATACACAGCCCCAAGCCTCCTTCCTTCCTTTAGACTTTTGTGCAATGCCACCCACTCTATGGCGACTTGCCTGGTCTCCCTATCTCCTTTCCTGTCTTTTCATCTTTAGCCTCTATCCCTAATATACTGTATATTTAATTTATACTATATATTTGGTTTTGTACATTTTGTATATTTGATATTATTTATTATTTGTCTTCTCCAAATAATATAAATTTCACAAGGGATTTTAACTTCTTTGTTCACTGCTGAATATTTGATGCTTGGGACACATAATTGATCCTCCATTTAAAAAACGGTTGTATGAACAAATGAGAAAAGGGCTGTGGTGCTACACACAGAAACGTGTTTGTTTTGATGCTCAGCACCTGACTGTAATGGTTGTGGTCACTTGTGCCACAACTAGAAGGGAGAGTGAAGCCCGTGGAATTAAGGATGTGGTCTGGAAGCTCTAACATGGTTTCCTAGGACAGGATCTAACAAAATGTTAATTATTTGTAAGAGAGATAGGTAGAAATAAAGTGGTAATATCCAGCTTCTTGAAAAAAAAATCACTAGCTCTAGTGACCAACACTAAGTGACTTTACTGCTTTGGAAAGTTCCTGAAGATAGTGGCAATCAGGTAAATCCCCCATGCCCGTCAAATATAGAGGAGCCCCTGCCACTGTTCTCCTCCCATGTGGTTTTGTTTTAGACAGTCCTAGGATTATACAGAGGGTTGGGCTGTCACCTAGTTTAGAGGGCGAAGGCATGCAGTGCAACTTTACCTGGTACATTTTCAGCTCCTGTGTTATTTTTAAAACTCTGAGTTATGCCGAGCACAGTGGCTCACACCTATAATCCCAGCACTTTGGGAGGCCATGGTGGGTGGATCACAAGGTCAGGAGTTCGAGATCAGCCTGACCAACACGGTGAAACCCTGTCTCTACTAAAAATACAAAACATAGCCGGGCATGGTGGCATGCGCCTGTAATCCCAGCTACTCAGGAGGCTGAGGCAGGAGAACTGTTTGAACCCGGGAGGCAGAGGTTGCAGGGAGCTGAAATTGTGCCACTGCACTTCCAGCCTGGACGAAAGAGTGAGACTCCGTCTCAAAAAAAAAAAAAAAAAAAAATCTGAGTTGTTAGGTAAATTGTAAAAGGATTCAGGATTGCAGTTCATAAACTAATGAGTGACATGGATAAGATAAATACATCTATCATTTTGTTTAAAAGACTGGAGTAAGTTAATTGGGTGGGGAGGATGTTTGGTGAAGGAAGTCAAGCATGTTAAGTAGAAAAACACCTGTGACTAGGTTAGACTAGATGATCTGTATTCCAATATGGCCTACAAGTTCAGTGCCAAACAAGGAGACATGATGACTTCAGATGATGGAAGAGTTCATGACCAGGGGATGAAATTGTATAGATCACAGTCAAGACCAGGAAGAAATGGCAGAACAACCAACCAGGTTAGCAGCTTATAAAGTCAAGAGAAAAAAAAGGAAAAGCAAGATGTAAAATACATCAAGTCAATGTGCATTACAGATGAGTTTTAGTCAGTGTCTAGTACATGTTTTAGGACAGGTCTTAACTGTCCTAAAACAGTTAAGGCACAGGTCTTGGACTAGAGAAGGACCTTGGATGAAAGAGAAGGACACACATCTCTTTTTCCGATTCTGAAGTAGCTAGAGGAGGGGACGTTATTTTCAAACTTAAGTGAAATTAATTAGGTAGAAAACATGAAGGACTCTTTTCTCTAGCATGGAACACTAATGTCTCTATTTGGATGGCTATGACAAAAATACCCTAGACTGGGTAATTTATAAACAACCAAAATTTATGGCTCACATTTCTGGAGGCTGGGAAGTCCAAGATCAAGTCACCAGTAGATTCTATGTGTGGTGAGGGCCTATTTCCTGTTTATAGAGGGTGCCTGGTTGCTGTATCCCCACATGGAAGAAGGGAATGGGAGGCTCCTTCACATCTCTATAAAAGAGGCATTAATCCCATTCAAGAGGGCTCCACCCTCATGACCTAATCACCTCCCACACCACTACTCTTAATACTGTCACATATGTAGGTGCCAACATATGGGGGACGCCAACATTCAGATCACAGCAAATAAATATCACAAAAGTTAACAAGATATAAAAGGGTTCCAAGGAATAATGGAAACATTAAAATACTACTAAGGGGACGGGTGCGATGGCCACACCTGTAATCACAGAACTTTGGGAATGGGAGGTGGGAGGATCACTTGAGTCCAGGAGTTTGAGGCCAGCCTGGGCAGCATAGTGAGACCCCGTCTCAACACAAAATTAAACAATTAGCTGGGCATGGTGGCTCATGCCCATAATCCCAGCTGCTTGCAAGGCTGAGGCAGGAGGATCAACTGAGCCCGGGGAGTTGAGGCTACAGTGAGCTATGATCACACCACTTCACTCCAGCCTGGGCAACAGAGGAAGACCTTGTCTCAAAAAAACAAAAATCTACTGCTAAGGGAAGTCACGCTCTACTGAAATTCAGGTTAGTCAAGAAAAGCAATGATGTTTTTTCATGATCTATCCTTTGATATTTCTGTCAATAAAAAAATGCCAGGCTGGATGGTCCAGAGGGCTAACACAGTAGGATGGTTCCCACATTCTTGTTTTTAAATAAGTATTTAAAAATTGCATTAGCTTTGGGGGTACAAGTAGTTTTTGGTTACGTGGATGAACTAGAGGGGTGAAGTCTGAGACTTTAGTGCACCTGTCACTGGAGTAGTGTACATTGCAGCCAATATGTAGTTTTTAATCTCTCAACCCCCAATATTCTTCTGTCTCTACCTAGTTAATGCCATCAACTCCCTTATGAAAGCAAATCACAAACATGTGACAACTTGGAAAAAAACGCCTTGCAATCGGAAATATCTTGACCAGACAAGTCTAAGTAAAATGTGGAGCGTAGAAAGATGTTCCAGCACATGTCAGCATATGGTGACTTTTTCCACACCCAGCTGCTATTCATATGAGCCTTCAGAATTCTGATCACCAGTTTAATCTGATGCTGACCCTGGTCTTTGTGAAAATTCCAAACAACTCTTCTAATCCAGCGTGGGGAGAACCAAAGTTCCCCATGGACATGTTATTCCCAGAGTAACCTTGCTACAAGTGCTTTCGGCTTTAGAGGATTTATGAATCCAGTTGCCACCATATCATTGTCCGCAATGACATCAACTCAGGCCTAAAAAAATTCAGGTCTCTCCCATGTAAAGTGGCTTTCCTACATTTAGATCAAACCTTTCTGAGCAGCATGGGGCCATTCTGAAACACCTACTTTTTTTGTTTTCCCTAAATTTGATGATTCTAAATATGAGTAGATAGCTCTAATACAGCCAGCAGTTACTGAGTGTACTCAACTTTCATTTGTATCAACTTACATGAACAGCTTGCTTAAAAGAATGCTTTGGAATTGCTTATATGATAAATCAAGCTTGTTTTGTGTTTTTATGGAAACAAAATAGATCCCCATATGTGCACAGGAAAATTGGCAACTGCCAAGATGGTATTGTTACCTGGAATCCTGCCTTGAGATGGATCCTTTAACCAAGGAGATCCAACAAAGCCGGACCTCTGGACCAGCAGTCTTGGTTCTCGTGATAGTGAGCAAAGAATTGCGAACTAACCCCGAAATGCAAGCTCAAAACAAGGCTTTCTGAAGCACAGTAATGCACTCTCAGAGGGAGAGTGGGGTAACCTCTGCGAAGTGAAATCAGCCCCTCTTTATAGAGCTCAGGGTGCGTTTATGCAGTTTGTGGGGAGGAGTTGAGGCTTGGGCTGTGTTTGAGTGACAGGATTGTGTCATTTGATTAGCAGTTTATGCTTATATCACTGAACTTAAACTGCACGTCTTTACTTACACTTTGTTAAGGAAAGCCCACTCAGAGGGGCAAAACCACATGTAAATTTTATTATAATGACTGTATAATGAGGATGAGGTTACCCGGGTTTATGGCCTAGATGGACTGGGCATGCGCCACGTAAGGGGATTTTTTATCTGTGCCCAGTTCTTCTTTCTCCAGGATGTGCTGGCCACAGACTTTACCACAAGCTGCATCTATCAGGGTGGAGTTAGGGTGGTCTTGGGGGCTGAACTTAGGTGGGCCAGGGCCTGTCTTAGTGATAGCCCTTCTGCCCTCCTCTCTCGCCCCCTCCCAGCTGCTAATGTCTAACTACCTAACATTATGGCTGGGACACTATGTTCCTGCAGTAATGCCAAAAACTGTAGTACCAAAGGGTAAGCCTCCCTGATTCTGCCCAGCCATGGGTGAAATTTCTCCAACTCTATGTAGGAGGAGAGTGTTGTAATAGACCGTTTCTAAAGTCCCTTCCAGTTCAGGGAGACTACAATCTCTGAACAAACACATTCCTGTCATCCAGTGGAAAAGAGGCCTTCAGGGCCCACAGGCGATAACTTTTATTTTGCAACTTAAAAAACCCACCCCTCAGTCGGCCCTCGGAGGAGTGCGCCAGCCCTGCGGAGGCAGTGTCTACACAGGCCTCGCAGCTTCCGCCTAGCACTCCGCAAGGTTTCCGTTGCATTGTGGGGCAGGGACCACCGCGTTGTGGGTGTGGGGAAGGAGATGTGTGGACAAAGGGCGGAGTGATGGGTCACAATGTGCAGAAGGATGGTTTAGGTGGAGACGTCGGAGGAAGGCGAGCAGTGGCGGATTAGGCTCAGGCTGCTGTGAATGGGTGTCAGCCTGGGAGGCCCGGTCCAGTGCGCCCCCACATCTGCCCGCTCTCGATGGGATGCGCACAGTCTCGATCCTGGCACCAGTATCGACCTCAGCTGGCACCAAAGGCCTGAACAGAGGGTAATCGGTGTCCCCATTCCAGCCCAAGCCCCGCCTTCCTGGGTGTTCTGGAGCAAAATGGGGGCCTGCGCAGGAGCCCCGGGTTCCAGGGAGACCTGGCTCAGCAGGGCAGCCTGTGAGATGTGGTGAGAAAGGTGTGGAGCGGCCATCAAGAACTGTCTTAATGAAACATTGCCATGAGCCGTGAATCTATGTAACCATATTACTTTGTGGAAAACAGCCAGCGGAGGGCAAGTTTAACAGCTCCACGGGGAAGCTCCAGGGACAGCTGTGCAAGAGTGTACTGTTTTCAAGTACACATCGTTCTGTTGAAAGAAAAAAAACTTTAGACAAATTAAATTGAACAGAGTTTAATTGTGCAAAGAATGATTCATGAATCAGGCAACACCCAGAACAAGTGGAAGTTCAGAGAGCTCCCTGGGCAGGGATTATTTATAGACAGAAAACTGGAAGTACCCTACAGAAATAGCTTGATTGGTTACAACTCCGGCATCTGCCTTTTTTGGACATGGTCTGATCAGTGGGTAGCCTGTGATTAGCGGAAGTTCGGTTGCTATGACTGGCTGTGACACAGCTATTTGTTACAAAAATATGCTCCTAAATTAGGCTTTCGGTTTGTTTACCTACTGAGTTAGGTTGTGGCTCCTGACACAGAAACTCAAGGTATGGAGGCAGCCTCAGGCCAAAAATAAGTTAATTTAACAGATTTTTGAAAGAGACTTTTTCCAGATAGCAAAAGAAGAGCGATGATCCATCTATACACCACGGGAATGGTGGCTGTGGACCTTGTATCCACCAGCACCAGCCGGGAAATACCTGACGCCATGCTGCTGGGCTGACCAGAAGTAGCTGAGAGGCTGGGCATGGTGGCTCACACCTGTAATACAGGCACTTTGGGAGGCTGAGGCAGGTGGATCACCTGAGGTCAGGAGTCCGAGACCAGCCTGGCCAACATGGTGAAACCCCGTCTCTACTAAAAATACACACACACACAAAAACTAGCTGAGCATGGCAGCAGACACCTGTAATAGCAGCTACTTAGGAGGCTGAGGCAGGAGAATCACTTGAATCCAGGAGGTAGAGGTTGCAGTGAGCCGAGATTACACCACTGCACTCCAGCCTGGGTGACAGAGCGAGACTCCGTCTCAAAAAAAAAAATTAAAAAAAAAAAGTGGCTGGGCTGAGACATCCAGGGTAGAGGCTGTAGGCCTGTAAAGACCTTCGAGGCAACAGGGCTGCCTCCTTGAGGTTTGTAAAGACAGTCATCCACAGTCATGACAACAGTTCCACCTGAAGCTTGCCAATGGCCACTCATTTCACCTGCAGCCGTGCCCCTGCAGATGCAAAAGATCTGGAAAAACCTTGTTTATCCCCTAAGACCACCAATGGAGGCTTAAATCTGTACCCAGGCCATCCCACTGAGGACACAATGGGAATACCTGTGTGGAAGGCAGAGCCCAGCGGCCATGGTGCTCCGTGGAGAAGAGAATCTGCATCAGGCCGGCATTAGGAACTTCCCATGGTCTCTAAGGTGCTTGGGGTCACCTCCTCTGATTATGCTGAGGGGGAAGAAATTCAACACGTCTCCAGCACATGTGTTCATGGAAGGGCACTCTTCTTCATTCTAATTGCAATGCAACCAGTGCTCAATGAAGGGGCAACAGTAGCGGTAACAACAGGCACCAAAGCAAGTGCTATGGACACACAGGCCACCCAGTCTGCAGACTCAGAGCACATTAAAACAGCACCAGCAAGAGCAGCCTTTGTGGATCCAGTAGGACATGGAACCAGCACATCAAGGCAGGTGTGCTCAGAGGATCTTTAGGTAGTTGGAGCAACTGCTTACAAGCACTTCCCTGCGCTCAGAGGCTACGTCCTGCATGCCAGGAGGAGCTTCTGGTCTCTCCCCAGAGAGCAGCCCAAGTGTGGTGGCTGAAGGAGCGGAAATGACTGGCAAGCCTGCTGCAGAAACAGTTAAAGGCCTAATGGCAGGACCCCTCGTCTGGGCCTTGCTGATGAAGGATACGCGAGTGAATGGATGAGATGGAAGCCAGAAAGTCTCCCATCCCAAGACTGAAGCCCAGAGAGAGAGAGAAAGGTAAAGGACAGAACTCCCACAAGACGCCATTGCCATCACCAAAGGACTGGGGCACACAAGTCAACCCTATGAGCATTCATCTTCTGGTCCTGAGCAGAAGATGATCCCTGCAAGGGACCAATAGGGATGAAAAAATGAAAAGGCTAGAGCAGTTCGGGAGGCTGAGGACGTGGCTTCTCCTCTCTATGAAAATGCCAGTCCCGTTCTCCCCACAAAGGAGTCTAGGTTATCTCAAAAACTGCTGGGGAGCACACACCTATACTGGCAGCTACTCAGGAGACTGAGGCGGGAGGATCCCTTGAGCCCAGGAATCCAACACCAGCCTGGGCGACATAACAGTACCTGTCTCAAATAATAATAAGAAGAAGAAGAAGAAGAAGGGAGAGTCAAACTATGACAAGTTTAGGGTCTTAAGCAAAAATAACTCTTTGCGAAGTTCAGAACCTGCTTTACTCACCTGGAAGAGAGTAGAGAGGTGGAATCAAGTTTGAGACAGCAGAAAAGGGCAGCATGGAACACTACACAGTCAGGCAGAGTGTGGCAGGGGCTGGGGATCACTGGGACCATAGCCGAGATGAGGGGGACAGTAACTTTAAAGCCCATCAAAAAAGGAATCAGAGCATGGAGACCAAGGGGTTTCTGATTTAGGTGGCCTTGATTTAAGTAAATAAGTACAAACAAAATACATTCTTAGAATGAAAAAAAAAAAAAACCTGTTAGCTATCATCCAAAGGCACACGTCATTTCATCATGAAACTCACGTATATGCATTGGGAAGAAGCATTGTTTGAGGTAGGAACGGAAGAGTCGCACACCTGAGTGAAAGGGTGACCATGGCTTGTGCTGGTCAGCAGGAGTTTCTTACCTTCCTTCTTTTTCTCCAAAAGGC
Source organism: Homo sapiens (assembly GCF_000001405.40). Lineage (NCBI taxonomy): Eukaryota > Metazoa > Chordata > Mammalia > Primates > Hominidae > Homo > Homo sapiens. The sequence goes on from NC_000008.11 coordinate 12,769,278, forward strand.
ATACATTTCACTATTGAGCTTTGTGATTCCTAAATTGTAGTGGGTCTAAGAATCATCTGGGGTGCTTTTCTGAAATGCAGATTCATGGCCCTGGACAAACTGAACCAGGATCTCATAGAGTGGGACTATCTTACATGATCCTCATGAGATGATCCAAGGTGTGGACTCAAGGCTAACATTGGTACATGGTCCAATGTAAGAAGTGGCCTTGAGAGTTAACAAGTAGGTTTTCGTGTAAATGTGCCCATCCTTTTGGACTATGCATTGGTTCATTTCAATCACAGCTACTGTCAACATTTATTCATTAGTTAACCAATATTGGAATAAGAGTTTACTATGTGCCAGACACTGTTTTAGCTGCTTTATTAGTTGAACCTTACATTTTTTGAAGGTCTGGTTTTTAGAATGCTACATGCAGATTTGCCTGGTGCTCTTTAGCTGGTGGCTGGCATGTCATTGTATGAGTGAGTGCTATATGACCGACCGTTCCTCCTAAGGGAAAGGGCATGGGAAAGAGAAAAGGGACAATGGCCCTCTTTATCCTTTTCCTTCTGACAATAACCTTTGCAAAGTATAGAACATTCACGGACTTTCCAAGGCTTTATAATGTTTTATTTATTTAGAAATATAAATAAATACACTGTGAAATATGTGATGGGGGAGGTTGTGAAGCAACCTTCACATAATACATAAGAAATTATAAATCTTTCTATTTTGAGACAGTGTCTGCATTGAGAAACAGATAAATCTATCTACCCCTCCTTTTAATCAGTAATCTTATCTCCAATAACACTGGAATGCACTTGCAGTAACACTTGCTAGGCTGGAGAATAGGTTAATGAGTAGAACAGCATACATATTTCAGGAAAAGAAATAGAATGCTTTATTGCCTCGCGATACCAAATAATTGCTTCTTTCTCAGCATTGTCTTGTCTCAGCCTTGTGTAGTATGTAGGAGAAAGAAAAAGTCTTTCATCGAACGATAGTCACCTTTAGAACATCGTTCTGCTCTGGTTTTATAAACCGAGAGAATGAGAGGTCTGCCATCTTGACATGTGTGGTCTAAGGTCTAAAATTAAGGCCGAGTGTTACGTGCTGCCTTGACATCTGTTGAAACTGGGAGGCCTTGAATGTTCTCACTGCAATTTCCCCTCCTTGCTCTGCTCTTGTGGATAAGGTCCCTTGGCTGAACAACTTTCCTTTCAAAGGTAGCAGAGGCAGTTCCTGCTTATCCTGGAGTATCCTGGGGTTTCAACTTCCTGCTACTTTTCCGAATTGTTCAAACAAGCCAATCACTTCCTCCTATGAACCAACAGACACCTCACCCTCTTGATATTACAAAGCCTGCCTCCCGCAGCCCCTGGTTGTCCACTCTGTTCCTGAATACAACCCTACTTGGTCTACGGTGTCGCCCCCACTCCCCGGGCAGTGAGTATATCTGACTAATAAATTGCTGTTAATCTAACCTTTCCGTTGTTGGTAGTAGCATCTTCAGCCATCCTTATAACCCTAGGACAGGAATCCCTCCCTCACCAACTGAATGAATAGGAGGTGATTAAAACATGTTTTATCCACTGAAATAGGATCTTTCTTAAAATAAAATATATATGTGTAATTTTAGAAAGCATTAAAAATTAAGTATTTTTTTCACCAATACTAAGATAACCAGCAAAAGGGCTACTTGGATATTTTCTTTTTACTGTAGCTTGTCCTCTTAATAGTCTGGAAGCAAAAATATGAAAGGCAGGCCAATTGCACGGTGTCTTAAAGGACCACAGGTTATCACAGTCACTAGTGAGCCCAGAAATTAGCCAATACTGGATGAAGGAGGAAATTCTCAGGAAGCTAACTAGGCAAATACAAGAAACAAGGCCTCCCACAAGTTTATTTATATCTGGATTAGGAGTATGATAACACCTATGGGTTGACTCAATAAAAATAAGAGCTCACGTCACAAGGCTCACATAGGACAGCAGGCATCATGGCTCTAGAAGAAAGGTTTGATGGGAAAGAAGGGAAGAGAGTCCCAGGAGGTATTACCATCCAATCACTTCTCTGACTCTACTGTACATGCCAAGCAGGGGCAGAGCAGCCCTTCTTGATTTCTACCCAGGCATGATTTTCATGCCCTAGTGCCAGGTAGCAAGGCCGTGAAGGCCCACGCAGGCTCAGTAAGGATTACGTTTTGTAAAGGATAACCTAGGAGTTGAAGCCAGCAACAGGGAAGAGGGCTTTGACCTACTGAAGGCAGCACTTGGTTTGGTGGTTGCCTTCGCTTGTGTTTGTGACTGCCTTCGGAGTGCAGTGCTGAAGTGAATCATACAAGTTATCTGCACAACATCAAATGCAGCTGGCTTTTCTAGTAACAAAGTTGCTACCATTTATTAGCAACTACATGGGTGCTAATCACACACTGGTTTATTATCTTCTTTAATCCACTTAATTTTTCAAGTTAAGTACTCTTATCTACCTACATCTTGCAAATGAGGAAACGGCATTAAGCAACTTATTCAAAGTTGCATAGCTCTACAAGGAGTAGAGCCTGGACTCAAAGCTAGACCCAGGGTTCAATCTTTTTTTAAAATCAATTTCATTGTATATATTTGAGGTTTACAACATGATGTCATAGGATACATATAGATAGTAAAATGGTTACTATAGTGAAACACATGAACATATCATTTCACAGAGTTACTGCTTTGTGATGAGCAGTGAAAATCTACTTATTTAACAAACATCCTTAATACAATTTTATTAACTATAGTTCCCATGCTGTACATTAGATCTTCAGACTTTTTCATCCTACGTATCTGCTACTTTGACCTACATCTCCCCATCCCACCCCGCTGCCTCTTGACCTTTTTGTTGTTGTTTAGATTCCACATAAAAGTGAGATCATGAAATATTTTTCTTTATATGTCTGGCTTATTTCACTTAATATAATGAAAGTTGTGTGTGCGTATACACGTATATATGTATGTATGTATTATATATAATGTATATATAATGAAATATTATTCAGCCTCAAATTAGAACGAGATTCTGCCATTTGTCACAGCATGAATGGACCTGCAGGATTCATTCTTAATAGCACCCAGGGTGTGTCTGAGAATTTCTGGGGAGAAGGGACTAGAAAAAGAAGGTTACCTAGGACTATCAACTCCAAGTACAATGCTACTAAGAAAATAGGCCATGTCTTTAATACAAGTATAGGCAAGTTTGTTTTTGACAGAAGAAAAAAAAAATCAACCAGGTGTCCCACAAGCATATACCATTAGGACCCATTCACTGTAGACTAAATTATAATAGACTAGTCATATAGAGCTGAATCCTTTAATAGAAAGTGACGTTATAATTAAATAACATGAAACAAACACATATTTACATTGTGTGTTTTCCTGTCACTTCCAAATAGTTTGCAACTTATTGTACAAATTTATTGAAGCAGTATTTTCTGTTCTACAGAAAGCATAATCCAAAACATGGGTGCTCTGAAGGGCACCGTTCTGCACTGGTTATGTGTTTCTCTCTCTTTTCCTTATGTAAGCGTGTTTATATTATATAACATCAATACCCATAGTAGTAGCCAAATGATGTTATGCTAACTGATGGGAACAGAAAAGTACTGCAGAGCTCAGCACCTCACAACAGCCCTTCCTTCTGATGGTATCTGGTAATTAGAAGCTACTCACCTTGAGAACACACCCCTTGTAGATCTGTAATTAGTTCAGTTAGTTTTACTGCTTCTTTGACATTGATCATAGTCTCCTTTGAAGTACCAAAAAAAAAGAAGAATAGGAAAAACTGACCCGGTTCATACCTGGTGACTTTTATCAATGTCTCTTGTATGAATCTATTGTTATGAGGTATTTTAGACATACTGATTTATAATGGCATTTACAGAGCTTAATGTTAGGTCTGAAAGATTCACTTGTAAATTACATAACTTCAGTACATTCATGCTAATTGTGTTGGTTCAGAAAAAATGTTTAAATTGACTTCAAATCACTATGTTTTGGAGACACTGCCTTTCATTAAACCTGCTCATGGTAAAACCAGACTACTTTAGTATCCTTCACTACTTCAGTAGTTATTGTAATTAGTATTTATGTGCACTATTTAAATATATAATTATCTGCACACATATGCTCTATCACCTCTAATTTGCTTTGACTCCATTGTTGGTGCTGTCGTTGTTGTTGTTGTTGAGACAGGATATCTCTCTGTTGCCCGGGCCTGGAATGCACTCAAGTGCAGTGGTGCAATTACAATTAACTGCAGCCTTGACCTCCTGGGCTCAAGCAGTAATTCCTTTTTAGCCTCCCAAGTAGCTAGGACTATAGGCATATACCACCACACCCTGACTCTTCCTTAATACACTGCAAGTTTTATGTTAGGATGGATATATGTCTTCTGCCTCCACAGGCTTCAAAACTCCAAGCAGAATTATCTGAATATTGTGAACACACACACACATACACACACAACAGGATGTTGTTGGACAATAAGAGTTTCAAGTCAATTTCAAGTCAATTAACAATATTGTAGCTTTGTAAGTATCTCACAGGAATCAAACCTAAATGACTTTTCCCAAATACAAGCCCTCTCTTGGGTAGTTTTTATCTTAGAGTAAAACACTTTCAAATTACTTGTTTGTAGTTTATATAATCAAATGGCCGAATGCTTTGCTCCTCTGAGAGCCAACATTAAAAGGAAATTCAACATCTAAGTATTCATTTACAAACCATCTTACTGTATCTAAAGACTAAAGATAGTTTAAATGTATATCCTATTTCTAGGTTATGCCGATTTATCTACTTACCTTTTTCCCAGCTTTTTCATTCAGATCCCATCGGTAATATTTTATTTTCCCAGCCCATATATGCAAGTATTTCTAGATCCATCAGTTACCTTATAGGTGTTCCTTATTTAATAAAGTCATATATATATATGTCCAAACTTCCCCAGTGGTTAAATTGGGAGACATATAATTTTACATTACAAATAATTTTTCACTTTATAAAAAGGAGCTCTCATCCCTTTTTTCTATAAATATCATTGATTATATTTGTAAATGAAGAGTTCTGTGGTTGGATGGTGGTGATGATAGCACAAAAATGTGAATGTATTTAATGCCCCTGAACGGTACACATAAAAATGGTAAAGATGGCAAATTTTATATTATGTGCATTTTATCACAATTATATATACATAATTATTACAATTATATATATATATAATCACAATGATATATATGCATATATATGTGTGTATATTTGTGTGTGTGTATATATGTGTGTGTGTGTGTGTGTGTGTGTGTGTGTGTGTGTATATATATATATATATATAAATAATTGAGGCATCTCTGTGGGCCTGCACCGTGCTGGGTGCTGGGGCCAGGACACTGAGTGAGGCAGAGATCATCACTACCCACACGGAGCCTGCAGTCTAGTGGGACAAACATCTAGTCCACTGACCATGTAATCCAGCAAATGTGGCCTAGTGCTATCAAGGCAGGAGATCAGCAGGACTTGTTTTTGGAACACTGGTCATGACCCCAATCAATCACGACCCCGCTGATTGGAGCAGGATCTGGTCAAAACAGGGTGCAGTGAAGAAGCTGGCCAAAACCAGTAGATGGTGATGAAAGCAACCTCTAGTTCCCCTCACTGTTCATTAGCATAAAGACACTCCCACCAGTGCCATGACAATTTACAAATGCCATGGCAATGAACCACGGCAATGGCCCATAAACAGTTACCTCTTATGGTTGCAGAACATCCCTGCCTCATTTCCAGAAAGTTCTGAATAACCTGCCTCTTAATTAGCATATCATTGAAAGTGGGTATAAACACAGCTGCCAACAGCCCATACATTGCTACTCTGGGCACATTGCCTATGGGTTAGCCCTGCTCTGCAAGGAGCAGTCCTTTGCTCCTGATGTACAATGCTGCTTCAACAAAAGCTGCTGTCTAACACCAGCAGCTCACCCTCCAATTCTTTCCTGGATGAAGCCAAGAACCCACCCCTCTCAGGGAGGTCATGTGAGAGATAGCCTAAGCGTTGTCATCTTACCTAAAAATTTCCAGCCCTTTCTCCAATGTCTCTACATGCCTGCCCAGATTCAGCAATTCTTAGAAAATAACTGAGAAGTAAAGTGTAGACGAAGGAAAGTGTATATTGGTAAAAGCATATTAACTTTTGAAACAAACGAATCCCACCACTGCAGTTAACACAGCACACGTTTTTTTCTGCCTCAGTCATCCAAATGAGAATGTGGTGCTGCCTGCTCCTCAGAGTCATTCAAGAATCCAGGTTGCCATAGCCCTGCCCTCTTAAGTAGTTGGCTTCCAAAATTGTGCTAACCATCAACATCCAGCAAGCAGTTGTTGGAAAGGAATAGATTACATGTGAGAGCTTTCGCTTGCTCAGACCTAGACAAAGTGTCTATCACTTTCACTCACATTCCTCTGGATAGAATTCCACCTGCAAGGGAACTTAGAGATGCAGCCTGGCTGTGTGTCCAGGAAGAAGAGGAAACAAGTTTGATGATCACTTAGCCATCTCAGTCTCATCAAAGACGCTGTGGTTCTCATATACAAAGAGTTATAAAAGTAGGAATGGAGGACAGATGTTGGAAACTGTATTTTATTTACTCCTTTGCTTATAGTTACAGGGATCAGAAATTAGGAGTCAAAAAACAATAATTTATTGTTTTATAATAGAAGAATATGTATCAGAAATTTGGAATAGTTATTAACTTCCCTCAACTAAAGATCTGGAAAAGGAACTTGGTTACAACCTACATTCAGGAAGGGGCTCAATAGTGATTCATATATAATATATGTTGGCAAACATTAAATTAGTCTCTACTTACTACAAGTAAAGATAAGAAATAAATGGAGCCTATAAAAATTTGCTCAGATGAAATGAAATATCATATGGAGACAAATTAAAAATGCACCCCTGAATGTGACTTATTACAGAAATCAGAAGAAAAGCACCCTCAGTAGACTGTAAGACTGCAAAGCCTCCAGGAAATAAAAGGTGTAAGTACAAGCAATGAAAAATCAAGATGAAAGAATGGTCATGTAGAGAAAAGGAAAGGAGAGGGTTATTTATGACATTGGACAGGATCAAAAGGACACTAAAAATACAATGGAATAATTCACTGTTGAAGATGTGTAAGGCACAATTGGAGTGGATGAAAATGAGTTAGGGATATGGAAACAAAGTTGAGTTCTTACAGAATGAAAATAGAGTGGATGGATGTGAAAAGATGAAAGAAGGAAGGTAGCTATGATCAGAGAACTCAGAGCATCGTACGGGTAACTTAGGTTCTAGACAAAAGGTCAGAGAAATACTCTGCAAAAGTGATCATATATACATACACATATATATGTGCATGTATATATATATAGAGAGCGAGAGAGAAAGAGAGAGAGAGAGAGAGAGAGAAGAGTTTAAGAATCATTTAATTCCAGGCAAAAATCAAGTACAAAGAGATACAAAGAGCTACATCCTGGCACTCATTTTGAATTATAAGGATAAAAAATTTAAATCCTATCCAGGCTACAAGACAAGGTACTTAGAAAAAAAGGATAAATGGACTTTGAGATCAGCTGGGTTCTATCTAATACTAAGACAAAATTATTTCAGATCCAGCTCTTCATAGGCAGCCAAATTGTCCTTCAGGTGAAATAAAGATGTGTATATAAATGCCATAGCTTAGAGAAAGTATCATCCATGTACAATTTTTGAAAAACTATTACTTGATTATATGATCACGTTGACTACGAATGAAGCAAAATTATGAGCTCAGGAATAGGGAAATAGTGGCACAAGAGTACTTGGAGTGAGCACCAAAAGCATTTGTATGTAGGTTTAAATCTAATCCATGTGCAAAAGTAAATGATCTGAACTATTTCTTGAAAGAGAAAATATATAATGTAAGATAATAATTTTAAAACAGTAATATTAACCTATATTCTCAAGTTATACTAATAAAAACTGAAAAATCAAAGGGATTGTGATTGTATTTATTTCCTTAGCTTAGCTAGAAGATGACCCAAAGGATTTATTTTGGTTCAGATTATTAGGGAAATAAAAATCGAAGAAGGCTTTTGAATCTTAAAGCAAACCATAAATAGTTTAACATAGAGCTTGTATATCCCAAATCAGTAGAAAAGATAAAAATAAAACCATGTCTGCATTTTTAGCAGTGAGAAACAAAATGGAGTCGCTGTAAAAAAAAAAAAAAAGGCACAAAACAAGATGACATAAGTGAGACCACATGATAAGGCATAAGGAAAGATGTCAGAAAATATGTCAGAAGTTAGACTAACCTTATTAGTTATAACAATAGATGGAAATGTACAAAAAATAAAAGTAACAAAAGCAACATCGAATGGTCAAAATTCCCAATTTAACCTCTACAGATCATTCACGACTTAAGATAGCTGGACTTACGATGTTTTTGACTTTATCATGGGGCAAAAGCAATATGCATTTAGTAAAAGCCGTACTTTGAATTTTAATTTTTTCCCAACTGTAGGTTAATGTCAGTATTCTGAGCACCTTTAAGGCAGGATGGGATAAGGTATGATGTCTGGTAGGCTAGGTGTATTAAATGCATTTTCGACTTACGAGATTTTCAACTTATGAAGGGTTTATGGAGATGATAAGTTTATCACTTATGCAAATGAAGAAGTTTAAAAGAAACGTAAAACAAAACTATGAAAAACAAAATTATAGAATTCATAAAGATAAAAGCAGAAATTCAATAACAGAAATACATTACATCTTAAACATTCTCATAAACCTTATAGATATAACACAAGAAGTTCTTAGATACAAGTTATCTCAGGGAAACAATATTTACCTAACGCCATATAAACCAATGTTATGTTCACTTGTAATGTGTCAATATTTGCTAACAATGACGGATTATGACATTTTCTTGTCAAAATGGCTTACCATCACCTATGTAGGTCTGGAGTGGCTTTTAAAATTCAGATATTCACTAGTGCAGATGTGTGAAAAGACTCACCTATGAGGATACTTCTCATGATTTTTTTCACTGTGAAAAATTGGAAAACATAAAAGGCGGATTTTAATTTAATAAATTATTCTACCCATATGGACTAACACTGTGCAATCAATAAAATGGTACTACAGAAAAATATCAAACAACATTGAAATGCTCCCAATACATTAAGATTCCAAAAAGCAACTCGTAAAATGTAATGCAATCTCGTTTGTTTAAATACACACACGCACAGAGCAGAGAGAAAGGGAACACTAGATACTGTAGATAAAAATTACAGTGGGGAGGGGAGGGAACTTAGAAGACTGGTCAATAGGTGCAGCAAACCACCGTGGCACATGTATACCTACGTAACAAACCTGCATTTTCTACACATGTATCCCAGAACTCAAAGTAAAATAAAATAAAATAAATCTTAAAAAAATTACAGTGGGGTTGCTAGTGATCTCTTTTTCTTTGTGTTTCTCTGAATCTTTCCATTTCTAACATGAATTTATTTTATACTCAGAAAAACAAATCATAAATGTTATATTTTTAAAAATATTAGTGCCTTCCATAATATTTTATGAGAAATTCAAGTAAAGTAATACCAAAATTAGTCTTTTTTTTAACTTAGCACGTATTTATAGAGTGTGTACTAACTGGTAGGCACTGTTTATACACTGGAGATACAACAGTGAACAAAACCAAGTCCCCGCCCTCCTCTCACTATAGACAGAGGGAAAGATAGAAGATAAACAAATATAAGTATATGTAATAACATTTGGTAACAATGTCATGAAGGAAATTATAGCAGCATAAAAAATAAGGAGTAATGAAAGACAGATGTGTTATTTTATAGTATAGTATTGGCTTTGTTTATTTTTTCCTTTTTTGTTTTTGTTTTTGAGATGGAGTCCTGCTCTGTTGCCCAGGTTGGAGAGCAGTGGCTCGATCTCATGTCACTGCAACCTCCACCTCCCAGGTTTAAGTGATTCTCCTGCCTCAGCCTCCTGAGTAGCTGGAATTACAGGCGCCTGCTACCATGCCTGGCTAATTTTTGTATTTTTAGTAGAGATGGGGTTTCGTCATGTTGGCCAGGCTGGTCTCAAACTTCTGACCTCAGGTGATCCACTCGCCTTGATCTCCCAAAGTGCTGGGATTACAGGCGTGAGCCTCTGTGCCTGGCCTATTTTTTCCTTTGATTTTCAGTTGACACACAATTGTACATATTTATGGAATACAGAGTGATATTTTGATACATGTATACAATGTGTAATGATGAAATGTATAAAGATAAAAATAACAAACGCCTCCAACGTTCATCATTTGTTTGTGTTATGGACATTTAAAATCCTGTCTTCTAGCTTTTTGAAAATATGAACTAAATTATTGTTAACCATATTTGCCCAACAGTGCTACAAAATACTAGAACTTTTTTCTCCTATCTAGCAGTACAATGTAACTTTGTATTCATTAACCTCTTTCCCTATCCTCTCCCTCCTCCTATCATTCCCAGCTTCTAATGACTACAATTCTTCTTTCCACTTTTATAAGCTCAGTATTTCTTGGCTCTCGTATATGAGTGAGAACATGTGGTGTTTATTTTTCTGTGCCTGACTTATTTCACTTAACATGATATCCTCCAGGCTCATCCATGTTACTGCGAATAACAAAATTTCATTGTTTTTTACGGCTGAATAGTATTTCATTGTGTATATATTCCACATTTATCCTTTCATCTTTTGACGGACATTTAGGTTGATTCTATATCCTGGCTATAGTGAAGAGCGCTGCAAAAAAACATGGGAATAAAGTTTTCCCTTCGATATAGAGGTTTCCTTTCCTTTAGATTAATTCCCAGCAGTGAGAACACTGGATTCTATGGTCTTCCTATTTTCAGTTTCTTGAAAAACCTCCATACTGTTTTCCATAATGGCTATACTAATTTACATTCCCACCAACAGTGTATGAATTCCCTTTTCTCTGCATCCTTGCCAGTATTTGTTATTTTTTGTCTTTTTGATTATAGCCATTCTAACTGGGGTAAGATGATATATGGGTATGATTTTGATTTGCATTTCCCTGATGATTGGTGTTGTTGAGCATTTTTTTTCACATATTTGTTGGCTGTTTGTATGTCTTCTTTTGAAAAATATTTCGTGCCTACAATCCCAGATACTCCGGAGGCTGAGGCAGTAGAATCGCTTGAACCCAGGAAGCGAAGTTGTGGTAAGTGGAGATTGTACCATTGCACTCCAGCCTGGGCGACAGAGCAAGACTCCATCTCAAAATATATATATATACGTATATATGTATACGTATATATACACATATATATGTATATATATATATATTCATATATTCAGCTCCTTTACCCATTTTTAAATTGGATTATTTGTTTTCTGTGGGGTTTTTTACCTTTTTTTTTTAACTTTTCTTGTACATTCTGGATATTAGTCCCTCGTTAGATGACTAGTTTCTGAATATTTTCTCCCATTCTGTAGGTTGTCTCTTCACTCTACTGATTGTTTCCTCTGCTGTGCAGAAGCTTTTGGGTTTTATATAGTCTCATTTGTCTTCTTTTGTTTGTTTTTGATGCCTGTTTGTTTTAAGTCTTACCCGTAAAATCTTGCAATGTCCTGAAGCATTTCCTTTATGTTTTCTTCTAGTGGTCTTACAGGTTTGGGTCTTCTGCACTAGTCGTTAATCCATTTTGAGTTGATTTTTGTATGTCGTGAGATATAGGGGTCTAGTTTTATTCTTCTGCATATAGATATTCATTTTTTCCAGCACTATGTATTGACAGGGTGTCCTTCATCCAATGTAAGTTCTTGCCACCTTTGATGAAAATGTGTTGGCTGTAACTGCATAGATTTATGTTTATGTTCTCTATTCTATTCCATTGGTCTATGTGTCTGTTTTTTTATACCAATACCATGCTGTTTTGGTTACTATAGTTTTGTATGTATTTTGAAGTCAGACAGTATGATGCCTTCAGCTTTGTTCTTTTTGCAAAGGATTGCTTTGGCTATTTAGGGTTTGTGTGTGTGTGTGTGCACGTGCGTGTGTGTGTGTGATTCCATACAAATTTTAGGATTTTTTTCTATTTTGGTGAAAAATGTCATTAGTGTTTTGATTGGGATTCCATTGAATCTGTAGATTGCTTTGCATAGTATGGTCATTTTAACAGTACTAACTCTTCCAATCCATGATTATGCTATGTCTTTCCATTTTTGTGTATGTATCCTCTTCAATTTCTTTATCAGTGTCTCTAAGTTTTCATTGTAGATGTATTTCACATTTATTCCTAGGTATTTTACTTTTCTCGTCATAAATGAGATTGCTTTCTTAATTTACTTTTCAGCCAGTTCATTCTTAGTGTGTAGAATTGTTGCTATTCTTTGCATGCTGACTTTGCAGCCTGCATCTTTACTAGATTTTTCTAACAGTTCTAAGAGTTTTTTGGTGGTGTCTTAGGTTTTCCTACATATAAGATCATGTTGTCTGCAAAGAAGGACAATTTTACTTCCTCTTTTTCAATCTGGATGCCCTTTATGTACTTTTTTTTTTTTTTTGCCTAAGTGCCGTGGCTAGGACTTACAGTACCATGTTGAATAACAGTAGTGAAAGGCAATTTTGTCTTGCCCTAGTTCTTAGAGGAAAGGCTTTCAGCCTTTCTGTATTGAGTATAGTAGCTGTGAGTTTGTCATATACGGCCTTTATTTTATTGAAGTATGTTCCTTCTATACATAACGTTTGTAGAGTTTTTATCATGAAAGATGTTGAATTTTATCAAATTATTTTTCTGCATTTATTGAGATTATCATACATTTTTTGTCCTTTATTCTGTTGAAGTGTAGAATTACAAGTACTGATTTGCATTTGTTGAACCATCTTCGCATCACTGGGATAAATCCTACTGGGTCATGATGTATAATCTCATTGTGTTGTTAGGTTCAGATTGTCAGTATTTTGTTGAGGATTTTTGCATCTATGTTTTCTTTATTTGTTGTGTCCTGGTCTGGTTTTGTTATCAGGGTAGTGGTGGCCTCATAAAATGAGTTAGGAAGAATTCCCTCTTCTTCAATTTTTTGAAATAGTTTGAAAAGAATTGTTGCTCATTCTTCTTTAAATGTTTGGTAGAATTTAGCAGTAAAGCCATCTGGTCCTGGGCTTTTCTTTGTTAGGAGGCATTTTACTACTGATTCAACCTTGTTACTTTGGTCTGTTATTGGTGTGTTCAGGTTTTCTGTTTCTTCCTAGTTCTATCTTGGTAGGTTATGTCTGTCCAGGAATTTATCAATTTTTTTCTGAAATTTCCTAAATTTGATAGGATTTCTATTTTTTATATTTGTTGAGATTTGTTTTGTGGCATAAAATATGATCTATCCTAGAGAATGTTTCATGTGCTGATGAGAAGAATGCATATTCTATAACTGTTGGATACAATGTTCTGTAGATGTCTGTTTGGTCATTTAGTCTATAGTGCAGCTTAATTCTATGTTTCTTGATCGATTTTCTGCTTACATGACCTGTCCAATGATGAAAGTGGGATATTAAAGTCCCCAACTATTATTGTATTGGTAAGTATCTCTCTTTATCTCTAATAATGTTTGCTTTTAATATGTAGGTGATCCTGTGTTGGGTGCATATTCATTTACAATTGTTATATCCTCTTGCTGAATTGATCCCTTTATCATAACGTAATGATTTTCTTTGTCTCTTTCTATTTATTTTTTTGACTTATAGTCTATTTAGTCTGATATAAGTTTAGGTGCTCCCACACACTTTTGGTTTCCGTTTGTGTGGAATACCTTTTTCTAACCCTTTACTTTCAGTCTGTGTGTGTCTTTACAGGTGAAGTGCATTTCTTGTATATAGGTGGGTCTTCCGTTTTTAAATCCATTCAGTGAGTCTGTATCTCTTAAATAGGAGATTTAAATGGTCTACATTCATGATTGTTATTGATAGGTGAGGACTTACTCCTGTTATTTGGTTAGTTGATTTCTCATTGTCTCATATATCCTTTGTGGCCTTTTTCCTCACTTGTTTATCTTTGCAACTTGGTGGTTTTCTGTAGTGATAACCTTTTATTCCTTTCTCCTTCTCACTTGTGTATCTGTTCTACCAGTGAGTTTTATGCTTTCATGTTTTTTTTTTTTTTTTTTTTTTTTTTGATGGTAGATACCATCTTTTAGCTTCTGTTTGTAGGACTTCCTTAAGCATCTGTTATAGGGCTAGTCTAGTGGTGATAAATTCCCTCACATTTTGCTTCTCTGGCAAAGACTTCATTTGTAGCTTTATTCCTGAATTATGGCTTTGCTCAGTTTGGTGTTCTTGACTAGCAGTTTTCTTCTTTCAGCACTTTGAGTCTATCATCCCATTTTCTCTGGCCTGTAAGGTTTCTGCTGAGAAATCTGATATTAGTCTGATGGGGATTCCCTTATGTGTGACTTGATGCTTTTTTACTTGCTATTTTTAGAATTCTCTCTCTACTTTTTGACGTTTGACAATTTGACAATAATGTGCCTTGGAGATGACATTTTTGGGTTAAATCTATTTGGGAATGTTTAAACTTCCTCTATCTGCATTTCTATAACTCTTCCAAGACTTCAGAAGTTTTCTGCTATTTTTTAATTAAATAGGCTTTTTATGCCTTTTCTCATCTTTTCTACTTCTGGAGCGCTCATAATTTGAATATTTGTTCCCTTGATGTTGTCCTATATGTCACATAGGCTTTCTTTATTCCTTTTTATTCTTTTTGTTTATTTGTTTGACTGGGTTATTTTAAAAGACCTGTCTTCAAGTACAGAAATTCTTTCTTCTGCTTGATCTAGTTTAATACTGAAGCATTCAATTATATTTTTTATTTTATCATCAAATTCTTCAGTTCTAGGATTTCTGTTTGGTTCTTTTTAATAATATCTATCTGATATGGTCTGGATCTGTGTCCTTACCCAAATCTCATGTCAAATTGTAATCCCCCATGCTAGAGGTAGGCCTGGTGGGAGGTGATTGGATCATGGGGACAGTTTCTCATGGTTTAACACCATCCCCTTTGGTACTGTCATGATGAGAGTGGGTTATCACAAGATCTGGTTGTTTAAAAGTGTGTAGTATCTCCCCCTTTCTTCCTCCTGCTCCAGACATGCGAAGTGCTTGCTCCCCCTTTGCCTTCTGCCATATTTGTAAGTTTCCTGAGGCCTCCCCAAAGGCCAAGCAGATGCCACCATTATGTATCCTATACAGCCTGTGGAGCTGTGAGCCAATTAAATTTCTTTTCTTTATCAATTACCCAGTCTCAGGTATTTCTTTGTAGCAGCACAAGAATGGACTAATACACTATCTCTTTGAATTTTTCCATTCCCATTATGAATTCTTTTTTAAAATGTCTTTGTTTTGTTTGTATTCTTATGCCTCACTGTTTCCTTAAGAAAATAATATTTTAATCATTAATATTATCTATCAATTCATTAATAATTATATTTTCATTAACATCAATACTATTTTATTATTAATACAACTATATTAATAATATTTTGAAATCCTTTTTAAGAATTTTATGTTTTTTTTCTTTAGGATCTGTCACTGGATAAGTACTATGTTCCTTTGGTGGTGTCATGTTCCTGGCTTGTTCATGTTTTTTGTGTACATACACTGATATCTACACATCTGGTGTAACAGTCACTTCTTCCAGTTTTATGCAGTAGTTTTCACAGTGAAAGACTTTTTCCTGCAGACATATCTATACTGTCAGTTGGGTAGAGCACATTAGGTTTGGTTGCAGTGGGTGTCATAGTGTAGTTCCTATATGATTTCTTTGACTGTATCATTGTCAGTGGTGTCTGTGAGTTTCTTAGTAGCTTAGGTTACAGTTGTTTATGAAGGCTGTGGTGAGACTTTTCTGGAGCCTGGGGTGCTAGATGGGCTGGTTCTCAGGACCCTGGATTGTGCACATGAGCACAGACTATGGCATCAGTGAGCCCTGGTAAGGATCATTTCCAGGGTCCATTAGCAGCACGTGCAGGTGCCAGTGGTGGATTGGCTTTTGAGTCTCTCGGAGGCACACTCGGGTCTGTGGCAGCCCTGCTGCTGGAGGGGGCAAGGTAATTGGTGGTGGTGGCAGCCCCTGGCAGGTGATTCTCAGGCTTTGGGGAGTACAAGCTTCAGCTCCATAAATCCTAGGGGCAGCCTCCCTAATATGCAAGACCACCTGTTTCCCAGAGTGTAGGGCACTGTGGGGGCTTGGGTCTCTGGCATGCAGTCACACTGCTGGGTCCAGCTGGTGTCATGATGCTGCAGCCCTCTAAGTGGATATGAGGGGAATGTTGGCTGGGCCTCAGGGATGTGGAAATGTAGGAGTTCTTGGACCCCAGGGCAGGATGTAGCCTGGTGTTTGTTCCATTCTTAAAATGGTGTCATGTGGCAGCAGCCTGTGTTCTGTAGGGTGAGTGGAACCCAGTGTGAATTCCCTCTTCAGGACAATGTAATCACATGGACTCAAAGCAGCTCCCTTTACTAAGCACTGGGCTTTTGAGGCCCGAGTGGCTTTCCTGTCACTACGATTGCAGGTGTGTGTTATGGGAATGTGGACTGTTGGAGATCTCTTGCAAAGGGAATCCTCACAATGGGGAACCCCTCCTGGCTCTGGCCAGCTGCTCTGCTGCCCTCTCTAGGCTATCATCTTGAGTTTCCCTCCTCAGAGGGTCCTTGTCACTTCCCTGCTGAATTCTAGTGTTCTCCCTTACATACTCTATTCAGCATACTCTACTCACCATTTTGGTCCTTCTTTGAAGAGGAGATTAGTGCCGGACACCTCTAGTCAACTGTCTTAATCACATAGGGTGGTATTGTTCTGCCTTTTATATTCTTGCAGAAAGTGGTATATGATGCTGGGCTCAGTGGGTCACACCTGTAATCCTAGCAATTTGGGGGGGCCAAGGTGGGAGGATTGCTTGAGCACAGGAGTTCAAGGGCAGCCTGGGCAACATGGTGAAACCCTGTCTCTACAAAAAATACAAAAATTAGCCAGGTATAGGTGGCATGCCCCTGTAGCCCAGCTACTTGGGAGACTAAGGTGGGAGGACGGCTTGAGCCCAGGAGGTAGAGGTTGCAGTGAGTTGAAATTGTGACACTGCACTCCAGCCTGGGCAACAGAGCAAGGCTCTGTCTCAAAAAAAAAAAAGTGGTATAGGGAAGAGAACTATTTGCACCTCTATTAGGCATTCATAGTCTTTTGATTCTTAATAGGAATTGACCATATGACAGAACCTACAAACTCAAAATTAGTTATTGATGCTTATATGGCACCTGTATTTTAATTTTAATACCATGGCTAAAACGAAAGTGAGCAGGAGGGATCCCCAGGTGTAGAAGATAAATCTTGAGTATTTAGAAAAAAATTCTTTTGGGCTTCTTTTGTAGTGATTTTAAACCATTTTTATTTATGTTGGTGCCAAGTCTTACTACCTAGTAAAAAGCAAATTGCCCCACCCAGGCCTATTGAATCAGAACCCTTGTTTCAACAAGGCCTCCAGGTGATTCTGATAAATACTAACATTTGGAAACAATTGCCATAAAGACTAGCACAATAAGTATCCTCAGAGCACTGGTATTATCTTTGGATTCTCACAACAGTGGTCGATTCTGACATTTAAGTATCTTCTGATCAAATAGTTTTAACATTAAGTGTGCCA
The DNA here is from genome assembly GCF_000001405.40 of Homo sapiens. Taxonomy (NCBI): domain Eukaryota; kingdom Metazoa; phylum Chordata; class Mammalia; order Primates; family Hominidae; genus Homo; species Homo sapiens. The sequence goes on from NC_000008.11 coordinate 12,787,002, forward strand.
ATATTAAAAAAAAAATCATATCTCTGAAAACAATTTTCTAAATTCAATCAGTTCAAACATAGAAAAAACTTCACAGAACAGACTAAATCATTACATTGTTCTTTAAAGAAAACATGCAAAACGCCAACACAAGAAATGTATGAAAGTGAAGGGTTCTGGTTGAGTGATGGTGGGAGACCTTAAGTCTTACATCTTGACAAACTCTACTCCTGGACCTAAATTTGGACCCTTCTTTGTCTCTGTGACAGCCTCTGGGATGCCTCTCTGGAGGTTCCACAAGATGCACTTTGAAAATCATTAACTCTTGGATTAGTCACCTGACCCTTAATTATATACTGCCTTGGCCTTGTATCTTCTTATAGTTTCGTTCTGTGTTGTTTTATTATTGCCTTTGATTACTTACTTTTTGCATGCTTGTGGTCTGAGCCCCTTCATGTAGGAGACAGGAAAAAAAGCCACAAAGCCCTGAATGTCTTATGAATTGTAAACAGGTACAGATAGCAGTCATATAATCAACCAATATAGCCAGCAAGCTAGACAGGAACTACAGGCAGGGGCTCTGTGTGCAGTACATTTCCTGTATTTTCCATAGTTTCTCAACTATATGGAAGAAGGAATACAACTGGCATTAAGAAGACATACCCCAGAAAGATGATAGAGTTAACAGCTATTTATCTGGTTCTTGACTTCAATAAAAAATCAGTTAGGACCACTATTTTTCTCTTATGGACCCCATATTTAGGAAGATTTTCTCCATGAGAATAACTATAGTATGCTAAGTAATACATTAGTTTTCCCCATTTTACTTAATAGATCATGTATTCTCAGTGGAAGCAAAAATTGGTTCTTCTGGTATGAGTGAATACATCTTACTCTTTTTTTTTTTTCGAGAGTGAGTTTCACTCTTGTTGCCCAGGCTGGACTGCAAAGGCGCGATCTCGGCTCACTGCAATCTTCGCCTCCCGGGTTCAAGCCATTCTCCTGCCTCAGCCTCCCTAGTAGCTGGAATTACAGGTGCCCAACACCAGTCCCAGCTGATTTCTTGGATTTTTAGTAGAGATGGGGTTTCCTTATGTTGGCCAGGCTGGTCTCGAACTCCTGACCTCAGGCGATCCACCTGCCTCGACCTCCCAAAGTGCTGGGATTACATGCGTGAGCCACTGCGCTGGGCCCACCTTACTCTTTTATACATAAAGCACAGTGCATCTATTGTACTAAAATTTCAAGGCAGTCATTAAAAAAAAGTCTAAAAGAATTCTTAGGGGAAAAAGGTAATGATACACTCATATAAATGACTTCCAATTAGAACTTTTGATTTATATGAACTTACCAGTATTCTCACAGTGAGTTGGAATTTCAGTCAAAACAAAATAACATCATATTTCAGTCTGTGGGTAAATGTAATTGTTCATTCATCAGTGAACACTTTGCTTGCCAGTAGTGCTGAAAGCATGGAAGAAAAAAGAACAATTGAAAAACTACTGCAATAGTCCAAGTAAGAAATGGTGGAGACTGGACTAGGATGTTCAGATTTGAGATGTATTTTAAAATATGCCTTCTGAAAAAAATTCAAAACAGCTCAATGCCCTCATAATAAAGGATTCTACGTTGGGAAATACTGTATGATGCCAAAGTTCTAGGCCTTATTTCAGGGGGATCTTTGCCTGTTTGTACACATGTTCCAAAAAAATTCTTCCTGGCATCATCATTCTTTAGGCTGGCAGAGAAAAACAAATCAGCAAATCTCACATTTTCCTTTATGGGAAAATTTTGTTTGTAGTTGGACCTAATTTCTATTCGGGTAAGGAGTGGCTCTTATTCAAAGACAAGCTTTGTATATTTTGTTACACAAATGACCTTTATTTTTGAAGCTGTCAACAACATTTTCATAATTGCAAATGGTCTAGGTTGATTAACCTGCTATATTTTGCAGATTTTACAGTGCATTTGTATTTGCACTGCTAAAAAATTACATAATGAGCATCAATAAGTCTTCCCATGCAATTTTTAGCTCACTCCTGGCATTGATCAACTGTTATGCTTAGTGTGGTGTAAATTTCTTCCTGATAAACCCAACTTCGGCCCTGGGCTCTATTTTTCCAACGGCTATTAATCAACTTTGCCAGCTGCTTTAGATTCTTTTTGGAGATAGGATGTCATAAATAAGTAAAAGTAATCATTGTTTCATCCAGGAAGTAAAGAAGTGCAAGCTAGAATACGTGCAAGACAGCATGGTTGGGTCATATGTGTGCAGATGAGAAAAGACCAATTCTCCTCTGTGGTTACATGGGTCATATTGCCTGTATATCACTCTCTTCTGCAGTCTACCAAGCGTTATAAACAGCATGTGATCCATGGGTCTGCTATCAAAACAAATACATTTCACGAGATGTGAAGCGTCATTTAACTTGAGCAATGACTTGAGATTATTACTTAGGGTTTAGATGGAATGTTTTCTTAATGGGCCAACGTCTTTTGCAAAAAATAGGACTCACAGAGGAACACATAGCAAGACATTTTATTTATTTTTTTGAGATAGGGTGTCTGTTGCCCAGGCTGGAGTGCAGTGGCATGATCACAGGTCACTGCAGCCTCAACCTCCTGAGCTCAAGTGATCCTCCTACCTCAGCCCCCTGAGTAATCCCAGCCTCCTGAGCTGCATTGCCCTATGTTCTCCCCATGTTGCCCAGGCTGGTCTCGAACTCCTAAACTCAAGTGATCCTCCCCGCTCTGCCACTCAAAGTGCTAGGATTACAGGCGTGAACCATCGCACTGGCCCAACAAGTCTTTTTAAACAGAGACTTAAACTGGTTTCCTCATTCCTGAAGTCCAAATAAATTATATTGCTAAGTAATATGTATATAATATATGTTGAGGAAGTATTTGTACTCTATGTTAAAGATATCGTTTGCTATGTCTTTGTGTGAATTCAAATATATTTTAAAATATTTATAAAGGAAGAATAATTTGGCTCATCTTACACCTCAGATAGAAAAATTATCTGGCAGTCCTGAGACTGGGAATGGTTATAAAATGTTTAACAACCTACAGACCAGAAGATAAAAAGCTAAGAGGCAACTTACATTAAAAGTACTGCAGCGAGCACATCATAGGAAAAGAGCCGTGTCTCTCCCATTCTCCCTGGGAGTGTAAGGGACTGGAGATTTAGGGGACGAATTATGCATGTAAGGGTAAACTCACTTGAGCTCATGGTGCTCAAGAGAAAGTCTCCTGAACAGAAGCCAGCAGGGCAGTTTCTTCTTGCACGTAAAGAATTGTGGTGGATGCGATTATGTTTATGATCTTTGGGTAAGGACATGGAGTAAAGAAAGGTACAAGGGAAGATGGGATACTCCAAGATTTTGGTATACTCTTTGTATTAGTCTGTTCTCATGCTGCTGATCAAGACATACCCAAAACTGGGCAATTTACAAAGGAAAGAGTTTGGCTGGGTGAGGTGGCTCACACCTGTAATCCCAGCACTTTGGGAGGCCGAGGCGGGTGGATCACGAGGTCAGGAAATCGAGACCATCCTGGCTAACACGGTGAAACTCTGTTTCTACTAAAAATACAAAAAAATTAGGGCGTGGTGGCGGGTGCCTGTAGTCCCAGCTACTCGGGAGACTGAGGCAGGAAAATGGCGTGAACCCAGGAGGCGGAGCATGCAGTGAGCCGAGATCGCGCCACTGCACTCCAGCCTGGGTGACAGAGCGAGATTCTGCCTCAAAAAAAAAAAAGAGTTTTACTGGACTTACGGTTCCACATGACTGGGGAGGCCTCACAATCATGGCAGAAGGCAAGGAGGAGCAAGTCACATCTTAGGGGGATGGCAGCAGGCAAAGAGAGAGAGCTTGTGCAGAGAAACTCCTGTTTATAAAACCTTCAGATCTCCTGAGACCCATTCACTATCACGAGAACAGTACAGGAAATACCCAACCCCGTGATTCAATCATCTCCCACTGGGTCCCTTCCACAACAAGTGGAAATTATGGGAGCTACAAGATGAGATTTGGGTTGGGACACAGAGCCAAACCATATTACTCCTGTTATGGCAACTAAAAACAGAAGGCAAAATGCTTTCTGGCCACAAAAAGAACAAATCCCTAAATCTTAAGTTTTAACTGCATGTCTAGTACTTAAAATCATGTGAGGGGTTTTACATGGGATAGCCCTAGAATGTGTGGCGTGTAACTATTTTATTTACAAACGAAGTATTTGAATTAGGAAGCAATCACCATAATATTTCACAATAATGTAATATATGCATGGGTTGTAATTTAAGAATTTCAAAAGATATGTTAATAAGTAATCAAACCACCTCATAGTTCAAATTTTAAAATACAGTTTTCAAAAACTAAATAAAATAACCTTTTCTAAAGCAGCATGTGTTGGTAAAAAACAAAATAAAATTGTCATTAAGGTCAAAGGATAAAACAAGCCCAATATTCAGATTTTTTTTTAGACCTCAGAGAGCTAAAGACTTTTTTTGAAGACTTCCAACATCCAGACTTCCAGTGTTTGCAAATCAGCTATTCTGTGCACAGTCCAAGATGTGGCGCCATTTATGATAGCTGAAAACTTAATGTAAGTATTAATTAAACTTGAAGCTCTAAAAATAAAAAAAGTACACTAAAAGCTGTTTTAAAGTCAGCAAGGCCGAGTATTTGCTTAGAGGTCTTCTTTTTTAACTCTTGCTCTTAAGTAAATCTTGATAACTATTTGTGGTTCTCCACATCTTTACATGGAAAAATGCATTTTGCTGGAGAAAAACAAAAATAATGGTCTAGATTTATGACTGATTTCTCTCAACTATCTTCCTCAGTAACACCTTAATCTAAGAATATTTGGTGAAATAATATCCCAGTTCTAGAGAAAGTTGCTAGAATTACAAACATGTCATAGGAAACAGATATTTCAGTTTTAGCATGCATATTGTAACATTTCAGGCTGCCTTCTTTCCATCAAGATCTGAGCACTAAGTTTCTTTCTGAGTGAAGAATCAGATGAAGCAGATGGGAGGTGATGATAATATTATACTATTTATTATCAGATTTGGTGGCTGTTTTATGGTTATATAAAAGAATACTTTGGTTTGGGGAAAGGCTGAAGTATTTGGAGTTAATAAGGTTTCATAACTACAATTTACTCAAATGGTTCAAGGGAAAAAAAGCAACAAAGAAAGAGAGAATGACAAATCAAATGTCATAAAATGTTAACCACTGGGTGAGGAAATGAGGAGTCTTGTATTATATTCACAACATTGCTGTGAGTTTGAAATTTTTTCAAAATAAAAGTAGAACAAATTAAAAAGGACACAGTGAGTTTGAAGGGCCTCCAACTGGCCAAATTTACGACTATTCAAAACAATAATGACTGTAATTGATTGTAATCCAATGAATAAGTAAGAATTCATGAGTCCACATGATACTATAAAAACAAGAAAGAAAAAGAATAGTAGCCAGAGGCTACTATTATGCCAACAACTTACTCTGAAATGTTTTAGTGAAAAAATTAAGCACTTATCCTGTCTTTTTGAGAATAATTATAGTCATTCCCAGTTGTATATTAGTCTGTTCTCACACTGCTATAAAGAAATACCTGAGACTGGGTAATTTATAAAGAAGGGAGGTTTAATTGGCTCATGGTTCTGCAAGCTGTATAGAAAGCATGGTGGTGTCAGCTTCTGGAGTGACCTCAGGAAAGTTACAATCATGATGAAGGTGAAGAAGAAGCAGGCACTTCACATAGCCAGAGCAGGAGGAAGAGAGAGAGATAGGGGAAGGGCTACACACTTTTAAACAACCAGATCTCACAATAACTCACTATCATGAGAAGAGCACCGAGGGGATGGTGCTAATCCATTCAGGAAGGACCCAACCCCATGATCCAGTCACCTCCCACCAGGCCCAACTCCAACATTGGGGATTACATTTCAACATGAGATTTGGGTGGGAACACAGATTCAAACCATATTATTCTGCCTCTGGCCCCTCCCAAATCTCATGTCCTTCTCACATTTCAAAATACAATCATGCCTTTCAAACAGTTGCCTAAAGTCTTAACTCATGCCAGCATTCCCTCAAAAATCCCCTTCAAAGTCTCATCTGAAACAAAGAACATCCCTTCTGCCTATGAGCCTGTAAAATCAAAAACAAGTTAGTTACTTCCAAGACACAATGGGGGTGTTGGCATTGGGTGAACATTCTCATTCCAAAAGGGAGAAATGGGCCAAAAGAAAGGGGCTATAAGCCCCAGGCAAGTCGGAAACCCAGCAGAGCATTCATTAAATCTTAAAGTTCCAAAATAATCTCCTTTGATTCCATGTCCCACATCTGGGGCACACTGGTACAAGGGGTGGGCTCCCAAAACCTTGGGCAGCTTCACCCCTGTGGCTTTCCTGAGTTCATCCCCAGCAGCTGCTCTCACAGACTGGTGTTGAGTCCCTGCGCCTTTTTCAGGCTGAGGGTGCAAGCTGCTGGGGGTCTACCATTCTGGGGTCTAGAGGACGGTGGCCCTCTTCTCACAGCTCCACTATTCAGTGCCCCAATGGGGACTCTGTATGGGGGCTCCAGTCCCACATTTTCCATCTGCACTGCCCTAGTAGAGGTTCTCTAGGCTGAAGGCTCCACCCCCATAGCAGGCTTCTGCCTGAACATCCAGGCTTTTCCATACATCTTCCAAAATCTAGGCAGAGGCTCCTATGCCTCATCTCCTGCATTCTGTGCACCTACAGGCTTAACACCACATGGAAGCCACTAAGGCTTCCAGCTTGCAGCCTCTGAAACAGCTGTCCAAGCTGTACCTGGGCCCCTTGTAGCCATGGCTGGAGCTGGAGTAGGTGGAATGCAGGTAGCAGTGTTCCAAGGCTGCACAGCGTGAGGCTCTGGGCCTGGCACATGAAACCATTTTTTTCTTCCTGGGCCTTCAGGCCTGTAATGGAAGGCGCTACCATGAAGGTCACTGAAATGCCTTTGAGGCCTTTTCCCCATTGTCTTCATTATACAATCATTATAATAAACTTTACATGTGGTTTTGCCCCCCCCCGAGTGGGCTTTCCTTAATGAATTACGAATTATGGGTAAAAACACGCACAGTTTAATTTCAATGATATAACTATAAATGCCAATCAAATAACATCAACTTGTCACTCAAACACAGCCTAAGCTCAACTCCTCCCAACAAACCCCATGAAAGCACTGAGCTCTGTAAAGAAGAGCCAATTTCACTTCACAGAGATCAGCCCGCCCTCCCTCTGAGAGTGTATAACTGTGCTTCAACAAGCTTTGTTTCAAGCTTGCATTTTGGTGTTAGTTTGCATTTCTTTGCTCACTATCACAAGAACCGAGACTGCTGATCTAGAGCTCCAGCTCTGTTGATCTCCTTGGCTGAAGGGTCCATCCCAACTCAAGATCCCAGGTAACAATAATACCTGCTTCTTGATATAAGGATTCAACAATTTTTTAAAGCGCTGAGACCATGCCTGTTACATAGTAGGCACTTAACACACGCTGATTATTTACATCTAAATCTTCACAACCACCCTAAGAAGTACATGTTATTATTCCCATCTTACAATAGAGAAAATAAGCTCAGATTAATTAATTTTCTTGGGTCTTACAGCAAGTAAGTGATGGTACTGGTATCTGTACTTATATTGAATGGTTTGACTGTAAAATTCTTCTTTTCTCTATATCAAATAGTCCCACGAGGAATGTGTGTGTGTGTGTGTGTGTGTGTGTGTGTGTGTGTGTGTATTTTAAATGAGAACCAAGCAAAAGCTTATGGTAGAGACCAGGCTATCTGAGTCATGTATGATCGTCATTACTATTTTGGTCAAAATATCTGGAAATTAGATTTGACAAAAATCACTTTCAGCATATAATGATGAAGATGATGAATTGTGCTCTAAATATTGAGAAGCTATTTTATAAGATGTGGGAAAATCTGTAACACCTATGTGTGGAATGTCGCCTTGGAGTTTAAAGTTTTATCACAAACTGACAACTCGTTACTGTCTCGGTATGAACAAATTTAAATCTCTACCTAATTTCTAAATTACCTACTGCCTATACCATAGTTTTGTTCTTTTAGTTTACATCTACCTATGTGTAGCAAACACTAGAAAACTTAAACTTTTTTTAAAAAAAAAGAAGCAGAGATGCTTTACTTCTCTAAGCAACGAAGCTGTTGAAATGGAAAGAACTGAGCAAGTATCAACAATGTAACATACTTTGCTTTTTTCCCCATGCTGTAGAAAACTGGAATAGTTCAGGCACCACATCTAAGCTCTTACATAAGTCTTACGCAAGAGTTGTGAGCCAGTTTTTTCCTGAATCAGTGTCAGAGCTAATTCAGATATTTAAGGACCTTTGCTTCCTAATATTCTTGGTAAGCATGGCATGCACTTACTTAGTTCACTTCCGTTATTTTTAAATTACTTGGGTAAACACACACACATTTACATTTATAAACATCCTTGCCAACACAATGAAAGCTCACATTGTGTTCCTCCTAGTATGCTTAGCCTGGGTAGTGTAGGGGAAAGGGAGGGAGAGTTTCTCTATCGTGAACGCTATTTTCTGAATCTTTCCTAAAAACATATACATGCACTGGATACACTTTTAAAGCAAGCTATTATTCACCAGGCCTTTTGCAGAGCATAACTCCAGCATAGAAGGCTAACACATCTATTAACTGGCTCAGTGATTTGATTTTTCTTTTTTTTAATGAGGGAATTGAGGCAGCTAAAAGTTAAGCCACTATGCTTCAGGACAAAGAGAAAATTCGAAACAGAGGTTAGGTCTCAAAGATCCTGTTTGGACCACAAACGTGAAGAGTAGCAAAGAGGAAACATAAAAAAAATCAAAAGATACAATTGAAGGAAACTCCTAACCCCTTCATTCTAAGCACAGCCTTCCAGGACAGCCCTCTTATTCTTTGTCTTAGCAGTTTATCTCCACCTTAATGCAGAATTATAAGTGATTATTTTGCTCTCCAGATGGAGATATTGGCTCCTTTTTGCCAGTCTTCTTAGAATATAAATTAGCTCAACACTGACTCGGGCAGCTACTGTACTAAAGGCAGGAGATAGAGCATTAAACAACCTGTCTGGGTTCACGCCTTTATGGAACTTACCAGAATGATATTGAGAGGTGATAGCATGCTGGCAGTCCTCACAGCCCTCGCTCGCTCTCGGACCCTCCTCTGCCTGGGCCCACCGCTGCACTGTGGGAGCCCCTTTCTGGGCTAGCCAAGGCCGGAGCGGGCTCCCTCAGCTTGCAGGGAGGTGTGGAGGGAGAGGCGCGAGCGGGAACCCGGGCTTTGCGCGGCGCTTGCGGGCCAGCTGGAGTTCCGGGTGGGCGTGGGCTTGGTAGGACCCGCACTCGCAGCAGCTGGCCGGCCCTGCCGGCCCCGGGCAATGAGGGGCCTAGCACCTGGGCCAGCGGCTGCGGAGGGTGTACTGGGTCCCCGAGCAGTGCCAGCCTTAGCTGCCTTCCCGCGGGGCAGGGCTTGGGACCTGCAGCCCGCCATGCCTGTGCCTCCCACCTCCTCCGTGGGCTCCTGTGCGGCCCCAGCCTCCCGGAAGGGCGCCGCCCCCTGCTCCACGGCGCCCAGTCCCATCGACCACCCAAGGGCTGAGGAGCGCAGGCACACGGTGCAGGACTGGCAGGCAGCTCCACCTGCAGCCCCGGTGCAGGATCCACTGGGTGAAGACAGCTGGGCTCCTGAGTCTGGTGGGGACGTGGAGAACCTTTAGGTCTAGCTCAGGGATTGTAAATACACCAATCAGCACCCTGTCTCTAGCTCAGGGTTTGTGAATGCACCAATCCACACTCTGTATCTAGCTACTCTGGTGGGGACTTGGAGAACCTTTGTGTGGACACTCTGTATCTAGCTAATCTAGTGGGGAGGTGCAGAACCTTTGTGTCAAGCTCAGGGATTGTAAACGCACCAACCAGCACCCTGTCAAAACAAACCACTGGACTCTAGTCATCTGCAGGATGTGGGTGGGGCCAGATAACAGAATAAAAGCAGGCTGCCCAAGCCAGCAGTGGCAACCCCTCCGGTCCCCTTCCACGCTGTGGAAGCTTTGTTCTTTCGCTCTTTGCAATAAATCTTGCTACTGCTCTCTTTGGATCCACACTGCTTTTATGAGCTGTAACACTCACCACGAAGGTCTGCAGCTTCACTCCTGAAGCCAGCGAGACCATGAGACCACTGGGAGGAAGGAACAACTCCAGACGCGCCGCCTTAAGAGCTGTAACACTCACCGCCAAGGTCTGCAGCTTCACTCCTGAGCCAGCGAGACCACGAGCCCACCAGAAGGAAAAGACTCAGAACACATCCGAACATCAGAAGGAACAAACTCTAGACATGCCACCTTAAGAGCTGTAACACTCACCACGAGGGTCCGCGGCTTCATTCTTGAAGTCAGCGAGACCAAGAACCCACCAATTGCGGACACAATATGGTTTAGCACAGTGATTCTCAACTCTGGCTGCAATTAAAATCAACTGGAAGCTTTTATAAATCTTATATCTGGGTCCCACTCTCCCAGGGATCCTTATTCACTTGGTCTGGGGAAGAGGCAGGGTGCAGCTGTGGTCAAGAACTATTGGTCAGAGAGATACTACTGTGGGGCAGACAGCTGCTATGCAAGGTGTTAGGTGATCATATTCTTTATTTCTTTATTCCAGCTGTTTACCCAGTGTATATTCACATGGGAGTTGAGTTTAAGTAGTTCAAAGATGAACACTTTCTATCCATATAGTTAATATGTTTTATGTGCACTTAAAAATACATAACGGGAATGTCAAACTTATGAATGCACAGATAATTTGCTCAGTACTGAAGGAGAGGCAAAATTGTACTTCTGCCTTCAGGGTTTTTGGCTGGGCTTGAGGATTAAATTGACCAAAGACAGATTAACTGGAGAAATGCATACACATTTATTTAAAATAAGTTTTACATGACACAGAAGCCTTCATAAGACCCAAACAGGCAGTTGGGGTAGAGCACATATATAGAATTGGACAAAGAGGAGTAAATTATGAAAGTGTGACAAATGGAGGGGGCTTGGGCTGAGTCAGTTATGGTGGAAAAGTAACTAGGAAGATAAGGATTAGTTTAACAAGGTTTCTACAGATTGGTCTCAATTCTGACTCCCCGTTTCTAGTGATAAGAATGTTATTTTCTTTGCGGTATATGAAGGACATCTTCCATATGGGGATTTATTTTCTTCCTTTAGGAGGAAAGAGGGAAGATCAGAGGGTCCTTGTCATACCTACTATTTTTTCAAGTGCCTTCAGCTCAAAATAATCCTCATGTCACACTGGCATACTTTGGATTGGCATAGTCTGGCAGTTTTCAGTACAACAGTATGAAAGTTCCCTTTAAAATAATGAATGAAAAATTACGGGTGTGTCAGATTCAAGAAAAATATTAAATACATAATAGTATAGGTTCTATGAGGATATTGCAAAAACCATGAAGTTGGTGTGAGATTGACACTTAGGAAACAGGGTATGGGGAAATCAATGTGCTTGTATGAACAAGTCATGGGTGATCTGTATTATTCTTGGTGATGGCCCATACATCACTTTGAAAATGAGAAAGAAGTGAAACTGACTGTATTCGATTCCCTAAGTCATCATTTAACTAATGGCCATCTCACTGGATCACCCATTTGCTAAAAGCCAGTTCATTGAATAATTGGCTAACCAATCAACCCAAAGAATACTGATAGACAGATATCTTAAACCAGATCTTTTAGTGTTTTGCTTAGAGAAGTGGAAGCAAATGCATGGGAAATAACTGGGATAGGACATAAACTCTCAAAAATAAAGAAGAGAGTAAGTTGCAGTGAAGTTGGGCTCATCCTGTCCCACTGTTACAGGATCCTTGGGGTGTCACTTTGCCAGCTGGAAACCTCTGTGGCCAGTGGTGCCTTTGCCTGAGTTTTGCTTGGGGCCATCTGGGCTCATTCCACCGCTTGGCCTGACAGGCTGCACTCAGCTCATGGTACCAGCCTGGATCCCCCAGGCCTGCCAAGGGTGAGCCAGGTGTGGAGTGGCAAGGGGTGTGTGAGCAAGCATGGGGTCTGGCCACTGCACATAGCCAGGCACACCAGCTGCAGCAGGGCAGGCAGCTCCAGTTGCTAACATGGGCACTGGCTCCCTCTGAGGCTGTGGCTGGACCAGGTGTACCACAAGCAGCTTCCACAGCTGGCACTGGGGAACATGGTGGCACCCAGAAGCTTGGAGACACCAGGAACTGCAGAGCCCCAAAAGGGGTGTCACGGCCCTGGTGTGGGGAGCTCTTAGGTCTGGACTCCCTGAAGGGCCACAGCTCTTCTCTCCTTCTCTCTTCTCTCTTTGTCACCTGCAATGAGCAAGGGGCATGTTTTAGCCCTGTTTGTGTTACAGCTCTTTTAGCCTTGCCATTTGCAGGGTTCCAAGGTCTCGTCCTGCATCCAGGAAGAATGAGGTACGTGAACAAGTGGAGGGTGAGAAAGGTGATGAAGAGCTTTATTGAGTGACAGAACAACTCAAGGAGACCAACACTGGGTAGCTCCTCTCTGCGGCTGGTTGTCCCATCATCTTCCCAAGTCTGGCTGAGTCTGGGGTTTTTATGGTCTTTAGAGGGGAGGAAGTGCGTGCTGATTGGTCTATGGGCAGCCACAGGTGGGCCCGGAAAAAGCACCACAAGTTCCCACTCTGGTCCCTGGGACCAGCAGCCTGGCCCCCAGGCTTCAGGTCTTCCCCAGCTTGAAGGTGGGGCTTCACTGGGGACCCACCTCCTTCTGCCCGGAAGCCTCTCTGCCTCCTGCTACCATTCATGATGCCCAGGCTGTTCATGTCAAGGGGCACCTGCAGGCCAGCCCCAAGCTGCCCTCAGCCCCCCTTAGCCTCCCTCCTGTGCTCGTTGGTGCCCAAAGTCCAGAGGGGGCCGAGGTGGCAGGGGGCTGGCATGTCAGTGCTGCCCTTGGTGTGCACACACCTGGTCAGGCTGCAACAGCAACCAAGCCCGGCCCCAACCTTGCTTCAAAATCAGAGTGGGTGCCAGGAGCAGGGAGAGGCCAGGCAGCGTGAGCAGACACCCCTGAGACTACAGGGCTTGGGGGGCATTCCCAGGCAGAGATGCCCAGGTTTACAGCCAGAGCTTGGGCAGCTGCAGCTGTGCCCAGAAGGCTCCTGCTGGCTCCCTGAAGTGTGCAGCCCTGCCCTGGCAGTGCCTCCCCACTACAGTCAGTGTCATGGCAGTGGCCTCTCTAGATGGGCTGCTACTCCCATCACCATTGTACCTTAAGAGAAGTTTTTTCTAGTGTCTGAAATTTAAAAGCCAACTGAACCACTTGAAATTCACATCCAACTAAGCCGAGTTGAGAAATTCATGATAAGATGACTCTGTGATGCTGAGGAGAAACTAAAACAAAAAGAAAAACCCTCAGTAATGTAACAGTGGATCACAGTGAATTGATTTTTGCTGAAATGGCTTTTTGTGAATTAGCTGCTTAACAAACTAGCTTTCCACAAAATAGATTTGCTTTAGAATAGCAGCTACTGTACTTATAGAAAACTGGAATACTTTTATTTTAGGCAAGTCTTTCTATATAAGTCCCCTTCTCTAGACTGCTAACTTCTGGAAGTGTATCACATCTCTATTCTCCCCAACAGCTTATTCAATGTATTTGCTGGTGAAACAGCAACAAGCCCTATTAAGATATATTTGGGCCGGGCGCGGCGGCTCACGCCTGTAATTCTAGCACTTTGGGAGGCTGAGGCGGGCGGATCATGAGGTCAGGAGATCGAGACCATCCTGGCTAATACGGTAAAACCCCGTCTCTACTAAAAATACAAAAAATTAGCCGGGCGAGGTGTTGGGTGCCTGTAGTCCCACCTACTTGGAAGTCTGAGGCAGGAGAATGGCGTGAACCCGGGAGGCAAAGTTTGCAGTGAGCCAAAATCATGCCCCTGCACTCCAGCCTGCATGACAGAGCAAGACTCTGTCTCAAAAAAAAAAAAAAAAAAAAAAAAAGATATATTTGGTACAATTTGGTACAGTGCCCATTTCCATTACAATTTAGGGCACACAATATCAAATCCAAGTATCAATTCAGTCTAGCCAATCCAAATATCTATCTATAACTAGAAATGATGAATAGGAGATCTATTTATCTCTGAATATGAGATAACTGTTAACTAGAATTTAAAGAAACAAATAATTAATTGAAAAAGACTAATTCACACTGTAGATCATGAGCTATATACATTTAATCATAAAATTCAATTAACAATTTCGTTCGGCCATCTTTAATATACAGTAAGAATTCTGATATTGTTAGGTGGTTAGATATTGTTAGGTGCAGCTGGGAAGGGGTGAGAGAGGATAGCAGAAGGGCTGTCACTAACCCAGGCCCTGACCCACCTATGTTCAGCCCCCACGACCACCCTAACTCTACCTTAATGGATGGAGTTTCTGGTAAAGTCTGTGGCCAGCACATCTTGGAGGAAGAAGAACTGGGCACAGATAAAAATCCCCTACAGTCATGAATGCCCAGTCCATCTAGGCTGTAACCCCAGGTAACTTCGTCCTCACTACACAGTCATTACAATAAAATTTACATGTGTGTTTGCCCCCTTGAGTGAGCTTTCCTAAATGAATTATGGGTAAAAAAAATTATGTGCAGTTTAACGTCAGAGATATAACCTTAAACTGCCAATTAAATAATATCATCCTGTCACTAAAACACAGCCCAAGCCTCGACTCCTCCCCATAAAACCCGTAAAAGCACGCTGAGCTCTGTGAAAAGGGGCTGATTTCACTTCACAGAGATCAGCCCACTGTCCCTCTGAGAGCGCATTACTATGCTTCAATAAACTTTGCTTTGAGCTTGCATTTTGGTGTTAGTTTGCAATTCTTTGCTCACTATCACAAGAACTGAGTTTGCTGATCTAGAGCTCCGGCTCTCTTGACCTCCTTGGTTGAAGGGTCCATCCCAATGCAGTATCACTGGCAACATCACCAATATATAATCCTTCCTTTCCAGTGAATGATGACTTGTTAACTTTCTCCCTTCGGTGTGACAAATAGAATTGTTTCTGTTCTAGTCTGATCAGAACTCTCATATCCAAGTTCTATTGATCTTTTTTATGTGTCTTCTGTGCAATTCTGGTCTCAGGCTGTTTTATACCGAGATTGTCACTCTTATGTATTAAGTGCAGAAAACAGTCTCTTGTGTTATAAATGTTCAAGGTGCTGGTTTTAGATACAGTCTTTGCCAGGGGTATTTATAGGGGTTGATTTCCTCAAAGGATCCCTCTGAAATGCATGCCACACAATGGGAAAATTTCTTCTATTAGGTGACCTTGGATTTCTCTCTCTGACTCAAATGTTTGCCCTATTATGGCAGTAGAAGCATTTAAACTTAGCAACTTCAGTCAGAAAGAGTAATTTCCTGATTAGATCTGAGGAGATTATGACCCTTTACTTCTGTAAGTCAATTAACACTTGATGTTTGACTGACACTCAAGTCAAACATCATTAAATGCTTTGCCAAGCAGCAGAACCTCAAGGTTTTATTGTTTAACCATTCACTACTAGTATATGGACTGAACTAGCATTGTACATGCTGAATAAATAAACAAAAACTCCCCAAACAATATACTACTTTAATATAACTGCCATGTTTGTCTATCTCCAAAAATATGATCCTTCTAAGAAATATTTTGTTTTAACCTAGCCAGTTGCAGTGAGCTGAGATCGCGCCATTGCACTCCAGCCTGGGTGACAGAGGGAGACTCCATCTCAAAAACAAAACAAAACAAAACAAACAAAAACAAAAACAAAACAAAACAAAAAACCCCACAGAACACCTTAGACTGGGTCATTTATAAACAACAGAATTTTACTGCTCATGGGTCTGGAGACTGGGAAGTCCAAGGTCAAGGCACCAGTATATTCACTGTGCAGTGAGGGCCCATTCCACTTGGTTGGTGCCTTCTGTGTGTCCTCACATGGCAGAGGGGGCAGAAAAGCTCCCTCAGGCTTCTTTTATAAGGGCACTAACCCCATTCATGAGGGCAGAGCCCTCATGACTGAATCACCCCCAAAGGGTCTACCTCTTAATACTATCACCTTGGAGTTTAGGTTTCAACATATGAATTTTAGAAGGACACAATCAGTGTGTAGCAATCCTCACCCCCAGTTTTCCCCCTGAAATCCTATAAGGAGAGGCATCTCAGTCATTACTTTGAATTTGAAACTCGGTTATTCCCATAAAAGGTTTTATATTATGCTCACAAAGGCTACCTCAACTGGGCTTAGTGAACAGATACCTTGAAACAAGACAGGTTACTGGCAGATGGCTTAAGAATGGAAAATTTGCCTTGGTGATTTGTAAAATGAGGTAAAGGGGCAGGGACTGGGAAGACAATTGACTTGGTGGGGAAAGGGACCCAGAAATAGGCATGTCTTATTCCCAGCACCCAGAAGGGCTGCCTGATCCTAGACATTTTATGACCTTTATGACATTATTAATAAAGCCTATAAAGAATCTCCAGGTCTAGACCTGCACTGCCCAGCAGAATGATCTGCAATGATGGAAATGACTTCCATCCACTCTATCCAATATGGTAACCACTGGCCACATGTGGCTATTGAGCATATAAACTGTGGCTAGTACAAGTGAGGAAGTGAGTTTTTAATGTAAATGTGTAAATATAAATAACCCCAGGTGGCTAGTGCCCACTGTCAGAGAGTACAGGTCGGGACCATGTTCCCTATGACAGTTTTGCCTATATGTTGCCAAAACCAAACGAAACTCAATTTTTTTTTTTTTTTTTTTTTTTTTTTTTTTTTAGTGACAAGGGTCTCCCTTTGTTGTCCAGGCTGGTCTTGAACTCCTGGGCTCAGGGCTTAAGTAATCCACCCACTTTGGCCTCCCAAAGTGCTGGGATTACAGGTATGAGTCACTGCGCCCGGCCTTATTACTTTTAATTCTAACAACAGACCTTCAAGATAAATATTAATTTTTTTTACACAATGAAGTTGAAGTTCAGAGAGGTCATGAAGATAGTACAGGACAGAGCTGGAATTTAAACCTAGACCTGTCTGACTTTGAAGTCTATATTTTTTCCAATACATCACACCAAAGCTACCAAACATATAAAAATACTTAAAATTTTTTATCTATGTCTGCTTTTGTAGATCAAGCCATACATTTATTATATTTTATTAGCATAAAGAATACAATTTTTTTCTCCATCATTCTCTGTACCTATTTCTCTTTATGTGATACAACAGAAGAGAGTGACTGTTGTCTACAGCAGAGGTAGTTATCTTAGGAAACACAGATAGAATAATAAAAGGTAAGGACTAACTTATGACTAATAGAGGCATCAATTGCTACTAGCATTCTGAGATATAATTATTTTTAAAGTATATTAGGAAGAACAGTTGCATCTTCTCACTGCCTGTTATTTGAGGTAACTATTCACAGCTGAACACTGATATGGATTAATCCCGGTATGACTCAGTTCAAATCCTATGTTCTTATGATAGGCCATTAGCAAATTAAAGAATAAGAATCCTACATAGAGCTCAGTTGTAAGCTAACAACTTATTAGTTCAAGGAAGGTCTCAAGCTTTATCTGCCGGTGTCATTATGAAAAAAAATACCAACTGCTTGAAAATGTAAGACTTATGAAAATCAAACATAAACAAATGTTTATGTATTTGAATAAATTCATGAGAAGCAATGCTAATTTGAGAGAAAGCAGAAGAGTATGATACACTTGATAACACAGTTGTAGACAGAACCCCAATTAATCAGTTTTAAGTGCTCTTTGCAGTTATTGGATTTAGTCTTCTTGAACAAGACTTTAGAGGCTGTAAAACGAGCCAAAGTGAAAAAAGAAAAGACTAAGTATCCAAATAGACCCACAGCATTACGGAAGGCTATGCTTCTGAACAAGCAAGTAGGGTCAAGGGCCAGCTATTTTAGGAACAAATGGTACCCAGAGATATCAGCTTAAAGGGAGCGCTTAGAAACGAAGAGTTAGCCCTCAGAAGAAAACCAGACAATATACAAAGTAAAAGTTCATGGTATCTGGCAAACTAAAAGCGGGCCAGACATTCATAAAGAGCGCTTATGGGTGGGCAGTTGGGCATTGACAGGATAGGAGTCACTGCAAGGAAAGAGGTCAAAAACAGAACAATCCAGCCACGAAGGAGGCTGCAGTGTAGAACAAGAAACACTCTAGGAGAATAGTATAGGAGCCAGGCCACTGAAGAGCTAGGGCGTCAAGAAGGAAGCCAAGGATGGGCTGAGGATGCAGCCGCGAGTGACCTCAATGCATGACCGACTCATCGCTGAGCAAGAGAGCAGCTCCCTCAGAGTCCTTAGAGTTCCCTTAGGAACAATGAGGTGCCAGCTGGTAGGCATGAGGACTCGGACCAAGAAAAAGCTCAGTTCAGCCTTTAAAGAGGGTGAGACCACTTGATGTGCAATCTTAGTAGAAAGAGTGGCCCTTTGGGAATCATCATGAATCATATCTCTCCCTGGGGGCTGCTGAAAAAGATCAGGATGCCAGAGCCCTTACTTGCCATGGATAGATATGGACTTGGGCCATGGTACCTTGGAAGGTAGCAAGGACAGTAACCTAATTCTCTCAAGCTTCTGTTTCTCTACCTAAAGGCATAATCAGAGTTAATCCGAGATTTTCATCACCCCAAATGGCACAGACACACTCTCTGAACCACAGGTGTTCTCTGATAGCAGTGGAAGATGTTCCCCTTTTCCATTTAATATTTTTTATTATTTTCACTCTATTCATTTTTATTTATTTATTTTTTAGAGACAGAGTCTCGCTCTGTCACCCAGGCTAAAGTACAGTGATGCAATCATAGCTCACTGTAATCCCAAACTCCTGGGCTCAAGCAATCCTCCTACAACTAGGACTACAGTCATATACCACCATGCCCAGCTTTTTTTTTTTTTTTTTTTTGAGATGGTGTCTCAGTATGTCACTGAGGCTGGAGTGCAGTGGTGCTCTCTCAGCTCACTGCAACCTCCACTTCCCACGTTCAAGCAATTCTCCTGCCTCAGCCTCCTGAGTAGCTGGGACTACAGGTGTGTGCCACCACGCCTGGCTAATTTTTTTATTTTTAGTAGAGACGGAGTTTCGACATGTCGCCCAGCGTGGCCTCAAACTCCTGGCCTCAAGTAATCTGCCCACCTCGGCCTCTCAAAGTGCTGGGATTACAGGCATGAGCCACTGTGTGCACTCCCAGCTAGTTTTTTGAGAAATTTTTTTGCAGAGATGGGGTCTCACTATGTTGCCCAGGCTGGTGTCAAACACCTGGCCTCAAGTGGTCCGTCTCAGCTTCCCAAACTGCTGGGAGAGCAAGCGTGAGCCACCATGCCAGGCCCTCTTTTCCACTTTAGTGTTTTCTTTCACCCCTGTAAGAACCAGACCCTACTATGTCTTTAGTGCCATCATTTGCACCCAGGAAAACTGCAAGAGTCCCTCTGTATTTGCTCCTCTGATGGGGGGGATTGTAAGTACAAAAGGCCGTACTTTTCCTGCAGCACAGGGTACAATGTCACTGATTATCTCCACCATGCAAACCGGTAAAGGCATGCTTTGGAAAAACTCACATGTCTCGATGCTCTCCCACTAGAATCCATTTACTCCCTTTCTGTATTTACTGTGTTTCCCCACACAGTGTGCAAAAGTCGTGGCAGTTGCACTTCAGTGTTTAGCTTGTTTTCTTTATTTGCTAGGAGATTTGGCTTCTGAGAGGAGTAAAAAAATGGGGAAAAAACGTGTGAACGGGTGTATCTTGAAGTCTACTGTCAAAAACTTTGCAGTATGCCAGCTGTGGTGGCTCATGCCTGTAATCCCAGGAATTTGGTAGGCCAAGGTGGGAGGATTGCTTGAGCCCAGGAGTTTGAGACCACCCCAGGTAACATGGCAAAAACCCACCTCTACTAAAAATACAAAAAATTAGCTGGGCGTGGTGGCGGACGCCTGTAGTCCCAGCTACTCGGGAGGCTGAGGCAGGAGAATGGCATGCACCCGGGAGGCGGAGCTTGCAGTGAGCCGAGATCGTGCCACTGCACTCCAGCCTGGGCGACAGAGCGAGACGAGACTCTGTCTCAAACAAACAAACAAACAAACAAACAAACAAACAAAAAAAACATTAGCCGGGCATGGTGGTGCACTCCTGTGGACCCAGCTACTCGGGAAGCTGAGGTGGGAGGATTGCCTGAGCCCAGGAGGCTGAGGCTGCAGTGAGCCGTGATTGTGCCACTGCACTCCAGCCTGGGTGACAGGAGTGAGACTCTGTCTGAAAACAAAACAAAACAAAAACAAAAAACCAAACTCAGCAGTGAAATCTACAAATCTGCCTTTGCCTTCCCCAAACTTTATTTTCCATAGTCTCGCATATGTGTGACTCTCTCTCAGTTATCCTATCAAAATTCTTTGGTTTTAGTTTCTTCTTGAAACAATTAATTTGGGCTAGAGTCAACAGAACACCAGAGCTACTTGGAAAACAACAAATTAATCTCATAATTACCATAGAAAACATTAAAACCAGAAAAAATATATTAAGAATATGCCTATAGAAGTTTATTTTTTATTATTATTATTATTATTATTATACTTTAAGTTTTAGGGTACATGTGCACAATGTGCAGGTTAGTTACATATGTATACATGTGCCATGCTGGTGTGCTGCACCCATTAACTCGTTATTTAGCATTAGGTATATCTCCTAATGCTATGACAAACCCACAGCCAATATCATACTGAATGGGCAAAAACTGGAAGCATTCCCTTTGAAAACTGGCACAAGACAGGGATGCCCTCTCTCACCACTCCTATTCAACATAGTGTTGGAAGTTCTGGCCAGGGCAATTAGGCAGGAGAAGGAAATAAAGGGTATTCAATTAGGAAAAGAGGAAGTCAAATTGTCCCTGTTTGCAGACGACATGATTGTATATCTAGAAAACCCCATTGTCTCAGCCCAAAATCTCCTTAAGCTGATAAGCAACTTCAGCAAAGTCTCAGGATACAAAATCAATGTACAAAAATCACAAGCATTCTTATACACCAATAACAGACAAACAGAGAACCAAATCATGAGTGAACTCCCATTCACAATTGCTTCAAAGAGAATAAAATACTTAGGAATCCAACTTACAAGGGACGTGAAGGACCTCTTCAAGGAGAACTGCAAACCACTGCTCAATGAAATAAAAGAGGATACGAACAAATGGAAGAACATTCCATGCTCATGGCTAGGAAGAATCAATATCGTGAAAATGGCCATACTGCCCAAGGTAATTTATAGATTCAATGCCATCCCCATCAAGCTACCAATGACTTTCTTCACAGAATTGGAAAAAACTACTTTAAAGTTCATATGGAACCGAAAAAGAGCCCGCATGGCCAAGTCAATCCTAAGCCAAAAGAACAAAGCTGGAGGCATCACGCTACCTGACTTCAAACTACACTACAAGGCTACAGTAACCAAAACAGCATGGTACTGGTACCAAAACAGAGATATAGATCAATGGAACAGAACAGAGCCCTCAGAAATAACACCGCATGTCTACAACTATCTGATCTCTGACAAACCTGAGAAAAACAAGCAATGGGGAAAGGATTCCCTATTTAATAAATGGTGCTGGGAAAACTAGCTAGCCATAAGTAGAAAGCTGAAACTGGATCCCTTCCTTACACCTTATACAAAAATTAATTCAAGATGGATTAAAGACTTAAACGTTAGACCTAAAACCATAAAAACCCTAGAAGAAAACCTAGGCATTACCATTCAGGACATAGGCATGGGCAAGGGCTTCATGTCTAAAACACCAAAAGCAATGGCAACAAAAGCCAAAATTGACAAATGGGACCTAATTAAACTAAAGAGCTTCTGCACAGCAAAAGAAACTACCATCAGAGTGAACAGGCAACCTACACAATGGGAGAAAATTTTTGCAACCTACTCATCTGACAAAGGGCTAATATCCAGAATCTACAATGAACTCAAACAAATTTACAAGAAAAAACAAACAACCCCACCAAAAAGTGGGCAAAGGATATGAACAGACACTTCTCAAAAGAAGACATTTATGCAGCCAAAAGACACATGAAAAAATGCTCACCATCACTGGCCATCAGAGAAATGCAAATCAAAACCACAATGAGATACCATCTCACACCAGTTAGAATGGCGATCATTAAAAAGTAAGGAAACAACAGGTGCTGGAGAGGATGTGGAGAAATAGGAACACTTTTACACTGTTGGTGGGACTGTAAACTAGTTCAACCATTGTGGAACTCAGTGTGGCGATTCCTCAGGGATCTAGAACTAGAAATACCATTTGACCCAGCCATCCCATTACTGGGTATATACCCAAAGGACTATAAATCATGCTGCTATAAAGACACATGCTCACGTATGTTTATTGCGGCACTATTCACAATAGCAAAGACTTGGAACCAAGCCAAATGTCCAACAATGATAGACTGGATTAAGAAAATGTGGCACATATACACCATGGAATACTATGCAGCCATAAACAATGGTGAGTTCATGTCCTTTATAGGGACATGGATGAAATTGGAAATCGTTCTCAGTAAACTATCGCAAGGACAAAAAACCAAACACCAGATGTTCTCACTCATAGATGAGAATTGAACTATGAGAACACATGGGCACAGGAAGGGGAACATCACACTCTGGGGACTGTTGTGGGGTGGGGGGAGGGGGGAGGGATATGCCTGTAGAAGTTTAGAAATATTTTCTGTAATAAAAAGAATGACGTTTATATCCTACGGCATAGTATACCCAGAAGGAGGCAAAAACGCTATTGAACAGTGAGAAAGAACATTGCATATTCTCATTTTCAGCGGGAAAGAAAAGCTTTATCAGAGGCAGGCTGTTTTAAGGATTAATGTTCCCAGATGGAGATAAATCTTAACTATTGAAATAGTGTTTTCTCAGATCTAGTTTAAAAAGTGTTCGCTTCTGGAAATCTCTTACTTGTTCCTTTGTTTATAATTATTTTGAACATTTGCTTTCTGTTATCTGTGAAGAGATTTGAAAAGAGCAGGTCTTTTGGATGGTTGCTTTAGGAGTGACCTCCCTTGGCTTAAACAGGCATTTGTTGGATAACATCTCTGCATGATTTTTAAAAGTTAGCAGAAGTGAGAAGGGTAATTGAAGTTTCCAGAATCAAGAAAAACTACAAAAGAAGCTCATTTTTATAAATGCTATTGTCTTATATAACCCCCTGGAAGACACCCAGTTCTCACTTCTAAGAGCTCTCATGAGTCAGTTTGTCATTTGATATTTTGTAGAGTTTGCAGTAAATTAGAAGACGTGAATTCTTCTGCTTAACTTCAATGACAAACTATTTTGTACTTTAGTTCCTTAAGAAACTAAATAGAGGGAACCTTTTTTATCTCTTTCCTATCTATGTCCAACCTACTCCCAACTTCTAGAACAGTTTCTTGCATGTAGTGAGTGCCCCATAATTGTAGAATTAAATCGAATTTGGGCAATTTTTCCTTCTTTTGAAAATGAAACTAAAAAAATATGAAGCCAGGAAGTTTTACCAGTCTTCCCCACAACCACCCACAGACATCAGGCTCTCAAGCATCTGCCTTTCCTGGGCTGGGGAATGAGTATCCTGTCTTCCCTCCCCTTCCTTCTTCTCCCTTTGCTCTTCCTGCTCCTACCTCCTCCTCTTTCTCCCCTACCCGCTCCTGTTCCTTCCCTTTCTCCTCTTCCATAACCTAGAAGTTTCTAACCAAGAAATCTATACACACAAAGAACAACTGCCAATGGGAAAACAAAATATCACTTCATTAAGAGCTAGGCAAGGACTCAATCATCCCAATGCAACGCTCTCTAGCAAGAGGAATTTGGATAATAAAGTTGAAGTAAGGAAGCCTAAGTCCCTGTGCCTGACTCTAAGATTATCAGGAAGCCCACTTATGCTCCAAAACACATCAAAAACGATATAAGAAGGCCGGGCATGGTGGCTCATGCCTGTAACCCCAGTACTTTGGGAGGCTGAGGTAGGCAGATCACTTGAGATCAGGAGTTTTAGACTAGCCTGGCCAATACAGTGAAACACTGTCTCTACTAAAAATACAAAAATTAGCCGGGCGTGGTGGTGCATGCCTGTAATCCCAGCTACTCAGGAGACTGAGGCATGAGAATTGCTTGACCCCAGAAGGTGGAGGTTGCAGTGATTGTGTCAAGATTGTGCCACTGCAGACTGGCCTGGACAAGACAGTGAGAATCTGCCTCAAAACAAACAAACAAACAAAAAAAAAACATGTAAGAAGATCTTACAGCAAGTCAGCAGGGTCCACCAAGGTCTTTGGCCAGAAGCTGAGAGTTTACCATGTGGACACAGGAAACAGCAGTAGAGTGACTCGGGTGGGTTTGTCCTTAACCACTCAGGAATTTCAGCAATTCCGACCATGGGTAAAACCCAGTGCAGTGACACTCTCATGTTCTCACCGACCAGGAAACCACTTACTCTGCTTTGGGGAGGAGTTAGTGCAGGACTGGGCGTGGGCAGAAGAATGGACACATTTTGCTTCCCTCATGGACCGAGGTGGGAAGTGGGAAGGGGAGACTAAATGTTCCTGGACAGGAAAGCATAAATCCAGAGTTGGAACGTGAGTTTATGATCTTACTCTATTTCTATTTTACAGAGGAAACCAGTCGACAGAGCTGTGATTTGCCCTGTGATTTGCCCTGGGCCTTCCCACAATTCTAGAAACCCATGACTTGACATCATTGCGCGGCCACCTGACTCCCAGCTGGCTTCAGCCTCTCCGTTTCATCTCCCTCTACTCTCACTCTGCTGCTACCAAGTCAGACTTCTTTTCAGGTCCTTAAACAATCTCTGTACTTTTCCATCTCCGTGTCTTTGATGACTTGATTCCCTTTCCTCACTCCATCATTAACATACGTACCCCTCAAGACCCAGCTCAGATGCCACTTCTATGAGACACTCTGTTTCTGTGCCAGAAACAGTTAAGCCTTTATTTGCGTGTCCAAAGTGTGCCCCAGAGCAAGGATCTGGCAATCGGCATTTGAAACCTGGCTCCTTGGCTTCTTAGCTCTGACCTTGAGCAAATTACTTATTTTTTTGTTGTTGTTACTCAGTTTCCTAAAATATCATATAGGGACTTGTCATGTCATGTTAATGGACATAATATAAATTAAATAGTATAATGGCAAGTATCCATCGGTCACCAAAAAGGGAGCCTACTATTACTGCCTGTAGCTATATTTTAGCATTGATGACAAAATATGGTAAATTATATCTATTTGTAGACCTAAGTTATCCCTTCCCATTGATTATTCACTTGCTGAGACTGCAACAATAGCTGCCCATTTTTTTATCTCTTCCATCCCCACCCAGCTGTCTTGCACAATATACAAAGTCAATACATGTCTGATCAACGGAATGGACTTAATCTGCCAAAACAGACCTGACTCTCTATCAGTGATACAGGAGCTAAAAAGAAATTATTTAGGCAGAGAGTGAGAGTAAGGGAGTCCTTGGCAAGGCTTCCCTTTTAACAAAAAGCAGCCCCCAGATAATTTCTTTTCTAACAAAAAGCAGCCTGTAAAATCAAGCTGCAGACATAGATAACCAAGCTGGAAGCTTGCACAGGTGAATGACGGCGGCTGTGCATTGCAATAGGGGAAGCCTACCTGGGGGCCAGGTAGGTTCAACATGGAGGCTCCATCTTCGCTTTTCTTTGTCACCATGTGTACAGTAAAGAAACAGGCAACATGGCGCTGGCCAGGTAGAGAACCAACTGCATAATTAAAGATTAGGGTGGGGTGGCCAGCTATGCAAATGGCACACCTGGTCTCACCAATCTCTCATGCCCTATATAAATCAGACACCGCCTCCTCAAGCTCATCTATAAAATCTTATGCACTTGGCTGTGAACCGGAACACCTGCTGGGGTGCCCCTCTCTCTCTCTGCAGGAGAGAGAACTCTTCCTTTTCTTTCGCCAATTAAACCTCCACTCTTAACCTCACTGTTTGTGTGTCTGCGTCCTTGATTCCCTTGGCGCAAGGCAACAAACGTTGGGTATTACAGACCAATGATGCCGCTTCACCAGCTCATATATGGCAAAAACTGCAATAAGTTTTGCACCAACCCTAATGCTAAATTATTAATTACTACTTACCTAAAAAAGAGAACCATATAAATTAATTAGTATTGTACAACACTACATGTATTTAGTCAAAATACCAGATAACCTAACTTTATATTTATGTATACATCACATGTATTTTTAAAATTAATTCTTCACTTTAGTGAAGTATTATAAACTGTTAATCATTCATCCTAACTTTTGCTTAGCCTTTGAAGTTCAGACCTCTCCAAAATTTTTTCCTCCACCTGGTTAAGAACTATTTTCTTTGGACTTAATCTGGTTTTTCTATTGTAGATCACATCTAATCAAGGTAGTTGAATAGACTCAACAAACCAGTAAGAGGTTGTTGAAGTATCATTCATAACAAAAGGTAACAACAGTTCCTTATAGGCCATATCTCATGCCTTCTGTTTTACTGGTGCAAGTTTGTGCCCCAGGAGGGTTAGGAATGGCATCTAACACCCCCGTGGAGCAGACAGACCCCTTTTGTAAGTGTGTATTTGTTTCAACCACATGCCTTAAGCTCAGTTTAAAAAAATAAAATTAAAAAAAATTTATGTGAGTACAGAAAGTTTGCATCACATTCACTCTACAACATCTTTAAAGGCAGCGATTATTCCAGAACACAGAGGAGACAAACAAGGCCCCTTTGTTCCAGGAGTGCACTCCTTAAAGAGCAGTTCCAAGCCCATCAGTCTGAAGGGCCAGGCAGTTGGCCCCGGGGGAGCCTGCCAAACACCCAGAGATGCTTCCCGGGAATCTTCTGCTGCTGCTGAAGTGTTGACAGGCTCTTGAGCTGAGAGCTCAGGCTGTTGATAGGAATATATAGCTCAGATAGTCAGAAATCAACCTACTCAAATTTCTCAGACCATTCTCTCCTTCGTTTCTGTCTTTTTAACAATCCAAGTACAGATTTTCTTTTAAAAACCTTCTTCCAAAAAAATGTCTACGTTCCTGCTTCCTCC
Source organism: Homo sapiens (assembly GCF_000001405.40). NCBI lineage: Eukaryota > Metazoa > Chordata > Mammalia > Primates > Hominidae > Homo > Homo sapiens. The sequence continues at coordinate 12,814,184 of NC_000008.11, forward strand.
TGGGGGTAACGAAATAAAAGGCTTAAGGTGCTTTAAGGAAAATGGAGTCAGTTCCCCTCCCTTCAGCCCTCAAGTTCTGCTGATTCCAAGGGGTGGGTGGCGAGGGCCAGCAGTTGGCGGCACCCACTCCCTGTCTCCTCTCACTTGGTATCTCCCTGGCCTCACGCTCAATCAGGTCTTCCGTGACCACACAGGGAAATGAAGAATACTGTTCGCTTACGAAGAATCTGGGAATCCCTGCAGTCCATGATTTTCTTTTTTCTATTTTACTTTCTTCTCAAAAGCCTTTTATTTTCTAAAAGCACATACAGTATAAGCCCATTCTGATGATTTTAGGAGCATCCATTCCTCAATGCAAAGATATTAATGCTAGATAATAAAGCTCTGAGTTCATACATTTAAAAGTCGAGAGAGTGAGGAGTGAGGGGAGAGAGAGGGAGCAGAAAACGCTAGCTGCCTTAATACTCATTTTCCTCTTCTACAAACCCTTGATATTTAGCTAATGTACCCTACCTTTCTCAAGGTCCCCAGCAGCTAAGGAAGGCCATGTGACTAATTCTGGCCAATGGGATGTAAGAAATTCAAAGTGCATTTCACAGAGCATGTTAGGAACACGCCCATTCTTCCAGCCCTTCCTCAACCCTGGTGTTCGTACCAGGGACTTGGTGTCAAAGGCAACGTCCCAGAAGAAACCTCATGCAATGCAGTGACAATATCAGTCCTGGAAACCCTATCTCTGGACTCTGGGATAAAAGAGCAATACATTTCTATATTGTTTATACCACCGTTAATTTGAGTTTTAATTTTATTTCATGAACCCAGTCATATTTTAAGCCAAGGTGGATTTCCCACAAAGCTAATGGAGCAGAAGCTTTAGAAACCCTCACTTGCGTCAGGCGTGGTGGCTCACGCCTGTAATCCCAGCACTTTGGGAGGCCGAGGCAGGTGGATCACCGGAGGTCAGGAGTTCAAGATCAGCCTGGCCAACATGGTGAAACCCCGCCTCTACAAAAATACAAAAATTGGGTTGGGCATGTTGGTGTGTGCCTGTAATCCTAGCTACTCGGGAGGCTGAGGCAGGAGAATTGCTTGAACCTGGGAGGCGGAGGTTGCAGTGAGACAAGACCACGCCATTGCACTCCATCCTGGGCAAAAAGAGCGAAACTCTGCCTTAAAAAAAAACAAAAAACAAACAAAAAAAACAAAACCCTCACTTGCCAGGATGACTCCAAAGCCTGAGGAGGAACCCCGACATTGGGGTCACATGGTCATCTTATATTCTTTTCTTTAAAAGGTTCCTCAACTGCATAAGCCTCACACCTCATCCATGATAAGCCAGTGAGTCTTTCCACGTGTGCCTCTTGAGTGGGGCAGCGCCATTCTGGTCAGCCCACCTTACATGTAGCACAGTAAATAGTTCACAGTTTCTCCTGCATCAGATCATCTACTTGGTGAAATTTAGGAATAGCACAGCCCATTGTTTCCCAAAGTACATTCCTAGATATTAATAATTGTTATAAGAGAAAAGAGTAACAGAAAAGTATAATATTAGCTAAGATGTTTTTGTCTATGTTTTTAACTACAATATTTCTCAGAGGAAGCAATGTGGGAATGTGCATAGTGAATATCCCAGCACAAGAGAAGGCTGTATTTCCTAAACGTATTGGACCACCAAACCCCCTTTTTAAGTAGTTGGTGGGTTATATTTTTGTGAAGCATGATTTGAAAGCACTCTCCTGGTCTCAGTAGCAAATATTTGTTGACTATCTCTTTGGGGAAGTTAAGTGTTTTATTTTTGTAGCATTAGTGGAAGAAGGTAATTTTTCTTCCTGATTTTATTGTTTATAATTGCTCCCTGTCTGGAGTTTGCTAATCAGTAAGCATTGATTTCAACAATATTGTCATTTCTGCATTGACACTGATGCATCTCTCAGGTCTCCAACAAAAGCTAAGAGTGACATGTACAAAATGTTAGATCACCTGTGGAGGAAAGGGTGTGAGTTCAAGGGAGTCGGAGTCACACTGAGGTTTCATCTCCTGTGAGGAAGATCTTTGATGGGGGGATACAGAAAGCTACAACCACGATGGAGACGTAGTTCTGCAGAAAGGACCCATTTCTGTGCTTATGTCAGTGCTTGGAGAAATCTCCAGGCTCATTTATGTGAGCCACATTTTCATTACAGGAAAATAATTGACACCATGCTTCTTGGCTTTAACTGAAATTTAAGCATTTACACCTGTATTCATCTTCTAGGGTTTCTACAAAAAAGTATCATAAACTGCATGGCTGCATGTACCCTACCTTTCTCAAGTTCCCCAGCAGCTAAGGAAGGCCATGTGACTGATTTTGGCAGAAATTTATTTTTTCACAGTGCTGGAGACTGGAAGTTCAAAGCCAAGGTGTCAGCAGTCCTTGCCTCCTCCTACCTTCTGGTGGTGGCCATTGATTCTTGGCATTTCTTGGCTTGCAACTGCACCACTTGAGTCTCTGCCTCTTTCCTCACATGGCATTTTCCTCTTACAGGGGTTAGGAATTCAACATACTTTTTGGAGGGGGCACAATTCAATCCATAGTAACACCAAAGACTCCTTAATTTTCTGTAGGGCAACATAATGTCATGATGGACAGAGCTCTGAGTTAGGAGTCCGAAGGCCTTAGTGGGCACTTAGCAAATCTCTAGGCTACATTTCTATATATATAAACAAGGATAACAATACACTCCTTGACTTCCCTGTAAGGGTTGTAACAAAGATATAGAAAAGTGCTCTGTAGCCTTTCAATGATGATAGAAGTGTTATTGTCTTCAAAGAGAAACATGGCTAATGTGGGTAATTGAAATTTGGCATATGATCTCACACCTTACTTTAGACAATGATTTTGACCTCTACCTCCTTCTTCTCTCTACTAGACAAAGACATAATTTTGTTTATATTGCTGCCCTTGCACTCTCTACTAAGTGATGTTAGATGATGAGGAAAGTCCTTGTCAGTGCAGCCAATTCTCAAATTGAATCTGAAGCATCCGGTAATGGGAAAATGTCCATATTGCTTCAATAATCATTCTTTAATAGAGTTTCAACTTGGAGAAAAAGACTGAAAAATGCCAGCAGAAGACTTTTTCTAAAAAAAAAGACCAACTACATATTAATTAATCTAAAATTACTCAGCTTCAGTTGTATGTGCCTTTAACATGATAATAAGGGAATAGTAGGGCCATGGTTTATAAACCAGTGACTTCATCTTTAGAAGAACTGGTGATAGTAATGGGAATTTGCAGGCTAGTTCAGTTTTGCAGAAGTTCCCCATATCATATTTTCATTTACTTAGTGCAGGGTAACTCAAATGTTCATCCTTTTCCTGAGGATAGAATTTACTACATTGTTTATCAATAGTAATACTGGTTATGTCATGTTGGGTAAATGTTCTCTTTGGCAATCATGTATCAATCCAAATAAATAAAAATAAGTTACTTATAACATGCAATTTTTTGATATGCAAAATCTTATAAAGCATGGGGTTAAAGGGAGATTGAGATTTTAAATAGGGATTCTTGATAGTTAAAATATTGAGAAGAGTGGAGTTGAGGATGAATACTGATGATATGATTCCCCTTTAATGAACACTGGAAAAACAAGGCAGGCTTCCAAATACTGTGTTCTATTTGTACTTCAACTAATCACTTGACTTAAATGCCTTTTAACTCTGACCTTCTGGAATTTCCTGTGCAATCTTCCACTATTTAAAATGAAGTCGGCTGATTGATTTCTTTACCATTTCAGAATGTCCTGTATCATTTTAATGACTGGAGTGTGACTTTGTTCTCAGCACAATGAGTAACAAAGCCAAAACACTGGAGAATACGTTTACGTATTCAAGAAAACCTCAGACAAGGAAGAATGCTTTCATAATACAGTACATTAAAATCAGACGAAGCCTCGAAGGGCAGAATCACCGACCCTGAAAAATCAGAGTGTACTACAGAAGAAGACGACAGCGTTTGAGCACATTTGTTGAAGCAGCCTCCTCTCCCTTATGGTACGATAATCCCACACCGTTTTACCATGCTCTCTGGCCTTCCCAGAACATCAATAAAAACTGCATCCCCTGACTTTTCTTGGTGGTTTCTGTTATCTTCCCTAAACTTTAATTTAATGTGATCTTACTTAGGCATTTCTCTTAGAGAGTAGGTCATTATAACGAAGCATTTTTCACCCTCTGGGAAAGAGGTTTCCACATAAGGGCCAGGCCACGTTTTCCCTTTCATCCAGGGATTCTACCATAAGCAGCCTCTCATCTTCACTTTTCCCAAAAATTTTCTTAAAATCAGTGTATTTTTTTGCAGGACCGGATATCACATTACATTCTCTAGTTGGGGGTGGGGGGCGGGATGGGAAGTGAGAACAAAGAACGATAACTCCCGAAGTGATTTTTTAAAATGTAAACTTTCTTATGAAGCATAACATAGACACGTGCCAACATTAAGCGTACAGCTCCATGAAATTTTATGCAGACACTCACTCATGAAACCACAACTAGAACAGGAAATAGGATTTTGCCAGCACTCCTATAAGGCACCTTGCAGTCGCTCCCCTCCCCTACCCCACTCCAGAACATAACAAGCTCATTTTCTGACTTCTATCACTGTAGATTAATTTGCCGCTTTTCCAAACTTCCGTAAATGGAATCGGACAGTACATACTCTTTGGTACCTGGCTCAATATTCTGTTCCTTGAGTGTGCTGAAGCAGTCATTTGTTCAATTTTATTGCTGACTCATATTCTGTGCTATGAAAATGTAACAATTTATTTTTCCATTCTACCACTAATGGGCCTCTAGAGTCTTTCTACTATTTGACCATAATGGAAAATGCTGCAATAAAAATTGTTGTGCACGTCTTTTGAGAGCACATGTACCTATTTCTGTGGATATATACCTAGACGTGTAATATCTGGGTCATAAATAGTCGTGTGCCTATGCAGGCTTGCAGTGCCTCATGAGAGCCTAGTTTTTGCAGTCTAATTGTTAAAAATAGCCATAACTGAAAATTAAGTTATGTAAACTTACCATTAAATAAAATAATTTTTAAACAATAATAAATACTCAAAACTGATTGTTTCCTATTTTACTACATTTGACTAACATCTGTTTGATTAATGAACATTTTATTATTGCTGCTTAATTTATGATTCTACCTAAGATATTTTATTTTTATTTACTTTTTTTTTTTTGAGACAGAGTTTCACTCTGCTTGCCCAGGCTGGAGTGCAGTGGCTCAGTCTAGCCTCACTGCAGCCTCGACCTCCCAGGCTCAGGTGACTCTCCCACTTCAGCCTCCCAAGCAACTGGGACTACAGGCATGTGCTACCATACCCAGCTAACATTTTTGTATTTTTAGTAGAGATGGGGTTTCACCATGTTGCCCAGGCTGGCCTTGAACTCCTGGACTCAAGCAATCTGCCAACCTCGGCATCCTAGAGTGTTGGGATTATAGGCATGAGCCACAACACGCAGCCTGATACTTTAGGATTCCGGCAAATAGAAGATATTAATACAAAACAAAAACAACAAAAGCATTTAATCTAACTTATGGTAGAGACTTCCAATCTCAAGAGTCAGTGCCTCCCTTATTTTAACCAGTCACCATAGAAAACCTGAAAAACAGAGCCTGTAAGAGGCATCTGAGAGGTCTTCAAGAGACTGAAAATACTAACCAGGCCTCGGGAGGACTGAGAAGATCTGCTGTGCTGACCCTCCAGTTTTGACCAACATGTACAAATGGAGTCATGCTTTCATCTCATACCCACAATTCTGCTCGGGACGTAATGTCTTAGTCTGTTTGGGTTGCTATAGCAAAATACCTGAGGTTGGGTAATTTATAAAGAGTAGAGATTTATTCTCTTACAGTTCTGGAATCTGGGAAGTCCAAAATCAAGGTGCCAGTAGATTCCATGTCTGATGAGGGTGCGGTCTCTGCTTCAAAGATGGCAGCTTGATGCTGCATCCTCCCGAGGGAGAAATGCTGGGTCTTCACATGGCAGGAGGAACAGGAGGGCAAAAGGGGGTCAAGTTTTTCCCTCCATCAAGCTTTTTTTTTTTAATGGCATTAATCTGTTCATGAGGATGGAGCTCTTACGATCTAAACACCTCCCAAAACCCCCCACCTCCCAGAACTCTTGCATTGGGGATTAAATTTCCAACACATGAATTTTAGGGGACATGTTGAGCCCATAGCACTTGGTAAGAGAGAGGAAAACAAAAAGCAGTGGGCAGAGGCACAGATGAGATGAGATGATCAGGACCTGTCTGAAAGTTGCATGCTTCCCCACCCCCATTTACTGTGAATCTTTCCTCACTTCCTTCTTTGTCTGGATCATAGAATGATATACGTGCTGCCGAAGCGAGTGGTGGATCGCAGAATGATAAGGGAGAATTTGGTAAATGGGAAGGGTGGTTTTTGTGTCTCCAATGGCCTGATCAGTATAATGATGTGGCTTGAAAAAATAATCCCTTAGGTTACAATCAGTTCAAATTATTGAGTCGGCATTTAATCATTGCAGCACGTATTAGAATCGTGTTCATGACACTTTGAGGTGCATTGATCTTTAATAAGGTAAGAAGAGAATATTGGCTTAATTTTACATATGAAGAAAGTGAACCTTAGAGGGAAAAAGTGACCTTCTTATGAGCCCAAGTGAGTTAGTAGAAGAGTTAACTGGATCTAGAAACTCAAATTCCTAACTCCCAGGCACGTCCTCTTTATCACTCCTGGTGGCTTTTTTTATTATTATTAGTGATACTAGTGATACTGGATCCCAGAAGACACTACAGTGAAGTTCGGAGTTTCCCTTATTCTGCTGTTTATTCTGTTGACTGCAATGCAACCAATGGGCCTTAACACTTGGACCCATAATTAATTTTAGATTACAAGAGAGAATTCAACTCACACTAGATTGAGTAGGGGGAGACAAGGAGCGAAATTTATTGGATGGAGTTGAAACGGGAAAAGTTACCTTGTCCCCCTCACAGGGCATGAGACATGGGGAGTGACTCGCTTCTTCAGTGCCCTGCTGCTCACACCTCTTGGGAAGCATACAGACAGGCAGGCTGTGGGGCTCTGACTCCCTCCCGCACTCTGTAGGGGTGAATGTTTGCAGCTTCTGAAGCCCCAGTGGGCATGTGTTACAGGGTGCTCTGAGTTTGCATGTATAGGCGGCTTTTGTTAACCAGCTCAATTAGACGCTCTACCTCCTTGCAAGGACAGAGGGCTTTTTGTATTCCCGGTTCTTGCCTTGGTCTACTGAAGAACTGGATCACTAGCGGGCTTGGAGAATGAGTGCAAAGTTTTGAGTGGAAATAGCTGTCTGCCAATGGGGAACTATGAGGGAGATGGTTTTCCCTTGGAGTTGGGCCACTGGGCACCCCAGCTCTCTGACTGCCCTGGCCAAACTCTGCCTCGTCCCACCAGCCAGTGGCCTGCGGGCATGCCGCAGTCAGTTGGTGTGCTCTTCTGCCTGCCTGCCGCTTGCCTTGTCTTCTGCTGATGTGCTTCTCTCCATGTCTGGCCACCTGCGTCTCTGCCTTGCTAGGGTCTGGAGTTTTCATAGGCCCAGGGTGGGGGCGTGGCAGGCCAGGGTCGTCTTGGGAAATGCAACATTTGGGCAGGAAGGCAGGAGTGCCTGTCCTCACCTAGGTCCGTGGGGGTGGAGCCCTAGCCAGGGACCACGCCCTCCTCTACCCAGCACTTCCCTTTCCCCTTTCCATATTATTCAAAGGGACCATGCTCTTCCCTTCTCAGCACTTCCGTATCAGAGTGCAGGTGGCCTTGGTAATGATTAGCACAGGGGACTCAAATGTCGTCCACTTTCCTCTTCATTTACTGCCTCTGCTTTGCTCAGCATGATAGCTTGTCTCTTACTTCACCTCTCCTTTCTCCAAGCTGCAGCAGACACAACGGGTGACAGCTCATCAACTCTGAGAGGAAAGGGATCCCCTTTCATGCTCTTTTCTAAAAACAATCTGTAAGGGAAATTTTGATTGTCATGACCTTGGATATAAGTCCACTTCCCTGCAAAAATCAAAACGGCTGGGAAGATACGATATTATGACAGGCCATGTTGAGAAAGGTCTCTGCAGGTAAACAAATAATTGAGGCCAGAAAGGTAAGGTAGCTGTTTTATAAACCACATCAGCAATGGAATGGGGGTGGTAAGGAATAATTCTCTTAAAAACAGGTGGGTACCATGGTCGAGGTGGATACCACTGGGGTTGTGAGAAGCCAGGAAGCCACATCATCTTTTACCAAGAGGATGGCCTCAATATCACACTATTTATTATTTGAGTTACAAGGTTGTAGAGGGAAGCAAATGTCAACTGAACAAAAGCCCTCACGAATGAACTGTCTGTCCACTTAGGGAGATTGTCACTGATTTTCTTTTTAGATTTTGGAAATAAAATTGTTATCACAATGCCGCATAATGGAAAACAATTGACAAGTGAAATCAGCAATCATGCAAAAGTTGACTTGAAAAAACAGATTTCGGGAAACTGCTCAAATCATACACATATCTGTTGATAATGAGGACCTGACAAAGTAACAGCAGTTTACAACTGAGGAAAAGAGAGCCAATGATTGCATGATGTGATTTCAGTATCAGAGAATTAAGAATGGCCCCTGGGAAACAGGTCAAATCCTAGAATGTTTTAGTGAAATAATCCTCTTTACCATCACACTGCATCAATGAGGCACATAAAGGAAAGGTGTGTAAAAGGGCCAACCTACATTTTTAGAAAGACAATGCACCCCAAAACTTTATACATAAACATTTCCTTTATTGTTTGTTCATTTTAAAGAATTAATATATACATGCAATGAAAACCAATATTTTATTAAATATAAGATAAAATAAGCTTATATTTACAATTCCCCTGGTTACTTTTCAAGATTAAATCTTTTTTTTAACTATTTACTATGAAATGTTAGTATTCCTGTAAGGTGATTCTCCACAATTGATGTTTTCTGGTTAGCAATATTCCAAAGTAATCTATCTATAAGTTGCTGTTTCAAAGAGCTCCTCTTACTAAGCTAAATGATTTTGAAATGTGGTTTAGGGCACCTAAAATTGTTTGTTTATTTCTCTCCTTCCTCTAAGTAGTTGTGCCATTTCAGCTTATCCTACAATGGCTTCTTGGAGAGTTCCAGCTGACATATAATCTTTGTACATATCTAGTTGAATGAATTCAATATTATTAATTGCAGTTCAATTTGATTATGATACACTGAATTGCTTCAAAGTGGACAGATATCTTGTATTTGAGCATTGTAGTTTTGGTGATATATTTTTAACTGGTTATTTGACCTCTGGGAAAGGTCAATCTGAAGCTCAATGGCAAGACTAACAACTATTCAGGACAATTGCTTAATATTAAATGATGCAATATACATGATTTCTTGTATATGGAGACAATCAGTGCTAGTTGATATTGACTTTGTTTTCCTATTTACTTATAAGGATGATGCTTACGTTGCAGCTAAAACTGCTCAAGAAGCTTTGGCAGACTCAGGTCTCATAGCCATAAATAGTATTAAATGTAAGACAAAAAACTGTGGTGTCTCTCCGAATAACTGACAACACACTACAACATAATGCAAAACAATTGCCAAGTGAAATCACAAATTGTGAAAAATGCCCCGAAAAAAAAGCATTTGGGAGAACTGCTCAAACAATACATAAGTCCATTACTAACATTTTCAACACTTGTTAGGCCAGAATAAAATATGCCATAATTATTGTTTTAGTGGAAGGATCATGGGAGTCAGATCACAAGAATGTATGCCAACGTGCTCTGAAAACCCTTGTCATTACACTGCACCAGCACATTCCAACCTATCATGAGCTTTATTTCCATGAATCCATTTTCCCAGGACCTAATAGTGTCTTGTTAATCATACTTAAAATTTTGAGCTGACAAAACAAATAGAGCAGAAAGAGCTAAAAGCTACCCTAAGTCTTTCTAAGCCAGCCAATTTGATAATAATACTATTCATGCCCTCTCTTTTTAAGTCATTTTTTGAGATAAAATTCACATAACTTATTTTAAGCATTTTAAAGTGCACAGTTCAATGGTTTTAGTATTATATACTCATAATGTTATGCAAGTATCATCACAATCTGATTCCAGACTATTTCCCCTGCCCTCCAAAAGAAACTCTTCTCTTGAACATACTTCTGGAGGGGCAACACAAAGTCCAGCACTAATATTTATACATTTTCAATTTTTTTAATTCCCAAGGGTAATATAAACTTGAATGCACTAGGGAAAAGAGGTTACTTGAAACAGGAATTCAGAGTTTTAAAGCAAATATTAACAGTTCATTACCTGGAGGGGTAGCTGTGGTAGCCTGCCTTTAAGATGGCTTGCAGTGATCTCTGCCTCCTGTCTGTCACTCTCCGGATAATACCCTCCCAGACGATATCAGGATTGGTCTGGATGATCAGTGGAACACTGCAGAAGTGATGCCATGTGACTCCTTAGGTTAGATTATAAAAGATATTGTGGTTCAGCCTTGCTTTCTCCCTCAGTTCACTCCCTCTGTGGGAAGCCAGCTATCATATCATGAAGACACTCAAACAACCTATAGAGTGCCTAATGGAGCAAGGAACTGAGGCTTTCTGCCACCTGTCAGCAAGGAGCTAAAGCTTTCTTCCAACAGCCATGTGAGTGTGCCATCTTGAAAGCAGAACCTACATACCCAGTCAAGTCATCAGATGAGACTGCAGCCGTGGATTATACCTTGATGACAGCCTCATGAGAGTCCTTGAGCCAGAGCCACTCAGTTAAGCTACACCAGGGTTCCTGACCCTTTGAAACTATGTGTAATAAAGGTCTGTGGTTTTCTACTGCTAAATTTTGAGGTAATTTTTTTACAGAGTAATAGACAACATACAGTGGTATTAGGTTAATAATTCAGCAAACATGGGAATATGAGAAGAGGAAGTATCTCTGCCATTTTGGGCAAAGCACTGAGGCTCATAGATACACAGTCAATGTACAATCCCTTTAACTGTCACTAACTTTGAGCAGATCAGATCAGATTGCAGCTTCCACATATAGTCTTTTCCCTGCCACCAGAATGCACTATTGCAACTTCTTTTTTCAATTAATACAGTCCTTGTTCAAATTAAGTCTATATCATACACAAATCAGTAGAGAGACTTACATAGTATAATTTTTGATGGTCCTGTTCTTGGCTAGATGGAAGACTTTAATCCCCTGAAACTTCACTGGGATGGGCTGAGAGAAGGTTGAAATAAGTACTTTCCAGAAGCGCCTTCCAATTTTTCTCTATGTTTATTTGTACTGGATTTTACTGAAAAAGGTAGAACAAACAAACATAAATTTAAATCAAATGCAAACAAAATGGCAAACCAATTTAAAATAAGTAAAGGATCAAGGAAGAGAGAGTTTGAAAATGTTAAACCAGGTATTAAACCCTTCCCCAACCCTACCCTTCAGGAGAGGCACTAGGTTCTCCTTTCCTGGAGAACCGTCTATTCTTTGAGGTGCTCACACCACTCTACAATGTTTTCTTTTGGCACCAAAATATGTTTATACAATTCAAACCTCCAGTCTGTTCAGATCTTGTTAAAACTTGTTGTGCTTTGCTAACTCCTAATATAAAGTCAGTGCATTTTTGTAGTTTAGGCCATAGACTTAAGCTGCATTTCACTAAATGTTTTCCTGATACCATCAATTTCTGTCACTTAGTCAAGTGACGGGAGGTGCAGTAGATTTTCTTTTTGAAGGAATGTGCACCAAAAATTTGCTTAATAATTCTGGGCATCAGGTTCTTGGACTTGCAGTAGCTCTAAGATGGCAATGGTGAGAATAAGCCAGATGCCATCCACTTACAAACATCAACAGTTGGGAGCCAGGGGAACTCATCTCCTGTTTCATCAAATGAAAACATCACACAGATGCATTTTGTAAATTGGGCATGAGGAACAGACAAAAATCCATGAGTTCATTTGTTTTAAAAATAGGCCCCAAAATAATCAGGATGCTTCTCTGGGACTCTTAGAATCAGGTATAAATACAGAGTGATGATGTCTTCAAGACTGGCTCCTCCCTGTTTTCTCCTCCTCTTCTGTTTCCTCCTCCTCTTCTGTTTCCATAAGTGGGTTTTTGTTGCTGCTTGTGGTGGGTTTTTTGTTTTTGTTTTTGAGACAAAGTGGCCCTCTGTTGCCCAGACTGGAGTGCAGTGGCGCCATCTCGGTTCACTGCAACCTCCACCTCTTGGGTTCACGCAATTCTCATGCCTCAGCCTCTGGAGTAACTGGGATTACAGGCATGTGCCACCACGCCTGGCTATTTTTTTGTATTTTTCGCAGGGTTTTGCTGTGTTGGCCAGGCTGGTCAACACTTTCACAACTTAAAAAAATTAACAACAGAAATTTATTTCTCATAGTTCTGGAGCCTGGAAAGTCCAAGATCACACCACCAGCAGATTTGATTTCTGGTGACAGCCCACTTTCTGATTCACAGAAAGTGCCCTCTAGTTGTGTCATCTCATTATGCTTTCAAGATTTATCTATTTTTGATGCATATAGATTATTCTTTTTTCTTAGTAACATATTCCATTATATTATAATATCATAGTTTTATATTTTCTAAACAATACTGGAGTGAACACACTTGTACTTATCTTGGGACAATTCAAACCTCCAGTTTCACTTCTACGATATGTAGAAGTGAAATTGCTCTCTAAAATGGCTGTATCAATTTTTATTCCCACTTCCAGTGTATGAAAATTCTCATTATCTTAACATTTGGGGACCATTAGATTGTTTAATTTTTGTCAATTTGATGAGTATGAAATTGTAACTCGTTTAAATTTGTATTCTCCTAAATTCTAGTAAAGCTAAGCACCATTTCATAGATTTTGGCTCATTCTGCCTCCTTCTTTGATGAATTGCCTGTTCATTTCCTTTGCCCATTTCCCTATAGGGTAGTTATTATTTTCCTCATTAACTTGTAGGACATGTTTATATATTCTGATTATCAATCTTTCATCAGTTATATGCACCACAAATATCTTAATCCAGTCAGCTCCCCTTAAAACATATGTATTTATGGTGAAGCTTGGTTTTCTCAATTGCAAAATGTGAATTATACCATCTCACTCACAGATAAATCAGATAATATGCATGAAAGTTCCTGCTGCAGTGCCATGCAGAGATTAGGTGTTTGGTAAATGTGAGTTCCCTCCCTTTTCCTTTAAAGAACTTCAGGATCTAGCAATATAGCAGTGGCTGAGATAATAGGCTCTAGAGTTGGACTGGGGACTTACTGAATCCCAGCATATGGTGGCTCTGTGGACTTGGACACTGCTTTAAGCTCTCTGAGCCTCAGTTTGTGCATCTGTAAAACAGATATCGTAATATTTGCTTGACAGAGTTACTGTGAGGAATAAAGCACCAGCTAGGTAGTGCTGGCCCAATAGTAAGCCCTCAAAACAGTGGTAGATGCTATCATTGTTGTTATTATTATTAGAGAAAATAAGAGTTGCATTTGAATAACAAATGTGAACTATGTGAAATATGATCATCTGTCTATAAGAGAAGTACTAGCTAACTGCTATGAGAATGCAAAAGGAAAGAAGAGATTATGTCTAGCCAGGAGTTGACAGAGATCCAGGGAAGACTTCACAGAGGAAATGCCATTTAAATGCTGCTTGGAGGAAGGGTGCATGAGACATAAATAATCAGAATTAGAGGAGAAGCAGATTTTTGCAAATGAAACAAATTATGTGGAAGCATTAAGCAAACACACAAACAAGAAAAAAAAATACGCCCTAGTATTCCAGCTGTGTAACAGTGTGGGATGATGGGAGAGGGAGTTGTAGAAAAGCTGGAAAGAGATGATAAGACCAGATCATAAGCGCTCTTAAACGTCTTCAGACTTTCAAATCAGTGATAAAACAGCATTTAATCTTTGAAGATATCAAAGTACATTTTGCATGAAATGGTATCCCATGCCCTAAAAAGAACCCGCTCTAACTATGGAGTGCTTTTGACCATGGAGTAACATTTGTGACACAGAAGTCAGTGATTGAGTTACCCACAGATGGGAGTGGGAAGGCCTGGGGACTCTGCATATGACTGATGTAATGGAGTCCAGGAGGTGTTTTAGGGTAAACACCAGGGGCTATGTCACTGGCACTACGGAATCCAGCTCGAAGCTGCTTAATTATCTGGTTAATCGAGGGATTATCCTGTACCAGCTAGATGGTTTTTTTCCCCCTTCAGAAGGAATGATATATGATCCTAAATATGATACAGAAAAGGCAAGGGAGTCCACAGGGTTCTCTCGTAGGCATTTTTTAATGGATCCATAAAATTAGATAATAGCTTCAGCCGCACTTTAAAAACTTCAATGAAATATATTCCCTTCAAAAAGTTTTGTTTTGGACAGAATGTGCCTCATTTATTTTCCACCTAAAGCATAGCTACTCCTCTTTGTAGCAGGTAATTTGGCTATGCCAAAATTATTCCATTTGTCTTTATTTCTTGTGTTTTATCTGGGCTTTTTTCTTTGCAGTGTGCTATCACATGATCATTAATTTAAAAGACGCTTTCATCCTGTCTTACAATTTTTTTGTCAACAAAACTTTCCAAATCCTATTTATTTACTCATAAGAGAACTGAATTTCAAAACATAACTGGATATGATTACAGGATCTATGCTTTGAAATTATGAGTCTGAGGTTAGAACTATTCCTCTTTTCCAAGCATGCTCTAGGCTTCAGAATGATAAAATGCTTTTTCTCAAACAGAAAAGGATGAGCAATTCTGTTAGCAAAACCAGAAATGAATCATGTCACAAGAGAGTTTTATCTCCTAACCTCCATTTTGTCCCACTTATTAAAAAAAAAAAAAAAAAGACATTTCTGAAGGAAAAAATGGAAAGCTTTCACTGTAAAGTTACCATATTGCTGTCCTTGGTCCAAAAGGATTCTGCTGGTGTTTACTTGCCAGTGGGCCCAGATAAAGCTGAAATGACCTTTGTGAGACCAGCACTTTTCCCTCATTTTCCATCAGGTGTTTTGTAGCACTTGGCAAGAAGTAAGTAAATAGCAGGTGTGTTCACCGTTGTTTATTATTTCTGAGAACGAAGTCTTAAGTTTTTCAGTCTTTCTGCTTATCTTAATCTAATTGGTAGAGAGCATGAGAAGCTTTTTGAAACAAGGTTGTCATAATATAATTTTCTTTATCTGGGACTTTAAAAACAAAGTAAGTAATTCATCAGAATATTCCTTCTTTGTTTAACCCAGAAAATAAAGAAAAATATGTATGAGATTTGTGAGTTGATAGCTATTTTTTAAGACAATTTGTTGGGGGCAGTTTTAGGCTTATAGCAAAACAGAGGGAAAGGTACAGAGATAAACTGTAGACTCCCAGCCCTAGGACCCACATAACCTCTCCTTGCATTGGCATCCCCCACAAGAGTAGTACAATTGTTACAACTGATGAATCTACATTGACCCAGCATTATCACCTGAAGTCCATAGTTTACATTATGGTTCACCGTTGGTAGTGTTCATTCTATGGATTGTGACATGTATCTGTCATTATAGTATCCTACAGAGTAGTTTTACTGTCCTAAAAATGTGCTCAGCCTGTTCATCCCTCCCTCCCGCCTTGCCCTGGTAACCACACCGCTGATCTTTTTCCTGTCTCTAGTTTTGCCTTGTCCAGAATGTCATGTAGTCGGAATTATACAGTACACAGCCTTTACAGATTGGTTGCTTTTACTTAGTAATAGGCATGCAAGTTTCCTCCATCTCTTTTCATGGCTTGATCACTCATTTCTTTTTAGCACTGAATAATATTCAATTGTCTGGATGTATCACAGTTTACGTATCCATTCACCCACTGAAGGACATTTTGCCTGCTTCCTCATTTTGGTAATTAGGAATAAAGCTGCTATAAATATCTGTGTGCAGGTTTTGTGTGAACACAACTTTTCAACTCCTTAGGGTAAATACCAAGGTGCATAATTGCGGGATCATATGATGAGTATGTTTAGTTTTGTAAGAAGTCTCCAAATTGTCTTCCAAAGGGTCTGAACCATGTTGCATTCTCACCAGCAAAGAGACTTCTTGGTGCTCCACTTCCTCACCAGCATTTGGTGTTGTCAGCGTTCCCGATTTGGGCCATTCTAATAGGTTGTGTGTGTTTTAAATGGGTCTTGGAGAAGTTACTTGACTTTTTTTTGACAAAGTCTTGCTCTTGTCGCCCAGGCTGGAGTGCAATGGCGCAATCTGGGCTCACCACAACCTCTGCCTCCTGGGTTCAAGCAATTGTTCTGCCTCAGCCTCCCAAGTAGCTGGAATTACAGGTATGCACCACCACATCCAGCTAATTTTTGTATTTTTAGTAGAGACAGGGTTTCACTATGTTGGCCCAGCTGGTCTCGAACTCCTTACCTCAGGTGATCCACCTCCCAAAGTGCTGGGATTACAGGCGTGAGCCAAGACTCCCGGCCCTTGAGTTTTAATAGTACATATATGGTGGTGATTCTAATGAGAGACACAAGTCTTGTGGGACTTTAAAACCTATATTTGTCATCTGTCAAATCATGATTCACAAATTACACTTAAAATGCTATTTTTCCTCAAGAGAGCTTTTATTTTTGTTAGTTGAGGCAATTTTTTAATATTTCTATCAATTTATTGTAATTTCCCCTAAGTAACTACTCCAGATGGCACGTTAGAGACTACAACACAGGGTATTAAATGTTTTAGGATCTACTGCCATCTCTAATAATACTTTCTTCAAGATAACGTGGCCAACCTTTTTCTTCTTAATACCATCTAATTAACCAACATGAGAGCTGCCAGTCAGAAAATTCCCATTGTCTCTTCCGAATTAGGAATCTTTTTATACAGACTTTGGCACATGCAAAGCTTGGGCAGACACACAGCTCACACTAGTGAGTCATTTGGCCTTGTTGGTAAATAAAATATAGATATACTTCTAATCAGTTTCATTTAAAATTAAACACAAATTATGTTCCAAGCACATTGAAAACACTGTTTTGGCAGGGCAGCTTCCCAGGCTGAATCACTGATGTTTTATGATACAGTTCCAGGTGGTGCACTTTCCTCTCCTGTTTTGCCTTGTGATTTGTTTTCTTCCTTTAATCCAAGTCTTTAAAATTCACTTGAGCTCAAGGCTCTTTTAAAAATGTAAGTCTAGACCGGGCGCAGTGGCTCACACCTGTAATCCCCATAATTCAGGAGGCCGAGGCCGGTGGATTGCTTGAGTCCAGGAGTTTGAGACCAGCCTGGCCACGTGGTGAAACCCCATCTCTATAAAAAATTTTTTTTAAATAAGCTGGGTATGGTGGCATGTGCTGGCAGTCCCAGATACTCAGGAGGCTAGGGTGGGAGGATCGTTTGAGCCTGGGAGGCGGAGGTTGTAATGAGCCAGACTCTACCACTTCACTCCAGCCTGGGAGACAGAATAAGACCCTCCCCAAAAAATAAATAAATAAAATAAAAATAAATGCATAAACAAAAAAGAATAAAAACCTAAGTCTCTACTCAGATGTGGTATATAGGCTTTTCCCTGTTGTCATCTTCTGGGACACATGGGAATGAGAAATGGCTGATATCGCTGTCCTACCATGGCCAGAGTAGCAGAAAGTCTTAGATTAGCACATGCAAAACTTCCCTAATACTTTCTCTTGTTTTCATGAAATTCAAGGCTCTTAACATCAGGTCCTTAAAAATGGAAAAGAGGTGAATTCACTGGGTATGATCAATAAAGAAGTAAATGGAAGTCACTGGCCCTCCCTGGTCTCCTATCCTTGGCCACTAGTGGCATTCTCACAGTTGGCTGAGAGATCCAGGGACAGATGGGATGTTAATAACCATTCCTGGAACATGACTTGGCTGTGTTCAGGCCCTGTTTTCAGTTTCTTGGCTGTTTATTCTGGTGGAAGTCATTGGGTCTGAGTTGCACCTAAAAGTGTCGTGGGAACAAGTCAGGTACGAACAGCTTTAGTCTTCATAGACTGTGAGACCTTTCTTAGATGTACCTTTCCCCCACTCTCTGGGGGATGAAGCAAAACTTAAATCTTTATTGTGGTTTAAACAGCCCAACCTAAGAAAATCTAATAATACTTTTGGATTTAAAAAATTTAATTTAGATAAAAATTGTAAGAGAACGAAGAAATAAGCTAAGAGCAAAGGGGTCTCTCCAAACACCCCCTCTCTCCCTGCCTGCTCTCAAAGATAGTGCAGTTGGCATAGAAATCGCTGAGAGGAGACCACACAGCCTTTTGGGTTTGGGGTAAAGAGGGACCCTGATCTCGTGCTGGATTTGGGGTGTGATCTGGCAACATCTGCTGGCCGCCAGGTTGATGTTCCTTGATCGACGGCTTCCTACCCTGCTGTTTTGGGCTCATGAAAGCATGAGCCATTTTTCTGGGCAACGCTCTGGGCTGCGCCAGCCACCTCCACAAGCTGACCAGGAGTCTCCTCCTGTCTCACTGCCTGTTGACTCCTGAACTTGCCTTCTCTTCCATGTGGTCACCTGGCCAGATGATGTATCCTCAGCCTTTGCTGTGGATCACTTTGCCTTATCTGAGCAGCCCTGCAGGCCCTGGACTCGGTGTCCTTACCTTGTAGAAAGGAAGAGGAGCTGAGGAGCTCAACTCCAGGCACTTCTCTGCCTGACCATGATGGACGATGTTCTGTTTGGTATGGGGCTGCTTGGGAGGTATCCTCCTTCCTGGGACCTCAATAAGCAACAAGACAAGAGTGCATGAACTCAGCATGTACAATACACTTTGCAGGGAAGAATTGGGCTTGGCTCTCCTTCCATCTAATTCTCCCTTCTCACCCTCTATTCCTTTACATTTTTGTTTCAGGACTGGAAAAGGGCAAGTTGCTTTCCTCTTCTTTCTGCTGTTCGTGCCTTACATAAAACTCTACAGTTTAACCTACAATGCTAACGAAAAAAAAAAAATGAATTCAGCTAATCTTTTTTGAGGGCAGAAGCCTCGCCCAATAGGCTTTTGTTTTGCTCCATTTAAAAGTACACTTCTTATGTTTTTAAACTTCTAAATGTTTTGCCTTTTTCAACTAAACCATAGGGGTTTAATTTTTTTTAATTTTTCAATTGTTATTTAAGATTCATGGGGTACATGTGCAGGTTTGTTACCTGGGTATATTGTATGATGCTGAGGTTTGGGGTGAGATTCATCCTGTCACTCAGGTACTGAGTATAGTACCCAACTGGTAGTTTTTTAACCCTGCCTCCTTTAATCATCCCCAGTGTGTATTGTTGCCATCTTTATGTCCATAAGGACCCAACGCTTAGCTTGCACTTACTTTATTTATTTATTTTTTGAGACCGAGTATCACTCTGTTGCCTGTTGCCAGGAGGGAGTGCAGTGGTGTGATCTCTGCTCACTGCAACCTCCACCTCCTGGGTTCAAGTGATTCTCATGTCTCAGCCTCCTGAGTAGCTGGGACTACAGGCATGTGCCACCACACCTGGCTAATTTGTTTTTTGTACTTTTAGAAGAGACGGGGTTTCACCATGTTGGCCAGGCTGGTCTCGAACTCCTGACCTCAGGTGATCTGCCCACCTCAGCCTCCCAAAGTGCTGGGATTACAAGCGTGAGCTCCCACTTATAAGTGAGAACATGCAGTATTTGGTTTTCTGTGTTGATTCATTCCCTTAGGATAATGGCTTCCACCTGCATCCATGCTGGTGCAAAGGACATGATTTCATTCCTTTTAAGGCTGCATAGTATTCCACGGTGTATATGTACCACATTTTCTTTGTCCAGTCCACCGTTGATGGACACCTGGGTTGATTCCATATCTTTGCTATTGTGAATAGTGCTGTGATGAACATGGTAGTGCCTGTATCTTTTTGATAGAACACAAATCATAGTTTCAATGACAGAAATTGAATATTAGCTGTTGCACTGTTGTTTCTTAATTTTGTTTTGCGTTCCTTTTATAGAAATCATCCCCCTTTCTCAGGCTGATGTGTGCCTTGAATGTACTAGAATCAAGGCCATGTACTTGGAAAGCGGGAAGTAAAAAAGAAAAAAAGCACATACAAAATGGTCAAATTATGTTCCCCATTATATTGATGTTGTCCCAAATCCTCACAGAAATTTAGCAAAATGCGTATAAATTTTGACAGTATTCTACAGATAAGTTAACGAAGCTTCACTTCAACAGATTTCGAACTATATCTGACTGCCTCCAAAACCCACCTTCTTTCCTGCATACAATGCTGCCTCTGGTGAAAAGCTGAAAGTTGAGATGGGGATCAAGGGCTGAGAGTGGAGGCCAGAAAGGCACCATGTCAATGGCATCCTCCACACCATTTAAATTGCCTACAGATTCTTGAAAGTCAGAGAAAAGAGGAGAGACAAATGCAGCGTGCCATCATCATCGTGCCAGGGTGACCCAAATCATTCAAGAAAATACTGGGCAGAGAACTGCTCAATACAGGAGCCATTCAGTGATAAGAGAAGATATGGCACATCTGAAGGCTTGTTTAAGAACAAAAACAAAATCGGCAGATGACTTTGCTAAAATGGAGGAGGCTTTGAGGCACATTCTATGAATTCTTGATATTATCTGGGATGCTGATAAATCATTCCACAATCTTGGGAAGGGAGGAAGAGCAGGTTCTGTCTTTTTGGCTTCAGAATCCCATGCTGTCTACCAAGCCTCCAATACTTCAACAAATGTCATAGGATTGGAGCTCAGAGAATTGAAAGCTTCATGGGTTATCATATTGATAACTCAGTAAGTCAAGCCTGCTGCATTGAAACTTGTAAATACCTTGACGTGTTTTCAGTTGCAGTATTCCCTCCATGTAAATTTCACTTTCCCTGTTATTTTCATCTGATTTTATAACGGTGACAAATAGACAAGCCTTCTGGAAGATGAATGAACTCTCACTCTTGGGCATTGGGAGGAGGAAGTGCATGCATGGATAATGTCCCGAATGGTGTTAGAACTTCAGGAGAGTGGGAAGAATGTCTCCAGAGACAGGTGGCCTGATGTGGGAGTGCTGGAGCCCAGGATGGGGGAGAAGGCATCTGTGCAGGAGGTTAGCCACCTGGGGAGTCAGAGCTCTAAGAAACTCCAGGGGAGTCCATGGAGGGAGGCAGAGATGGCAGCCACATCCTGGAGTATGGGAGCCCAAGTGTGACGAGGAACGACACATTCTTATGGGGGAGTGGGTGGTGGCAGGAATCACAGTGTTGACACACCAGGGAATTGATAAAACAAGTAAATAGACTGAGGGTAACAAGAGACAGATTTCTTACTGTTAGGGAGGGGGAGAAAAGTAAATGAACCCAGTGCTCGTGGATTGGAATGAGCAGTATAAGTGTGAACACTTGGAAAATTTTTTTTTTTTTAGGTGGAGTTTCGCTCTTTCACCCAGGCTGGAGTGCAGTGGCATGATCTTGGCTTATTGCAACCTCCGTCTTCCAGTTTCAAGCGATTCTCCTGCCTCAGCCTCCCGAGTAGCTGGGATTACAGGCGCCCGCCACCACGCCTGGCTAATTTTTGTATTTTTAGTAGAGATGGGGTTACACCATGTTGGTCAGGCTGGTCTCAAACTCCTGACCTCGTGATCTGCCCACCTTGGTCTTCCAAAGTGCTGGGATTACAGGCGTGAGCCACACGTGGATTTTTAATATACACAGAGGTAGATAAAGACATATAAATAGATCTACATATATTCCTGGCTCTGACCACTGCCAGGGTCTGGGTGAAGTGATGCTCCAAAAATAGTGAACAAGACTCCTAGTGAAGCGGCCTCATTGTCTGGGGTGATGCCCAGAGTTCTTGGTCTTACAGCCAAGGAAATCAAGGACAGGGACAGGCCAAGGGTGAGGCTTAGAGCAGAAATTTAATAGGAGAAATAAAGAGAGCAGCCCTCCACTACAGAGAGGGGTCCCGGAAAAAGGGCTGCCGTGCTGAAGTGAAATGCAGGGGTGTTTATAGATGACTTGGTGGGGAGGTGGTATCTGATCTAAATAGGGCACAGAAACCTGTTAGAACCAGGTGTGCCATCTGCATAGGGCATGAATCTCTGACAGCCTTCATCCTAACCTTTTATTATGCAGGCGGGTACTCAGCCTGAGCTACTCCATGTTGCCTGTTTCTTTCTTACTGTGCACGTGCTAAAAAAAGGAGAAGCCCCCATGGTGGACGTGCCTGGCCCCAGGTAGCCCTTTCTATCTGTGCAGCTGCTGGCATCCTCCCAGTGCAAGTTTCCAGCTTCCTTATTTATGTTTGCAGCCTGATCTTCCAGGCTGCTCTTTGTCAGAAAATAAGTGATTTCTTAGGCTGCCTTTTGTTAAAAGGAAGTTCTGCCAAAGACTCTTTCCCCTCACTATCTGCCTAAATAGCTTCCTTCCCCCTTCTGTATCACTAGCACCCAGATCTGGTCATCTCAATACCATTGTCCACCAAAAAAGAACGAGTTTCCTGATAAAACTGGTTTATTTCAGGGTTTGGATAGAGAAAGTGTAAGATGAGACAGAAACTTCTTGTGTCAGAAACTAAAAAGTGCTCAGAGATGCCGGGCGTGGTGGCTCATGTCTATAATCCCAGCTTTTTGGGAGGCAGAGGTGGGTGGATTACCTAAGGTCAGGAGCTCGAGATCAGCCTGGCCAACATGGTGAAACCATCTCTACTAAAAATACAAAAATTAGCCAGGAGTAGTGGGGGAGGTCCCTGTAATCCCAGCTACTCAGGAGGCTGAGGCAGGAGAATCGCTTGAATTCGGGAGGTAGAGGTTGCAGTGAGCTGAGATCACACCACTGCACTCCAGCCTGGGCAACAGTGAGACTCCATCTCAGAAAACAAAATACAGCAAAGAAAGGAAAGTGCTCAGGGAATGATGAGGACATGTCAAAGGGACTGAGGACCAACTTGAGGGGGCTCCTACTGGCCAAATCTGGGACAATTTGCATTTCAAAATAAATAAT
Organism: Homo sapiens; assembly: GCF_000001405.40. Taxonomy (NCBI): domain Eukaryota; kingdom Metazoa; phylum Chordata; class Mammalia; order Primates; family Hominidae; genus Homo; species Homo sapiens. Next base: position 12,837,227 of record NC_000008.11, read on the forward strand.
AATATTAGTGAATTATAACCTACTAAATAAAATAGAAAACTATGAATCCATACTGCTATTAATAATTTGTAAATGTGATAAGCAAGGGGATATTTATTCTCAAAGTACCCCTCCACAAAACGCTTATTATAAAAGAATAACTTTATCTTGGGAAGTCTGGCAGACACTAGATTTAGTCAAATGACCAGAGCAAATATTCCCAGTAAGAGCACATGTTAAAATAGTGTCCTACCAATAGTGGATGATAAGAAGACCACAGCTTCACTTCTGTAACGATCCTGCCAAAGACACTAGCCTAAATCCAATCATGAGGAAACCACAGACAATCTCACATTGAGGCACACTATACCAACTAAACTTCTTGTTATCTTCTCAAGTGCCAAGGTCATAAAAGTCAAGAAAGTCAAAGAGACAGTTCTAGAGTGAAGTAGGACGAGCAGACCTACAATTAAATTCATCTTATGGTTCTAAAGTGGATCCATTAGCTATAAAGGACATTATTGGGACAACTCGTGAGACAGGGTCTGAGGATTAGATAGCAATTATGTATCCACGTTAATTCTCTGATTTTTGTTGGTTGAATTGTGGTTTTGTAGGAAATGTGCACTAAAGTATTCTGCGGTTCTGAGGTAGGATGCATGACTCAACTTCAAAGGTGGGGCTCAGACACCAGACCAGATTGAGGACTAGGTAAAACAGGATTTGGGCGGGCGGGGAGAAGCTTTCCAATCAGACACACCCACCAGTGTGCCATGTCAATTTACCATTGCCATGGCAACACCCCAGCGCTACCACTCCTTTCCATGGCAATGGCCCAATGGCCCAAAAGTTATTACTCTTTCCCTAAAAATTTCTGCATAAACCATAATTTCTGCATAATCCCTTAATCGGCATGCAATTACAAGTGAGTATAAATATGACTGCAAAACTGCCCTGAGCTGCTACTCTCTCCTAGGGGGTTGCCCTGCTCTGCAGGAGCAGTCACGGAGCTGTAACACCACCAGAGGGGGAACACTGACGCTTCAATTAAGCTGTTTCTTCTACTTCCGGTTTGCCTGTGAATTCTTTCCTGGGCAAAGCCAAGAACCCTTGTGGGCTGAGCCTCACTGTGGGGCTCACCTGCCTTGCATCAGTTCTGGGATATCAAAGTTGGTAACTTACATTCCATGATTCAACAAAAGAAGTTCTTCATGCTGTACTGATAATTTTTCTGTGAAAACAATATTTAATAATGTATTAAATAAATATGCAAATCAATTAAAATGAAAGATATTTAACGTAAACTCTGTACACAGACACTGGCATGCTTATGTCTATAGGTATCACAGATGATAAGACAAAGGTGTCCAACCACAGGAGACTCATTTGAAGCAGAAAAATGTAGCTAGTGTGAAGCTCTTGGTCAAGTGGCTCTGAATTATTACCACTATTATTATCCTTATTACTTTTAAATTAAAGTACCTATAAATGCCTCCAAGCTAAGAGTTTTATAGATGCATTAGAAATATGCAATTGGTAATTAATGTGAGACTCACACTATGTATATGATGGTTTATAAGTCATATAAATATATATGCTATATATATTTATGGAATAAATATAAATATATTTATTCTATATAAATATATGGAAAAGCAATGAATATATGGAAAAGTCATAAGAATAGTTCAAAGAACTTCCACATACCTCGAAACTTCACCTAGATTCAACATTCATTAACATTTTCTGTTTGATTTTTCACCCTATCCCTCTCTGTATACCTTTTTTCTGAAACTATTTGATATTAAGTTGCAGACATCATGCCCCTTTCCATTTAAATACTTCTACCGCTGTCTCCTAAGAATAAGAATATTCTTTTCTACGACCACAGTACAAGGATCAAATTCAGGAAATGCAACATTGATATAATACTTTATCTGATATATAGTCCATATTTAAATTTTCTCAATTATCACAATAATTTTTATAGCAATTTTTTCACACTTCAGGATCCAATCCAGGGTCGTACCTCACATTTCCTTGCCATGTCTCCTTAACCTGGTACTGCAACTGTTCCTCAGACTTTCTTTGTCTTTCGTGATATTGACAGTTGTTTTACAAAATGTCCTTCCACTTGAGGATCATGTTTTCCCTAATTATTTTCTTTCATCTTTTCCCCTTTTATTGCCAGTTTTCCTTTATGTTATAGACACCTCTTCTTTTTCTACCTTCTTGAGTTCAACTAAATTCCAGAAACAGACACCTGTTTTGATGGATGGATTGTTTATAAGTTTCTTCTAAATATTTTTTTGTTTTTATTTACTTTGATGGATGCCCTATGGATCAATAGCTAAATAATTTCAATAATGTGGAATTATATAAAGATAACAAGTCAACTTATTGAGAAGAACGAATTCACAGTTTGAAATTAACTATTATTGACAAATCTATGCATCAAAAGACAAATCACAGACATATAAACCGTCATATACATAGTGTGAGTCTCACATTAATTACCAATTGCATCTTTCTAAAGCATCTATAAAACTCTTAGCTTGGAGGCATGGGGGTGTTGTCTCTGTTCTAAGTGGGTCTTCTTTCACTGCGTTGGTTCAAAGTTGAGCTTTCTCACTGATTCCTTCCCTAATAATAGAGCACTGTGGTGTTATAATGAGACTTGTGAGTACATGAAGTGAGAAAGTAGAGAACTAATTGTGAGAGAAAGATGTAACAACCTGAAAGCAAGGGGTTATTAAGAGCACTTAGTGTCAGGGAAGGTGGGGTGAGATGGCAGAGAAACATGGGCTATGCTAAACATAGAAAGAAATCTAAATGAAACACATAGGAACATAAAGTGCTTATTATGTAACAAAACATTCACCTCATGGAACAATAATCTAACCTCAAAATTTTCGGTTACATTATTTTTGTCCCTGCCCATATGGGTAACTGTTAGCTTATAAACTGTGAACATGGTAATGTATGATTTTTCTTTTCCTTCCTTCCTTCCTTCTTTCCCTCTTGCTTTTTTTTTTTTTTTTTGAGGCAGAGTCTCGATCTGTCACCCAGGCTGGAGTTCAGTGGCATGATCTGGGCTCACTGCAACCTCTGCCTCCCAAATTCAAGTATTCTCTTGCTTCAGCCTCCCAGGTAGCTGAGACTACAGGCATACACCACCACGCCCGGCTAACTTTTGTATTTTTAGTAGAGATGGGGTTTCCTCATGTTGGCCAGGCTGGTCTCGAACTCCTGACCTCAGGTGATACACCCGCCTTGGCCTCCCAAAATGTTAGGATTACAGGCGTAAGCCATCGCGCCCAGCCGGTAGTTTAATAATGTTAGAAATATGTGTCCAGTTGGAAGACTGTTGCCCAACTCATATGCATATTTTTGCACTATTTTAATAAATCATGTTATGTAAAAGCTAAGCAATATTAATACACTTAACCTTCTACCAAAACAAACCAAAAAAAAGAAATTTTGTGCTTAGACAAGCATTTAGTGAATTAACATTACTTCTAAATTTTTAAAAGTACTGGCCTAAGGAAATGATGTTTTGTTTTAATATGTTTCAGATGCAAAATATTAATTGACACTAGCTAGGCCTGCTTCACTTTTGTTGCTGGGCACGTGCTGCCCCCTGGTGTTCTCTGAGTGCCTTCCTCTTTCAGGCAAATGAGTTTGGTATTTCCTGCTGCCTGTTGGACATTGCATTGGAAAGTATCTCAGAACTGCAACCTCTTTAAGTCTGACTGCAGACTCCCTATCTTCTCATCCCTAACTTTTCTATTCCTGCTACTATTGCAAGCACTTGGCACAACACCTGACATACACAGTCTCTGACTTATCAATAACAATCAGTTGGTTGAATGAAGAATGCTTGCTACCCAAACAAGAAGGCCTGAAGTCATTTTTAATATTCTTTACACCTCACCAAATAGCCACAGTTCTTTACTTCCTCATTATGAATCTTTATCTCGTCCTGTCTTGACTAGTTTTCATTTAAGTGTATTTCCTCCCAGCTGAAATCTTTCCTCTGCACCCTTTCAGTATCTTCCCTTTCTTGAATGCCTATAGCCCTTGCTTTCTGTCCCAGAGATAAATAGGGTGGTCAAGTGGATAAGGCTTTAGAGTCAGTATATATGGGTCTGGATTCCAGCTTTGTCATTTACCAACTAGATGAATTTGGTACACTAATTTTTTTAAGAGGGGAGAGGAGACAGGAGAGTATAACACCCACCTCCCATGTTTAACCCTTCATGCACATACTCAGAAAGCTCCCCAAATACTGTGGGACATGTTGGCCTTTGCATGTCATGAGGAATAGAGGCTCATGATATTTTATGTCAATATTAAAGGAAACAGACCTACAGCAAGCTGAAGGACTTGGACACACCTGGGTTACATTAGAAAAGCGCTTCAGGCCAGAGGCGGTGGCTCATGCCTGTAATCCCAGCACTTTGAGAGGCCGAGGCAGGTGGATCACCTGAGGTCAGGAGTTCAAGACCAGCCTGGCCAACATGATGAAACCCAGTATCTACTAAAAATACAAAAGTTAGCCGAGTGTGGTGATGTGTACCTGTAATCTCAGCTACTCAGGAGGCTGAGGCAGGACAATCGCTTGAATCCAGGAGGCGGAGTTTGCAGTGAGTTGAGACCATGCCATTGTACTCCAGCCTGGGCAACAGAGTGAGACTCTATCTTCAAAAGGAAAAAAGAAAGAAAGAAAGAAAAGCACTTCATATGATGCCTAGGACAAAGTAAGCACTGAAGAGTCATCAAAATAATAACCAGGTCACTATCAAGCTATTACCACTGCCAGTTAGTCAAGAGTGGATCACGTATGTAGATGTTCTGTGATATCTCTTAAAGTGTTGAAATAGATTTCTGATTCTCTCTAGTGCATGCTACTGGTATTTTACCTTCACATGTATTTCTGTCTAATACAGAGTAAACTCTGTGAGATCAGGGGCCACAGCTAGTTCTTCTGTATATGTCTCAAAGCTCCTAGTATGGTATCTTATACATCGTAAACTCTTAAAACAGTTTTTGATTGAGCTGTGCTGCTATGTGGTGCTGACTCTTCATTTATTCTTTTAGTTGATGAACAGGGATAACTGGATGATTTAGCCTTTAGACATTCTCCAGCTCTCAACCTCCTCCTCTCACCAAACTTTTAAAGGGGTGTTTCCCTCTTTAAAGAGAAAGAGATGATTTTAGATTAAATTCCTTGTCATTCTTTAAAATGCAGACTGTGCCTGGGATTTTAAATGATCTCTCTTATGACTGCCTCCCTGAAGACACAGTAGGCCCAAAGTGAAAACTTTAGTCCAACAGGGCTCTAGGTTGGAGCCCATCCAATGAAGACTGAGCAAAAGGACCTCATCCTACAAGTGGCTCAAGGCAGGGCAGCGATCCTGTAACCTGGGCTCCAGGCTGTCCTGCTAGTGTTAGGCCTTTTGCACTTATTTCTGTGGATGTGGCTGAAATGGCCTCTATTCAATGACTTCTTTTTTGAAATCTGTGCTCAGTGAGAAGATGATTCTTTTAAAAACTAATAATAATTTTTTAAAGAATTTTTTTGAGATGGGGTTTTCACTATGTTGCCGAGACTGATCTCCAATTCCTGGACTCAAGAGAGTCTCCTGCCTCAGCCTCCCTAGTAGTTAGGATTAGAAAATGGTTCTTTGATTTACAGATGGAATCATCACGTGTGACACTGCTTATTTATTTGCCAGCCCTCTCCAAACTTTTGTTGCCAAAGAATGATCACTCGGGGGCCAGAAGCTAGGGAAGGGATGGAGCAAGAAGGTCAGGGTATCTTACCTCTCACCTCTGGAATATCCAAGGGTCACTATTCAACAAAACCTTTCAAGCTACATTTATTTTCTTATAATTGAACAAAAAATTTCATTAAAAAGAGTAATGCTATAAATAAGACTGTGGGAGAACAATTTACCTTATTCAAGTACAGAGAAATATAAGAAAAAATAAAAGAAAAAAACAAGGTTTGTTTTTTGTTACATACATACACGATAAAAGTAAAAAAGAAAAATACATGGAAATGATACGCTCCAACATCAGTAGCATGGTTACCTCTGGGAGGGATGGAATGGAAAAACATGGATTGTTCTCTGACTCTATTTGTCATGTTTTATTTCTCAAAAACAAAATGAATCTGGATAAAACATGAGGCCTTGTTTCCATAACGTTAGTGAAACCAAGAGGGCCTGTTGAGAAGGACAGGTGTCTATGCCCAATTGTATTCGATCATGGGCCAAGTTGTTGTGAGAATTGCCTATGGCATTGTTTTGGCTTATAAATTTATAAAAATTATGTTTGTACATATCCATTAGCAATTTGTCTTTTCTCCTTCCTATCTTACCTTGAGGTGTATCATGTTGATACTTGATTTGTAATTTGTTCAAGTGAATCTTGCATGACACTCCACCTTAAGAATTATGTCTGTTTCTGTTTTATTATTATTATGACAAATAGTGCTGTGATGAACATTTTTGATCATGCTTCTGGGGGAAGATTTCTCAACCTCAGCACTATTGACATTTTGGACTAATTTTTTTTTTTCTTTCAGAAACGATCTCACTCTGCTGCCCAGGCTGGAATGCAGTGGCGTGATCACAACTCACTGCAGCCTCAATCTCCTGGGCTCAGCTCATCCTCCCACCTTGGCCTCCCACGTAGCTGGGACTACAGGTATGTGCCATGATGCCTGGCTAATTTTTTTGTAGATTTGGGGTTTCACCATGTTTTCCAGGCTGGTATTGAACTCCTGGCCTCAAGTGATCCTTCTGCCTTGGCCTCCCAAAGCACTGGGATTACAGGCATGAGCCACTGAGCCTGGCCTGGACTAGATAATTCTCTCTTGTGGGTCTGTCTTGTGCATAGTAGGGTGTTTGGCAACATCCTTGGCCTCTGCCCACTAGATGTGAGTAACATCCTCCACCCCCACAGAGTGATAGTTAAAAACGTCACCATACATTGCCAAATGTTTTCTAGGGGGTAAAATTCACCCCTCTGAGAACCACTGCTCTAGAGTATACACTCAGGAGTGAAATTACTGAAATTCCCAGTGTGTAATCTTCAGTTTATCAGATACTGCCAAGCTATCCCCCAAAGTGGTACCAGTTCAAACTTCTAACGAGTACTAAGGGTTCCTATTCCTAAACATCATTGGCATGACATGTGAACCTACGCGTTACTTTTGGTGACTCTAATTTCCTTACTTACTAGTTTAATTGCTGATTTCTAGTGAAGTTGAATATTTCACGTTTACTAACTATTTGGGTTTCCTTCTCTGAATTTCTACTTATATATTTCGTCCGTGTTTATGTTGTTATTTGACTTTTTCTTACTTATTAGTAGGACTTTAAAAAAACTGCTGAATACAAACATAAATACATATTTTTGTTTAAAAACATATGTGTTGAGAATGTACATGGTCCTGAAACAATTGTAGGGGGCCAGGAATAGAGCAGTAAACCAAACAGACAAATATCTCTACCCTCATGGAGTTCATGTTCTGGTAGGGAGAAAGAAACAATAAATAAAAAAGTAAACTGTATAGCATAGGAAAAAAATAATGCAAGAGGCTGGGTGTGGTGGCTCATGCCTGTAATCCCAGCACTTTGGGAGGCCAAACCGGGCAGATCACAAGGTCAAGAGATCGAGACCATCCAGGCCAACATGGTGAAACTCCCTCTCTACTAAAAATACAAAAATTAGCTGGGCAAGGTGACACAAGTCTGTAGTCCCAGCTACTCAGGAGGCTGAGGCAGGAGAATCACTTGAACTCCGGGAGGTGGAGGTTGCAGTGAACTGAGATCACACCACTGCACTTCAGCCTGGCGACAGGGCGAGACTTCGTCTCAAAATAAATAAATAAATAAATAAATAAATAAATAAACAAACCCAATAATAATAATAATAATAATAATAATGCAAGGAAGGGAGCTAGGAAATAGCAAAGTGAGAAGGTTACAGTTTTAAACAGGGTGGTCAGTTAAGACTTCACTGAGAAGATGGCATTTTAACAAAGCTAAGTAAGGTGATTTACAACCTCTATAATCTATTGTTAGTCATTAGATTGCACAAAGCTTCTCCAAGTTCATGCTTTGACTTTTCACTTTTGAACATCTTTTGTCACCAGAAGTTTAAATTTAAATCTTTTCTTTTATGCTTGGGCTTTTGAGGTCCTTTTTCTTTTTTTCTTTAAACAGGCTTAATTCGCCTTATTTTTTTGGTATGAAAACCCTGTGTGGTAGCCACAGCTGGAGCCTGGGTCCTCTGCACAGAAACTCTGGTGATATTGAGGTCTTAAGGAATCTTTCTACACTCTGATGTCATAAAGTTGTTCTATGTTTTTTGCTGAAAGTTTCACAGTTTTGTTTTTCACGATGATTTTTCAATCTATCTTTGTTTTGTTGATTGGGATACAGTAAGGATCTAATTTAGCTTTCTCCATTTGGCTAGCATCATTTATTCAACGCTGCATCCTTTCCTGGTTGATTCATATAGTATATCCTGTGTCATTACAGACACTTGCAAAGGAGCATTAGAGTTCTGTTTCTCTGCTCTCTTTCAACAGTCTACATGTTCATTCCCATGACAATATCACATGGCTCTAATAAACAAAAACCTTATTTGTTAATCCAGATGTCTGGTAGTGTGAATTTTCTATTCTTCTTACTTTTCTTTAATGTCTTGCTTTTTTATTTTTTATGTGAATTTTTGGATCAGCTCATCAAATTCTACAAAATAAACAAATAAAAGCAATACTGTTCAGATGATGATGGAAACTTCACTGAATTTATTGAGTGTCACTGGGGTTCGTGTAAGGACAGTTGTGATCTATATAATAATAAATCTTCAATTTCATTTATTTTGAGTGTATTTTATGGCATTTAAAAATCTTTATAATTTTCTTTTTTAAAAACATATTTTGTTACATTTATTCTACACTTTAATTTTTGTTCCTATTACAAATTGTAACTCTGTTTTGAGTTATATTTTATAATTGCAAGCTGTTGGTATTTTAGAATGCTATTAATTATTTGTGCATTTATCTTGTTTCTGTCATCACTGATAAACTCATAAATTCCAATACCTTTCAGCATAGTCACTTGGAATTTCTAAGCAGCCAAACATATGCATTTGATAATAATTTTGTTTTTTTCTTTGTGTTTATCCTTTTATTTTTTTCCTTGTCTTATCATGCTAACAAACCAAAATAAAATGTTAACTAAAAACAGAGATGAAGCATCTTGTTTCCTTTAAAGCAAATATTTTAAAAATTTCAGCATTAATTTGGATGTTTGTTGTAGGTTTTTTTTTTTTTAATAGATATGCTTTAGCAAGTTAAGGCAGATTTCTCTATTCTTGGTGTGCTACAGATTGTATCAAAATGGGTGTTGAAGTTCGGCAGAATAATTATTTTGAATCTATTTTTTCTCCAAATTCATTAATACGATGAATTTTATTTCCCTAAAGTTGTTCATAGTGTTTTCTTATGTCTTTTAAAGATAAAGATATATTATGTTGCTTTCCTTAGAAGACATCTACTTGGTTCTGATGGGTTTTAAAATATATATCTACAACAGTTCTATTCTTAGGTTTGTGACATATTTTATTTGTATCTATGTATAAGAGGGAGATTGATTAATAACTTTTCTTTCTTAATGTGCTTGCCTAGTTTGGTATTAAGGTTATTTTGCCTCATAAAAATAGTAGAAAACAAGATCTGATTTTCTATCTGATGTGTAACAGTTTGTAAAATACTGGGATTATAATATTCCTTAAACTTTTTATTAAAGAATTATAATATTCCTTAAGACATTTAAATAAAACATACCTGCGAAGCTGGACTGAGGCTTACTATTTTTTTCTAGAGTTATTTTTGTAAGTCACATCTTTCTAGGAAATAATCCATTTTGTCTACTTTTTAAAATTTATTTTCCCTAAAGTTGTTCATAGTGTTTTCTTATGTCTTTTAAAGATAAAAACTTGCTACAGGATTTAGTTATGCTTCCTTTTTCATTTGGAGTGCTTTTTTTCTGTGTCTTTTTTTTTTTCTTTTTTTTGTGTGTGTGTGTGCTTAATGTTCTTCCTGAAGTGTTTCCTTTAGTGATTTCATCTGGGAAGATGTGGCTGGTAGTTCTCTCTGTGTTTATTTATTTATTTTTTAAAAATTGTGATGGTCAGATCACAAGGTCAGGAGATAGAGACCATTCTGGCTAACATGGTGAAACCCCGTCTTCACTAAAAATACAAAAAATTAGCCAAGCGTGGTGGCACGCACCTGTAGTCCCATCTACTCAGGTGGCTGAGGGAGGAGAATCGCTTGAACCCGGGAGGTGGAGGCTGCAGTGAGCCAAGATCGAGCCACTGCACTCCAGCCTGGGCAACAGAGCAAGACTCTGTCTCAATTAAAAAAAAAAAAAAAAAAAAAGGCCGGGCATGGTGGCTCACACCTGTAATCCCAGGACTTTGGGAGGCCGAGATGGGCGGATCACAAGGTCAGGAGAGCGAGACCATCCTGGCTAACACGGTGAAATCCCATCTCTACTAAAAATACAAAAATTAGCTGGGCATGGTGGCGGGTGCCTGTAGTCTCAGCCACTTGGGTGGCTGAGGGAGGAAAGTCTCGCTTGAACCTGGGAGGCAGAAGATGCAGTGAGCCGAGATCACGCCACTGCACTCCAGCCTGGGCGGCAGAGCGAGACTCCGTCAAAAAAAAAAAAAAAAAAATTGTGACCTCAATGTTGAGTGAGAATTAGGATGGACCCATATCAACCATGGAAGCCTTGTCTTCTGGCTTCCATGGTTGTTACTGAGAAGTCTGTCATTCTGATTTTCATTCCTTTGTAGATGATATTCTTCACTTCCTGCATAAGAATACTATGCATCCATAAAAAAGAACAAGACCGTGTCCCTTACAGGAACATGGATGGAGCTAGAGATTTTGATCCTTAGCAAACTAATGCAGAAACGGAAAACCAAATACCACATGTTCTCACTTAAGAAGTGAGAGCTAAATAATGACAACACATGGACACATAGAGGGGAACAACACACACTGGGGTCTACTTGAGGATGGAGGGTGGTTGGAGAAAGAGGATCAGGAAAAATAACTAGTGGATACTAGGCTTAGTATGTGAGTGACAAAATAATGTATACAACAAACTCCCATGACACAAGTTTGTTTACAGTTTATATAATAAACGTGAACATGTACCCCTGAACTTAAAAGTTAAAAAAAAAAATGTACTCTTTGTCTATGATGAGAATAATTAGTCTTTGTTGCAACACTGTTGTCTAAGCAGAAATTCATTTATTTCTTTGGTCTGAAGAGTCACATGTTTCTTAAATTCTGGAAAGAACCCAGTCATCTTCTTGCATGTTATTTCCTAATTCTCTCTATTATTTCTTCTTAAAATTTATTTGTGTCTCTAATTTTCATTCTCTTAACTGCCATATCTCTTAACCTCTCATATTTCCATGTATTTTTCTCTTTCTGCTGCATTATAGATACTTTCCTCATACTAATCTTCCAGTTCTCTAATTCTTTCATTGCTTATGCCTCATCCCATTTTCCATGTTTTTTTTTTTTTTTGTTTTTCTTTTTTTTTTAACCTTAAATGTCTGTCTTTATTTCTGGGACTTCCGATTGGTTGATTTTACAAATCTGCCTGCCTTGCATCACAGGGTCCTGTTCATTCTTTAAGGGCTTTGTTTGCTTCTCATGTCTTTAATTTTTTATTTTTATTTTTTATTTTATTTTATTTTTTTTTGAGAACACCAAACATACTTTATTAGCACAAAAAAAGCAGCCATAACAAGGCACAGCAAGCAGAAACATACATTAGCAGTCAAAGGGTTAGTGTTGCATACAAATATAGCTTTTCTTTTTTGTAGCCTTGGCAATAGCCATAGGGATGTAAAATAACATTCTGTGGCAGCAGGTAAGGAAACCATGGAGCACTCACCAGTGGTACAAAGCACATTAACAAAAACACACAAGAATGGATTCGGCTACTTTAGTGCAAAATGTCTAGGACAGAACTGTAAATTCAGTTCAGTTACTAAGAAGCAAACACTAGCAGTTGATATAACTTCCAAAAGAGCTCACTCAAGTAGTAGTACATATTATTCTAAGTGACAAAATATCAATCTGAGAACTACTCCTTTAAAAAATTAAAGACATGATTTGTCTTTAATTTTTTAAAGGAGTAGTTCTCAGATTGACATTCCATTAAACTTAGTTATGGGAGCTGTACATTTACTCTTTGTTTCTGTTTACTCTCACTTATTTTGTCATGTCATGTGAGTTACATTGTATAGATATAATGAGCTCATCTTTGTCAGGATTGGTTTTTTGTGAGAATCTTCTATGGTGTGGGTGGTAGGAACATAATTTTAGGGCAGTGTTACATTTGCTACTACTAAAGTTTCTGAATGTTTTTCCAGAAGACTTGGCTGTAGCAATTTCAATTCACAAATTCAGGTGAGGTTCTGCTCTGTGGCTTTGAATCCATAGAGCTGAATTTTTCCTCTACACTGAGATATATAAGCTTCCTTGTTGTCTTTCTGGACAAGTGTGCGAATTTTTTTCTGGTCCAATTTAAGGGGCATGACTCTACAGAGGAGTCTCAGTTACAAATCTCTCCTTGCATGGGCTCAGGGTTTTCTCTCCTACCCAAACCCAATCATTAAAATCAACTCCCCATACTACTGAGCCCGACATTCCAGCAAAGCAATGGTATTAGCTTAATATTTTGTCTTAATGTCTAGACCTGATTCTAGCTCAGCTGTGCATTTTTTTTAAGAGACAAAGTCTCACTCTATTGCCCAGGCTGGATTGCAGTGGTGCAAGCACAGCTCTATGCAGCCTTGAACTCCTGCACTCAAGTGATCCTGCCACCTCAGCCACCTGAGTAGCTGGAACCACAGGTGTACACTACGATACCCTGCTAATTTTTAAAAAAATTTTTGTACAGACCTGATCTTTCTATGTTGCCCAGCCTATGCATTTTTAAAGGTATTTATTTTGATATACACCCACTTGAACCAATACATCATGAGGCCAAGGATTTTATTTGTTCACTGTCATATCCCAAAGCCTAGATAAGTGCCTGGCACAGGGTAAATATTTGCCAAATGAAATAAAAATGTGTGAATGAATCCACCCCCTGCCATATACATGTGTGTATATGTGTATTGGAAGAAAGGCATTTCTACATATTTACAGTGGGACTCTTTTCAGATTGTCTAGTCAGCATTACAGGCACACTATCTGAAAAATGGTGGTGCATTCTATCCCTTTGTTAAATTAAGTTTAACCTAAAGCTGCCTCCTTACATATTTTAAGTTTGGCCTAAAGATTTCTCCATACATACTGAACTGTAACCTAACTGGATGTGTATACAGACTGCAACCTACTCTTGTGCCAGTCACAGGGTTTTGTGCAATCAAAGGCGGCCAAGTGTTCACACCATGCTCAAATAAGGCAAACGTGGGGATGTAACCCATCCGGCTGCTTCTGCACCTCATCTCTGTTTTCTGTTCATCACTTTTCCTTCTCTGTCCATAAGTCCTCTCTGACCACACAGCAGCAGCAAAGTATCCCTGAACCTATTCTGCTTCAGGGAGCTGCCAGATTCATGCATTGTTCTTTATTCAATTAAAGTCTGTTAAATTTAATTTGTCTGAAGTTTTTCTTTTAACACCCTCATCCCTTGGATGGCATACAGTAACATTCTAATCCTATTAGCCCCCAATCCAATGATCCAAATCCAGCCTCCGTCTTTTCCCCCAGCCTGAGCGTCCCGTTTCTAGGCCACTCTTCCTAGCTATAGTCCCTTCCCCCAGCTCCTGCTGGACCCATAACTAGACTCTCATATGCTTCATTCTCCAAATCTACCGACCAGCCACAGACCTTGTCCCCTACTTTCAAACAGAATATTCTACCGAGACTCCACTTGAATCCAAGTATCATCAGGCCAGCAACTTTGTTTTCTCACTGCTCTTTCCCAAAGCCTGGAGGAGTGTCTGGGACAGAATTTATTTCAGTAAATATGTCTTGAATAAAATAAAGGATGAATGAATTTAGCCACTATCCACACTGAAATACCGTATGGTATAAATACACAACAAGCAATTAAAAGCTTCAGCTTTAAAGTAAAACAAAATTAGCAGAAATATGCAGTCTGAAGCCTGTCTCTATAATTTTAAAGTGGCTTTTTAAAAAAAGTTTTCCAATATGTGCTACTGCTTCAAGTTTCCTTGCACAGTTTCCAATATAAAACAAAGTAACAGGCAAAAGCTAAGAAAACTAAAACCCTCTGTTATAAAGAAGAATGAAATTAGAAGCAAAAGATTCTGCTGTAAAATGTAGACATGACTTTAAAAAAGTCATGTTTAAAGCCTCAGCCTCAGTTTCCAGTTATAAAAAACTAACTAACTAAAGTCCAAAAGCAACACATTTTTCTTTACAAAAACCTTCCTCCAAGTTTCTGGGCTTGAAGTAGCGAGTAAAACAAAGGAGGGTCTTTTCAGAAATGTCATTTGTTTAAGGTCCTCTAGTCTCCGTTTTTAAACAATGTTTTCAAATAAAATAAGCCACAAAAATAGCAAGCCAGGCTGGGTTCGGTGGCTCATGCCTGAAATCCCAGCACTTTAGGGAGGTCAAGGTGGGAAAATCACTTAAGGTCAGGAGTTCGAGACCAGCCTGAACAACATAGCAAGACACCATCTCTTAAAAACAGAAAAACAAAACAAAATCCTATGAAGCTCATGCCTGTAATCCTAGCACTTTTGGAGGCCGAGGCGGGCAGATCACTTGAGTTTAGGAGTTTGAGACAGCCTGGCCAACATGATGAAACCCCATCTCTACACAAATACAAAAATTAGCCAGTTGTGGTGGCAGGTGCCTGTAATCCCAGCTACTTGGGAGGCTGAGGCAGGAGAGTCGCTTGAACCTGGGAGGTAGAGGCTGCATTGAGCCGAGATCACACCCATTGCACTCCAGCCAGGGTGACAGAGTGAGACTCTGTCTCATAAAAAAAAAAAAGTTTTCTAACTTGGCTAGGGTGTGCAAGTCAGTCCATTTTACTGTTCTATAGGCTTCTCCAGCAAGAAATGCTCCCAGGAAAAAGAATCTGCGAAACCCACTCCTGGCTCCTAAAACACAGTGAGATATTTTGATTAACTCTATGAGTTTAAGGTTGTGAGAAAAGTAAACTTACAGAAAACCAGGCCTATGTCTAAGTTTGGTGAGGCTTTCTCAATTTCCTGAATTGCATTCCCTGCAATTTTCTGGTGACATTTCAGAGAAGACGGGTGATGGAGTGGCTATGGACACCCACGGAGATCTTTCTGAAATTTTTTCACCAAAAATTTTTGGTTATGTCTGAAAACACACCTGAAGTCTGGCTGAAGGGCCAATAAATAAAAAATAAATAAATAAATAAATGAACAAACACTCTTCAGAGCCTATGTACGTTTCAGCAAAGTGAAGTGCCCTCCGTTTTCACTTTAGTTTTTTTAAAGCACCTGTATGGAACCTTGAAAACATTATGCTAAGTGAAAGAAGTCAGATAAAAGTTCACATATTGTATGATTCCACTTACATGAAAAATTCAGAATAGGTAAATCCATCAAGACAAAAAGCAGATTCGTGGTTGCCATGGCCAAGAAGGGGAATGGCGAGTGACTGGTTCATGGGTATGGGGTCTCTTGTGCCTCAGCCTCCCGAATAGCTGATTTTGAGGGTGATTAGAATGTTTTGGAACTACATGGAGCTGCTGCTTGTACGTTGTCAATGTACTAGGTGTCAATGAATAGTACGCTTTAAAATAGTTCATTTTATGTTATGTGAATTTCACCTTAATACAAATTTAAAGCTTGTATATGAATGTGCACATACATGTACTTGCAAATTTTTCCAAAAATTATTTAAAGAAATGTGCCTTAACATGTTGCTTTTTTCTGTCTGGAATAGGTTCAATTGCCTCAAGACCAATGCCATACAGTGAACGGTTTCAATGCTTCTCGAAAGCCTAAGTTCCTCATATCATTTCAGGGTTATTTGGGAATGGCTACAGGGAGCTGTTCTAGTTTTGATGCATTAGTGGACCAAAAATCACCAGTGCAATGGCTGATTAAATGGCGGCTCATCCCACTCCTGCTTAGCATCAGTGATGGTCATCATGAGAATTTAAAAAATCCATTGAATCTTCCCAAGATTATTCTGTGTACTGACAGTAGTTACATAAGATGAACACAAAATAGGATTGTACCCTGAATCTGCCTTTTGGCTTTGACTTGGATTTGGCTTTTGGAAAACCAAATAGTAGAATGTCTGCTTCAACATCACATTTGGTATCCCTGAACTCCGGTGTTGATCACAGACCCATGATCTGCCAATCATGTAGGTTATCATCCTATCCAAACAGTGTAACACGAGTAATTCAAGCAAGTCATTCTTATCTTCAAACATAGGCAAATATTCTAGATATAACTCGGAGTTTGATATGCATTAGACAGTTGGTGCATAAAGGTGTATTTATCTTGACAAGAGTAAGATGTGGTGAAAGTTAATGAGGAATGTGAAAACTAATATTTTATTCACTAAATTTATTTATGAAAGAACAAATATTTAAAATGTTAAATTGTTAAATAAGGCTATAGATGGACAGCTATTATAAATAGGCAGGGAGAGTGCATTAGCTAGGTACATTTACAAAGAACATTATGTCCTTTTTAAACCAAAAATGCTTTATAAAAATGTAAATGTTAGTACAAAACATAATAATAAGGTTTAGATTACACCATAATTTTAACCTTTGTAGAACTGTTTGGTAATATTAAATACAGTCACCTCTAAGGACTGTATCTAATTTTCTGACTATTTAGACCATAACAATTTTTTCAAGGAATAATCCTATTTACGAATTATTTTGACTTTTTTTTAAAATTCTGGTTTATTGAGGTATAATTCACATACAATGAAACAAACCATCTTATTTACAATTATATAACCACCACAATCAACACATAGAACATTCTGATAATATCTTTTTTTATCAAAAGCCTCAATTTTTCTACCATTGTACAATCTCCAAAAGTCCTATAGATGAAGTTGTTGCACATTTTTTAGGGGTTTGGAATGCATATATTGAAAATAGGTGACATGTAAGAATATCCAAATGAGAGAAGAGAGTTGTAAAAGAGAATGGGCAAATAATATCAAGGAAATATTTATCAATACAGATGTGGTTGCGTCCGGAATTTATTCCTTCCGGTGGGTTCTTGGTCTCACTGACTTCAAGAATGAAGCCACGGACCCTTGCAATGAGTGTTACAGCTCTTAAAGATGGTGTGTCCAGAGTTCTTTCCTTTAGACGTTCAGATGTGTCCAGAGTTTCTTCCTCCCGGTTAAAGAACAAAGCAGTGAGTGTTACAGCTCTTAAAGGTGGTGCATCCGGAGTTGTCCTCCTGGTGGATTTGTGGTCTCCCTGACTTCAAGATTGAAAACGCAGATCTTCACAGTGAGTGTTACAGCTCTTAAAGGTAGTGTGGACCGAGAATAAGCAGCAGCAAGATTTATTGTAAAGAGTGAAAAAACAAAGCTTCCACAGCACAGATGAGGACCTGAGCAGGTCGCCCTGCTGGCTGGTGGCGGGGGGTGGGTGGCTAGCTTTTATTCCCTTATTTGGCCCTGCCCACGTCCTGCTGATTGGTCCATTTTACAGAGTGCTGATTGGTGTGTTTTTACAGAGTGCTGACTGGTGCATTTACAATCCTTTAGCTAGACACAGAGCACTGATTGGTGTATTTTTACAGAGTGCTGATTGGTTCATTTACAATCCTTTAGCTAGACCCAGAGTTCTGATTGGTGCACTTTTACAGAGTGCTGATTGGTGCATTTACAATCCTTTAACTAGACACAGAGCAGTGATTGGTGCATTTACAATCCTCTAACTAGACAGAAAAGCTCTCCAAGTCCCCACTTGACCCAGGATGTCCAGCTGGCTTCACCTCTCATGGTGACAGGTTTCAGAGCCAGTTAAGCAGCTGAAAGATTGTGATAGAAATGTAAAATGTATGGCATGATTAACTCAATCCTCCACACCCAAAGTTCACATAAAATAAATAAATAGAGAAGTTAACCTTTGCTTACAATTAGAGCTTGCATTTTTCTGAAATGTTAAGTTTATTTATTTACTTAAGATGGAGTCTTGCTCTGTCACCCAGGCTGGAGTGCAGTGGTGGGATCTCGGCTCACTGCAACCTCCGCCTTCTGGATTCAAGCGATTCTCCTGTCTCAGCCTCTCAAGTAGCTGGGACTACAGGCATGCGCCACCACACCCAGCTAATTTTTGTATTTTTAGTAGAGACAGGGTTTCACCATGATGGCCAGGTTGGTCTCGAACTCCTGACCTCATGTGATCCACCCCCCCCCACTGCCTTGGCCTTTCAGAGTGCTGGAATTACAGGCGGGAGCCACCATGCCCAGCTGAAATTGTAAGTTTAGATAATACCATATCTCACTTTTTATTAATGGATTTGCTGGAGAAACAGTGGCTGGACAATCCCTTTTATTTACCCTGAGGCAGCCCAAATATCATCTGACCTACCAGGACTCAAGGGATGGTTTCCTGAGGACAGAACATGGAATACTGATCACTGTCTTTTAGACTGGGGCTTAACAGTATGGGTGGCAAAACCCTGGGTTAGATAGGTTAGATTCTTATCCACAAATGACCCATCCTCTGGTCATGATGTCACATTTTTAAGCTGTTTCAACTTACTCAGGGACAAGTTTTGGGGCTCATTAGCTTTCTACAGTGTCAGTTCCCACAGAACAAGACTTCTTGGCTGACAGGATCCCACATGGATAATTGCTAGGGTCCCAGTTAAGTAGCTCAGGCTCAGTCCTCATGAAGAAGAGGTTTCTTCCTCCTTATGCTGCCCTTTCCATGTATATGTGAGATTCCCTGAAGCAAAATCACATAATTCTTTATCATCTCAACATCTTTGAAGTCCAAATGGTGAAAGGCAACTGTCATGCTTGCATCTGATTGCTGAGTCATGGTTGTGATGGTGTTCTATTCAGCAAATTAGGGATGTTCTTCATAGGACTTCCAACAGCCTCTCTGTTTACTTCATTAACAACTGATCAAAAGTCTAATGACTGGAGAAATTGTTTTTCTAAAAAAGGCTCCAGACATTCTTTTTCTGTTTTTTTTTAAACAGAGTTTCACTCCGTCGCCCAGGCTGGAGTGCAGTGGCTTGATCTCAGCTCACTGCAACCTCCGCCTCTCGGGTTCAAGCAATTTTCTGCCTCAGCCCCCTGAGTAGCTGGGATTACAGGCACCCACTTCCACACCCAGATAATTTTTTGTATTTTTAGTAGAGATGGAGTTTCACTAACTTGGCCAGGCTGATCTTGAACTCCTGACCTCATGATCCACCCGCCTCTGCGTCCCAAAGTGCTGTGATTACAGGCATGAGCCACGATGCCTGGCCAACACTCTCTTGGATATCTTAAGGATGACCTTTTCGACACAATGACTCCTATCTCCCTGTGCCTTCTCTTCAATATGGAGATCCATCATTAGGGAGACAGCAGGGTATCACCTTCATTGTGTTGAGAGTGATCTTAGCTATTGCATAAACAAAATCATCAGAAGCACCACACAGGGCGGTTTCCCTTTGTTGGAGATGATTGCAAAGCATTTAGTTTGTTCTGCATGAGCTCACACATGACTGTAGTGTTAGAGGTGTTTTGGCCAATGGGGTCAGCCACAACGTTAGCTTTCTTAGAACTTTCCATAGTTTTCTAAGAACAGAAAAGACCTCTCTGGTATGAAATGAGCAGTTTTTAGGTGGGTTTGGTTAGGTATGGCGGAATTCACATCTACTCACAGGTATTAGGAATGACGTCCCCGCCTGTACAGCCATCTTAGATGGTTTAACTTCCTCTCTGAGCAGTAGTAAAACAAGTTTGTTTATACTCTCAAAACTGAGCTTTTCCCTTTCTCCGGCACCATCTTGTCATCTGTGGTTTTACGGGTGTGTGATTTGGGACAAATATATGCAGTCTTTGAAAAAGGCCCCCCAGGTGGCAGTTTGCTTGTGAATTCTCCTTGGTATTACCAAAAGAAGAAACAAGGTTCCTCTCTTTGTTGCTGCAAACTAGAGTCAATATTAGGTTGATGATCTCTTTATAGTATCTTTAAAGTTCCAAGGGGTCACTGCAGTGACAAAGCTGGTATGAAGGTGCTACGTGTCTTTCTTAGCATTTGAAAGTGTACCTTTAGCATACAGCTTCTATATCGCTGTCCATGAAGTCACAGTACAAACTTCTTGGGAAGGTAAAAGACACAAACAGCTCTGCCTATTCCTCATCAGTGTAGTGCTGGTAACATTGCAAAATTATGCAAATGTACTGTGTAATGAACTCAAAACAGACTTGACCATCTGCTTCCTGGCAGGGTGCAGGCAATTGCACAGGAGTATATTCTGTTGACAGAACTCAATACATTGGGCCTCCTGATTCAGTGTCTTGCCCCAAGTTGGGAGTCTTAGGCTCCTGTCTGTGTTGTAGTTACGGTCTGATACAAAACTTTATAAACTGCTATTTGTCATGTCTTGGCAATCCTTTGCTTTCCATCTGGGGTCCCTGTTAAGGCTGGATTCATATTGTTGCATCTATCATAGGGAGAGTCCACTGATGCTTTCCGCATAGGACCCACCAGAGAAAGGACCTCAACTTACTGTCAAACCCGAATGGCAGGATGGAAAAAACATCCCCCTTGTTTTATACAGCTTTCTTTATTCCATCCAGAAACAGGTTTAAATATAACCAAATCCATTATAAATAATCTCCCAATAGCTGATGAGACAGAGCTTATTCTTGTTAACAGGTACAAGCTTGTGTAGTCATAGAAGTGCTATTTTTTCCCAGGCTGAGACACCTTCAGCAGATATAGCATTTGAACAACTGCCAAAAAGGACATCTCTGGGGGTTACAAGAGTTGGCAGGTCTTTTATTCCCAGAAAGCCTAGAGCTGAGAGTAGCATGAGCTGCCTTTTCCATTCCTCTTCCCAGATAACTTGTACCTCTGGAGACAGTGTCATTGGATCTTGGTTTTATTGCAAAGCTGCTCACAAGTCCCTGACTCAGGTTTTGGCTCCTTCTCATAGTAGCTCATGGGGTAACTGAGGAAAAATTAAAATAAACTCACAGGTGACCTTCATACTGTCAATCATAGCAAGGTTAGTCCCCAAATAGGGGCCCATAGCCTCTCCTCAGTTGGCAGGGTATTGTTCAGACAACCCTTCTTGGCCAGCTATATTGCTCAACCATTGGAAGGGAGGGATGGCATGAGGCCACTGGCAATGACGAAAAATGAACCGGCAGACTCTACGATAAAGACTTGAACCTAGGCCAGGTGTGGTGGCTCATGCCTGTAATCCCAGCATTTTGGGAGGCTGAGGTAGGAGGATCATTTGAGCCCAGGGGCTCAAGACCAGCCTGGGCAACATAGTGAGACCCCCATCTCTATAAAAATTAAAAAAAAAAAAAAAAGCCAGGCATGGTGGCACGCACTTGTAGTCCCAGCTACTCAGGAGGCTGAGGTGGGAGGATTGCTTGAACCTAGGAGTTTAGTTTGTAGTGATCTATGACCACACTATTGCATTCCAGCCAGGGCAAAAGAGAAAAACCTTGTTAAAAAAAAAAAAAGAAGAAGAAGAAAGAAAAGATAAGAGAAAAAGAAAGAAAGAGAAAGAAGATTCAAACTTAGGTATAGCCAGTAGATGGAAACCAGTGTACTGTGTACTGTGCAGGTATGGTTCAATGTTTGACCCACTAACATGATATGGTCACCCTCTTCTTTGAAAACAACCTTTGAGATCATTGTCAAAATCTCTGAGCGGTACAAGTACAACCCGACTTCAAGACATGCTTGACCTGCTTAGAGAAAGGCTGGGACTCTCCCTGGAGATCAAAGTCATTCCGTGTCTCCTCCTTGTACCTTTTGGCTAAGTTACTCCTCTTGCCACGCATCAGGTGATCAGGGCCCTAGTATTCAGATGCAGCACGGGCCTCATGGAATTCTTATCCTGTGCGGTTTGCTTAAATATAAGAAGTATGCTGTTGTTGACTGAATTCTGTCGTCTCCACAAAAAATTCCTGTTTGAAGTCCTTAGAAAGTGACTGTATGTGGAGAGAGGAGCTTTGAAGAGGTAATTAAGGTTAAATGAGGTCCTATGGATGGGTCCTAATCCAATCCAATCTGACTGATGTCTATAAAAAGAGGGGATTGGAACATTGAGAGAGTCACCAGGGGCACATGTGCATATCAGGACCACCAGGTGAAGAGGCAGCAAGAGAAGAGTCATTTGCAAGCACAGGAGAGAGGCCTCAGAAGAACTCAACTCTGCCAGTACCCTGATCTTGGACTTTTAGCCTCCAGAACCAGGAGAAAATCAATTTCTATTTTTGAAGTCACCTAGTCTGGGCACTTTGCTATGGCAGCCTTGGCAAACTAATACGTGCAGCTTACTCTCAGAAAACTCCTGTTGCATTTAAAGGAAACTTAAAGAGGGCACACAGTAGAATTTAAAATTTGGGTACCTATATAAAATAATCAATGTGACAAGAAACAGTAGTCTCACAATGAAATAACTGTCACAACATTTTAAATTATAGGCAATGCACAAGAAGTTCACGATGCAGTGGCTGTGAGAATCCAGATACACTGAAACACATTCTGCGTCATCTAATTCTACCTCAAGACCATTTTGATTAATGATACAGCATCAGTGAAATTTGTGGTATAGAACCTTTTCTTGCATACATTTAAAGTCCTAGACTATTTATTTCTCTGTGGGTCACAATCTATGGGGTCCAGAAATGTCCACCATCTTTCAGGATTCATTCTCAACCTGCCAGAGCACAAATCACCCCATCTGGGTCTTTGAGAGGAGAAATACTTAACAAGTATAATTCTGTTTCCTTCCATGATTTCTAACTTGCCCTTAACTGCCTAGGCTTTGTCGTGAGCAATCGTTTCGTTGACTCACAAACAGTTTTACAACAGGGACATTTGCAAACTGGTAATTTTCAGTTAAAGAAAAAAATATACACAGCCATGTTCCACCACGCCCTTAAATAGCATGATGGTTTTCATACATGTAATTTATACTCCTAAACTCCTTGCATTTCTGTCACTTTGTAATAACATGAAAACAATTTGGGAGTCACATTCATCCACTAGCAGTAAAACTTCCTGTTCCCTTCATGATCTGACTTTATAGTCATCCCCATCAGTTCTCTAAAAACACAACATCTCTCAGTTAAATCTATGCATAAAATCTTAAGAACTCATATTGAAGCTGAGCTCGAGGATATAATAATGTTGCATCAAAACATAGATTCATTTCCTCAAAGTGAAGTTCAGGAGGCGTCACCCAGGAATAAGTTAGATTGTAAACACATGTAACTCACCCTCCAATTTTTTTCTCATTGTTTCTCTTAAACAGTTACTGTAACTCTTCTGAAATGAGAGCTAGGGACTAATCTTCCTTATGTTCACCAATAACGTAGCCTGCTATTTTTAACAGTTCGAAAAATTCTGATGCATATATTCCTACCACTAACCATAGTTGTACGAGATCAGGAGCTATTTTACTTGAATTTCTTCCATGAAATGTTGAATGGCAACTCTCTGGTTCCCAGGATGTGGAGAAAGGAACTCCTTCTGTCGATTTATAAACTGGAATTCAGTATCACCAACAGAGTCTGCAGCCCTGTGAATGGCCTAAGTCCTTCCTAGCTCTTTAGCATACTGAGAAGTTCCCAATTCACGGACAGAAACACCTATAACAGGTTGTCTATATTTTTAGTGTATTCCCATTTTCAAAGGTCCTAGCTGGTGAGTTTTGGGAAATACTGGGCCTTCAAACCCCCAGTGGGTCTTGATGATTTCCATCTTGTCGGACAGATGGACCACTAGTTACCATGGAAGATATAAGAGAAATCACCCATGGCTCAGGAGAATGGAGCTGATATTCCTTGAATTAGCTGTTCATTCACATATTCAGAACGATTTAGCTGTTTTGAATCAAGCTACAAGATGTTTGGTAGATTTATTTTAAACCATTCTCTTCTGGATATAATTTGCCAGGCCTTAACAGCTGCAATTTTTTCTATTTGGTGAACATTTTATTTAGCTTTCTCTTTTAAGGATGAAAATGCTAAATTTAAGCAGTGCTTACTTCTAGCATGAACAAGAAAAGTAGTAGTTGTATTAGTCTGTTTTCACACTGCTGATAAAGACATACCCAAGACTGGGCAATTTATAAGGAAAAAGAGCTTTAATGGACTCACAGTTCCACATGGCTAGGGAGGCCCCACAATCATGGTGGAGGGCAAAAGGCACATCTTACATGGCAGGCAAGAGAGAGAGATATGAGAGCCGAGTGAAAAGGGAAGCCTCCTATAAAACCATCAGCTCTCGTCAGACTTATTCACTACCATGAGAACAGTATGGGGAAACCGCCCCCATGATTTAATTAGCTCCCATCAGGTTCCTTCCATAACACATGGGAAATATGGAAGCTACAATTCGAAATGAGATTTGGGTGGGGACACAGCAAAACTGTATCAGTAGTGTATTTAATAATTGATTATTGAATGTTTCTCCCATCGGTTGCTGTCTCTGTTAGTTACCATATTCTCTCATAGGACCAACCTCAACTTCTGAATTACCCAACAGGGTACAGATAGTGTTCACTAAATCTTCAATAGCCACAATTTCTCAAAGTAGCTAATGGTTTTGACCACTCTCAGAAGCGTCTTTGAAACTCAAGTTGTTTATCACATCTATGTGACATTCACACTTTAATATCATTAAAGAGAATACTGGTCCCAATTTGAGCTAGTACCACCTAGGTGAGTTGTAACGTGCAAATAATCTTTACTCTTGGTATAAATCCATCTTGGGTGTCCCATGATGGACTATTGTAAGTGTGCAGAGGGTTACTTTTATAGCCTGATAAAGATTTCTCCTCATCTCTGATATATTGCATTTTGGTTGCCTCGAATTTGTCTGATGCATGGTGTGAAATTAAAATGTTAGTTGACAGTGTCGTTTTACACATGCACAGATCCTCCATTCCTATTCATTTCTCAGCACAGGTCAGGATTTTCACCTCTTTTGTGAAGGAAAGCTTTTACCTCATGTTTTATAAAGTTATAAATGCTCTGAACATAAATTCTCACACAACCCCTGTGGTTTCCGAGGCAAATCACAAACTTACAGAACAACATTGCTCTGCTTGATCTTGAATAGTAAAATATTTTATAGGAAACATAGAGCTAACTAGGGGAAGTAGTCATTTCTGCTGTAAAGACATGGCTTTATGGTCACAAAGGGATGAATTTTGGAGAGGGTGGTGGCCCTTTCTCACCCCAAGTTGGCATCTGCTTCTCAAAGAGAGGGGGCTGAGGTTATAACCTGAGCAGACAGGAATACTCACTTTGAGCAACTGTCTAGAGCTTTCAGAGCCAGCCATACAAACAGTCAAAATCTGATGCAGAAAGAGTACAAAACCCACAATGTAAAATAATGAGTAATATTTTTTAATACTGTGGTATCTGTTTCTGATTTAGGGTCAATCTTAGTTTACAAACTGAAGCGAGAAGACACGCAGGCTAGGAAACCATGGCACAGAAGATTAAGCGGTTTAACTCTGGTCAAGAAACTAGTAGCTGCTTAAGTAATTATTGTATCCAGTCTCCTTCCTTCTTCACACTGCACACTTGAATAACTGAGCTGCCGCAAGCAACCTGACCTTCAGAAGTAGATGGGTCTGCCTCTATCAAGATTGCATGCATTCAGAGCCAAAGAAAATACAAAACTGTCCAACACTTCAAGAAGGGAGAAGAAACATTAGGAGAAATATCTAATGTAGATAATATGTTGATCGGTGCAGCAAACCACCATGGCACGTGTATACCTATGTAACAAACCTGCACATTCTGCATATGTATCCCAGAACTTAAAGTATTAAAAAAACTATAATTTCTACCTTTTTGACTGTACCATCCCATCATTTTCATCAGCTTAATAAATGTCAAAACAAATTTGATTGTTTTCAAATTTTTAGCCAAACTGGAGGAAAATATTGACTAGTCCCCACCTCGGAACAGAATTATGGACTCTCACTATTTTCTCTTTTATCATCTCTACCAACAATGTAAGCTTATCTAGACCCATGTGCATGATTGAAAGAAGAAGGTACATTTTTATTGTGGTAAAACATACATTAACATGAAATTTACCATGTAAATCATTTTGAAGTGTACAATTCATTGGCATTAACTACATTCACGTTGTTACGCAATCATTATCACCACCCATTTCTAGAACTTTTTCATCATCCCAAACAGAAACTGTACTCATTAAATAATAACTCCTGATTAATCTCTCCCCCCAACCACTGGTAACTTCTATTTTCCATCTCTGTGAATGTATCTATTCTAGGTACCTCATATAGGTGGAATCACACATTATTTGTCCTTTTGTGACCTACTTATTTCACATAATGTAGCACAATGTCTTCAATACTCACCTCTGTTGTAGCATGTGTAGCAGTGCACAAAGCTTCCAAGGTCTCCACATTCTCACCAACATTTATTTTCCATTTTTCGATACTAGCCTTCCTAATGAGTGTGAGAAGAAGGTATTTTATTTATTTATTTATTTATTTTGAGACAGAATTTGACTCTTGTCACCCAGGCTGGAGTGCAATGGCACGATCTCGGCTCACTGCAACCTCCGCCTCCCAGGTTCAAGTGATTCTCCTGTCTCAGCCTCCTGAGTAGCTGGGATTACAGGCACCTGCCACCATGCCTGACTAATTTTTTTTGTATTTAGGAGAGACGGGGTTTCACCATGTTAGTCCGGCTGGTCTCAAACTCCCGACCTCAGGTGATCCACCCGCCTCATCCTCCCAAAGTGCTGGGATTACAGGCATGCACCACCACGCCCTGCCAGAAGAACCCATCTTTTAACCCATTTTTGAGGTGGCCCCAGTGCTGCAAATATATTAATAGCTTAATACATTTTTTGGAGAGCCAAACAAATATGACTTGATGAGAAGTTTGCCATCTCTATCTCTTCATTAAGCCAGAGTAGCCACCCATAAAGTATATTTTGACAGAGGTTCTGGAATAAAGCCATGCCAGGGACAAGGGGTGAGAGGAAGCATCTGGCGGAAAGTCTCGCAAGTCCAAAATCTGTACAGCAAACCATCAGGCTGGAAATTCAGCAAGAGTTGAAGTTGAAGACCTGAATCCAAAATCTGCAGGCTGGACACCCAGGCAGTGTTTCTATATTGAAATCTTGAGGCAGAGTTTCTTCCTCTTTGGGATGCTTCAGTCTTTTCTCCTAAGACCTGATTGAATGAGGCCTACCCATATTATGAAGGGTAGTCTATTTTACTGAAAGTCTACTGATTTAAATGTTAAGTTTATTCTAAAAATACCTTCACAGCTACATCCAGTTTAGTGTTTGACCAAACATCTGGGTACCATAACCTAGTCAATTTGACATATTACATTGACCACAATAGAAGCTTCTACAATAGGAGATTTTACCCTAAGTTTACACTAAAAATGTAAAGAAGCTGAGCACAGTGGCTCACATCTGTTATCCCAGCACTTTGAGAGGCCTAAGTGGAGGTTACTTGAGTCCAGGAGTTCAAGGCCAACCTGGGCAACATAATCAGACCCCATCTCTAAAAAAAAAGAAAAAGAAAAACTAGTTAAGACTTTACATCAAGGACTCAACAGTAAAGACTAAGAACTTTATACTAATGTAAGACTTTATACTAAAAAAAAGCTTGTTTGTTTGTAATGGGGTTTTTAGATGTTACTTTTGTTCTCAATTACTGAAACTTTCAGGCATAAATTTGGGTTTTATAAATATTAGCAATTACCATGGGAGGGTCTTAACAAAATCATTTTTAAATGAATCCTTTACAAATCATTTAAAAACTTTTCTGCGAGGATTCTTGATGCTTCTATTCTTCTTCTTCAAATCAAAAAAACATCTACTGTCACAGACTTCGAACCATGCAGTATTTGCTTTGTGGATTGTTAGATCATAGAGAGTGTTTTCTAGTTTGATCAGAGGGTAGGGGGATTGGATATGCCTGGGGAAACTGAAGTTGAAAATGTGAGCCAGGTTGGGAGTTGAGTAGCAGGGCAAGAGTTTGGACTGGTTTGAAATGGGACGTTTAACTGATAGAACTGGAGATTGTTTGGCCTATAGGATTGGAGGGATAAACTTATTTGACAGCTATCGGCTTGTGGAGGACAGAATTTGAAAATCCTTCCACTAAAAGCACCTAGAAATACTGGCTAAAATATAATATATTTTTATTATCTAATGTAGACACAGTTCAGAAATGAACCTGGAACTAAAACCACAGTGAGAAGCTTTGAGCAGTGATGCTCTGGCTTCCAGAGGACAGGTTGTTAGTCTCAGCAATCTAGGAATCTGCTGATCTTCAGTTACCTGGGGCATCTCTGTTAATACGAAAAAGAAGAGGGGAGATGAATGAAGCCTTGAGTCTTTCTCAAATGGGAAGTTGGAACCAAGGGGCCTACATAAAGTCAGCACTTTCAAAGTACTGCTCCCTATTAAGAGCAAAGACTAGAAACAAATCCACTCCAACAGAAAGACAACAAAGAGACAGGTAAGTCTTGTTCCTTCTGCCATTAGGTCAGAACCAGAGTTCCCAAAGCAATGTGTTCTCTATTATTTGACAATGAATTTCCTTCTCTTGCTTCCTATGCAGAAAACCAAAATCGAGACACAATATTTATCTGATATTAGTGCTCCACATTCCTCCAATATGTATCTCTCATTATGACCAGAATGACTTCCTCATAGCCAGTTAAGCAGACTGCTCTTCCTAGATATAAACTCTCTGGGATTAGAGGACAAGAGTTTGCTCAGTGTGCTAGCCCCCATTTCAGCATCTTTGTGCCTGAACATCTTGTCCTCTGGTGGCTTTGGATAGTCAGCTCACCACTTATTAGAAATATACATTCTGCTGAGGTGATTTATATACATTATCCTTTCTAATTTTTCAATAACCTTGAAAGGTAGGTATTATCAGCTCATTTTAAAGACATTAACACTTAGATTCAAAAAACACATTGCTAAAAGCTAGAAAGCAGTGGAGCTGGATTTAAATGTGGATCTATCAAACTTTTAAGCACATGGTTTTTCTACTATGAGCTATTAGCGCTTACATATTCTTTGCAGAATATAAAATCCAGCTCAAACCTTCTCATCTTCAATCAGAGGTATGCTGGAGCCAGCTTGTGGCAGCAAATGAGCATCTTTCCCAACTCCACTTTCAGTGACTTCACGTTGGTAACTTGTAATGAGCCACTGTAGAATTATTTACACCAGAAAAGTTGGCAAATGCTACAAATCAGGCTTTTCAGAGAGCCCGGTTGTTAAACACTTACCAGCACACCACTTGCTGCCTTTAAACTATACTGATCTCTCGTCTCTCTTAGTTCTTGGTTTGCGCATATTAGAATTAATTATATGATATTCTAAATTTTATATCAATAGATCTTAGTCATTCAGATAATATAGCATAGCAGTTAGCAAATACTTTAATCTCTTAGGTCCAAGACTCTATAAAATAGAATTGGGTTTTAAAAGGCTCTGAGAATTGGAGGCAATAAAGGTGCTAAATGTACCAGCAGGGGGAGCCCAATTTCCAAACATAAGCACTTTGCCTTCTTTTTTTGGAATACAGCAGAGATCAAAATGAAAAATATAGGATAACGTTTGTCAGAAACCCACACATTAGAAATAAATAGAAATGAATAGAATGCTTCAATAAAGTTATACTGGCAGAGCAAATATTACCTGATTCTGCATTGACCATGATACTGGAAATAAGGAAACACCCCGTTTTTTAAAAATTCTAGTAAACCAAAATCTCACAAATCACCACTAAAGAACTTATTCATGTAACCAAACATCCTCTATTCCCCAAAAGTCTATTAAAGTAAAATAAAAATAAATAAAAACTAAATAAATAAATCAGGATGTGTTTCACCAGGGCTAGAAGAAAGAAAAAAATTTGGTAGAAACATAAAATGAAGAACCCAGAACTCTGAAAGATCATACCACTCTTTCTAAAAAGCAAATCAGAAGCAAGTACTGTGCATTTGGTATTCTCTTACAGAGGCCTTTTAAAATATATAAGCTATGCAATTTTCAGAAAGCTGATTCAACATTCAAGATTCCTAAAATTCCCCCAAATAATATATAAATGAAATGCAACTGTAATCTAAAACTCAGTGGGAATTTTTAAAAGCTTGATGAGATTACTCTAAGTTTTATCTGAAAGAGTAAAGGAGCAGGAAGCCATTTAAACACTGAAAAATAAGAATAACTTCTACAAGAGGAAACTTGAACTTTCAGATTTTGCATCACATTACATACCATAATAATTAACACAATATGACATGTGCTAAAATATAACATCAAATAAATTGAATAGATTGTACAGATCTGTGAGTATTTAGAATTTGATTAACACGACATATCAAATTGGTGAAATAATTGTGAATTAGTTAGTAAATGGTGCTGGGATAATTACTCGGGGAGAAAAAGCTAATATTTCTCACCATGCTCTAAAATAAAGTGCAGATGGTCTAAAGATTTAAATGCAATATTGATATTTATATATGTGAAATATATTAAATGCAATATATTTATATGTGCTTGTGTGTGTGTAGTTTTCAGTGTTTTGTTCTATGCATAGAAATATACATTTATTTACAAAAACAAATACACATTTTATGCAAAGGGATTATATGTGATCAGCTTCATTTGTATAATTAAACCACCCCTATGTATCCACCATCCTGTTTCAACACGGACAATCTTGTTTCATCGACCCACACTCTCTTGAATTATTTTTGTTATTTTGATTCAAATATGAGATTTCAAATCATTTTATTCATAAATATTCCAGTATGAACATATAAAGGACAAGGACAATATTATTGGTGAACCCAAAATATTCATTGCAATTGCCTAATGTCATTAAACATCCAGTCAGCATTTCAGTTTCCCCAATTATATTATAAATGCTTTGTTACTATTTATTTGAAGCAGACTCAATTAAGTTCAAGGATATAGTCCCTTTGGCTTGCTCTTACTTATGTGCTCATGCTTGTACAAATCACAGCAACCCATGGGCACCACATACTGTGATTGGCCACACTTGGGTCATGTGCCCACTCCCATCATCATCAGATGGAGCGAATTTTTGTTACAGGAGAAATGGAGTGCTGGGTAAACACAAGCAATGGGCAACATGACCAACACATCCAACCCTACATCGTTATGCAGTGTTGCATTTTCTAATGGACTTCTCAGCCTGCCACTGTAACATAGAGTTAAGCATCTTACGTTGTCTCAAATTGACTGATTGCTAGAAATCAGCCGCCCTCAAAGATTCTCCCAGCTCTTTCTAGAGTTTTCAGGAGCTCTTCTCCTGTGTGTTCCAGAATGAGTTTCTCTGGTTCTCACTCCCCAGCCTCCTAATCTTGACCCCGGTGTTATTGCCTCTTGTGCGGTACCCTCACCTTATACCTATGAAGGTACCACACTATATGTATCTCTGAGAGCAGTCCTCATGGGTGACCACCTTTACCCTCCCACTGCCCTTGGAAACAGACATTGCTCTTTGAAACCGACCAGGCCCTCCCACTGCTAGGAGAAGTAGTGAGTCTTCTAGTCTTGGGTCTACTGCTTACTAGCTGGTGTGTCTGTGTTTCCACACATACTGCGTCATGGTCAACCCACCAGATGTATTTAGTTAATCCCTACTGGTCCCTCCAGTGCGGCCACCATGAATCGAGCTTTCTCTGAATGGGTCTTCTGTCACTGTAATCTCTCTTTCAACCTGTGAGAGCTGTTAAAATAGACCCCCTGCTGAGGGATGAAACGAACTCCCTGTGGCTAAAACAAGGCACTTCAGAGATGAAATCAAGTGGCCGTAGCAGAGAGGGGTTGGCCACAAAACCCTGTATTCCTGTCATAAGGTCTTGTTTCCTATAATTGAGCAGAAGCTAGCCCTTGCCTGCAAAACGCCTCTATGCCCTACAGTTCACCTTTTGATGGTAAAGAGCCCAATTCTGCCTCATTTTAATGTTAAAATTCTACCCTAAAATGAACAGAGAATGTATGTTACATGCATGCACACCCACTGCACATGCATTTGGGGTCTCCCTCATAAATATTTATAGATTTTCTCCAAATCTGCTAAATATGCGCCTAAGGCAGACCCCAAAGAACACAAACACCAGCTTTCCCTTTCCGCTCTTTGGTGTTTTCAGTTTCTCTGGAGGCTACGTTCTTTGATCTGCAGATCTGGTCTCTCAAAGTTTTCTTCTTTCCTTTCTCCATAGATGTCATGGTCCTTTGTTAACAAAGCGGTCTTCTTAGTCTACCTCATTTTACCAAGTGTTTCTATTTCTTCTCGTTTGCTTTCAACAGTCTCTATTGTAACGCAGCCTCAACTCCAGATTGACTTTATTTATGGAATGCTTCCTTTAATATTAATAGATGTAACAATTCACTCATTAAAGAGTCAGTGTTTCCTGAAAATATGGAAAAACTAGCAGGTATAAAATACTGAGTTATTTCATATAGAGTGAAAAAGAAGCTCAACAGCAAATTTCAGCGTTCATTTTAAGAATAAATTGTAATTTAGAATCTGATCAGAACCTAATGCAAACCTGAAAGCCTGCTTTGATTTCGATTTGGCTGCCTGTGTTAGCTGCTTAATAAAAGTCTGTAAATTTATCTTAAAGTTTACATTTCTAACACATTTATCTCTAGAAGAATCTAGTGAGATTTATAATATTCTGAATATTTGTTTCAATTTAACAGTATTTGAAGAGCTCATCATGAACTCTGATTCTCACAAAGGGATTCTGCCTCCTGCATTTTAGTTATTTGGTAAAATTGTTCAGCCTAGCTTTGTAGGGAAGAGAAAAATGTGTCTCTTGGGCCTCATAGCAGATGGCAGGCCACATGAGAAGGCAGATTCATTATTTCATTGGTGAAAAATCTGCCAAGAAAATTCCTTTTATCTCATGAAAGGCTCAACCTTCAGAACTGAGAGCATGCATTTGGAAGGTGTTATAAATACTTTATGTTACTTTGTTTTTGCTGTCAGTACATTTTGAATGCTGCCCTGGGCTCTAGAGTCAAACACTGGCCTAAAGTCTCAGCACCACTTAAAACTGCATGTGCATTAGAGCTCCTTAACATATCAACCTCATATATAAAATAGGACTCCTGATATAAGGGCTGATTGTTCTATTAATTGAGTTCAGTCATGCCAATTAAATAGCACATAGAATCTGGAAGGTGCTCAACAATACTAATTCCCTTCCTATAATCTCCAAGGAGTAGTTAAATCAGCATTCCCCAAAGCATGCTCGCTACCAGTTTTTAATAGTTACGGCAAAGAAACGTTTCTGTGATTAAATATATTTGGGCAAAACTGGCTTATACAAAGATAAATCGATCATAGACTTCCCTTGTGCTTTTGTTACCTACACAAGGGGTGGGCTCAGTCACTTGGTGGATACCAACCCAATGGCCACAACCAAAGAGGCTTTTGCAAAGGGAATGTATTACTTGTAACAAGCAAAGAGAACACCTTGAGGTAGTTTCCAAAGCAGTGTCTTCCTGAGCTGGGGGCTGGGTCACTTCTTATAAGCATAGGGTAATGAGGCATGATCTGACTGGATTTTGCAACAAGATGATTTTGGGAGGCATGATCTGACTGGATCCTGCCATGGGGTGATGCCAGAACTCAATCTGATTGGATCCTGTACCTTGCTATACCGTGTTCCTCCACTTCTTAATTCAGTCCCCTTAATTCAGAGCACTTAGGTTCACCCGGTTGGTGCAGGCTTGGCTCTTCCAGGCATGCTCAGCTTATGTGGCCTAAGGGTCCATGGCAACTGAAAAACAACTCCCAACTTTGTTACATAAAGGCTGAACAAGATTGGCTTGGAGCAGTTACATTTTCCTTTTCCTTTTTTAACTGCAGGGCATCTAGGAAACTTTTATGTGGATTTCTAAAGCACCATTACCCAGTCTTATTTGAATATGGAGTCCTTTCTTCCCGCAAAAGTAACAATCTGCAGGGCACATTTAGGGAAATAGTGGGTTACCCTCCATCGGAGCAATAAATCCTTCAACCATGGCTGCTTTTCTTGTATCTATACCCCACAGTTTTGTGATGGGACTGGTTCTCATATGTTTTAAAGAATTTTAAATGATTTTTAAAAGAAATGTTAATATATTTGAAGGAAAAAGACAATGGTTTGTTATAAACAATAGATATGTTTCTTCTGTTATTAAAACAGAGCCTAGATTTGGTACATAAGTATGTGATGTACTGACACATTTTCAGAGTTTCTAAAAATGTTAAAAACGGAATAATACTAAAAGGCTATTTCGCTTAATCCTTAGCAGGGCACAGCTACTTTCATTAAAATGTTTTCTGGCTCTTTTAGGCTAACAATCTGTGCACTTAGTACTCAGCAAAGTGGTTTACTTTCACCACCAAATCCGCAAAGCTTTCCTTTTTCTCTGACCTTGAAGACATGAGAACTTGGAGAAGAATCTGCTACACAGGTAAGGCATTCACCACTTTCACACTCTTCCAAATGAGCAGGAAAGAAGAAAACTTCAGCCTGTATGAGGAAAAGAGAGGGGAGGGAGACGGGAGAGTAGGGAGCCCGCCTCCATGGGCTGGGACTTGGGCAATTACTCCAAAGGACCTTGGCTTGATTTACGGTTTTGCTGTCACTTATTGAAATTCTGTTTTTTTGTTTGTTTGCTTTGTTTTGTTTTGTTTTTTGTTTTTGACAGAGTCTTGCTCTTTCGCCGAGGCTGGAGTGCAGTGGTGCCGTCTCGGCTCACTGCAACCTCCTCCCAGGTTCAAATGATTTTCCTGCCTCAGCCTCCCGAGTAGCTGGGACTACAGGTGCGTGCCACCACACCCAACTAATTTTTTTTTTAATAGTAGAGATGGGGTTTCGCCTTGTTGGCCAGGCTGGTCTCAAAAACTCCTGACTCAGGTGATCCACCTGCATCAGCCTCCCAAAGTGCTGGGATTACACGTGTGAGTCACCGCACCCAGCCTTGAAATTCTAAATAATTTTTCAACAAATGGTTCCATATTTTTATTTTGCACTGGGCTCCTCAAATTATGTAGCCGGTCCTATAAGGAGGGGGGAAACTTTGAAGAGAGGGCATGGCCTTTTCAGTGTTTGGCAGGTGTGAGTTGACAGCATTTAGCACTGACTGAGGAAGTAAGTGTCTGATCAGAGATCTCAGCCCTAATGCCACAGACAGGAAAAAAAAAATGATAGTGCTAAACTGGCATGGCAGGCGGAGAACAAATTGAAGTGATAAATACATATTTTGTGGCTGAGCCTTTCCAAACTGATAAAATATTTGATTTACTATCCCTCTTCTGAAATCCTAAGTAACTTACAGCATCCAAAAGAACAGCCTGGGGGTGGTTATGCTCCTAACAGAAACCCTCTATTTACACAGCCATCAATTTCCCCTAGGGAGGGTTGCCATGGTGAGGTCTGTCACACCCGACAATCACTTCTACACACCATTCATTTAGAAAGTAAGCAATTAAATTCTACCCTAAAAGGACATACAAAAGAGGGATCATTATAGCCATTTTGGATGACTCATTCATTGGGATTAAAAGGTTGAAAGCCTCTTCAGGTCAAAATCATAGCTCCACCACTTATTTCTCATTAAGAATCTTTTTGGGTACTGCATAATTTAAAACCTTAGGGCCACTGTTGCTACAGAGAAAAATTGCAGAACCTAAAAATATTCATGAATTTGACTTTTTAAAACTAGACTTTACAGGATGGACCCAAGAGAAGGGTATTTGTTTTCCAGTCAGTTTCATAAGAGTGGTGAATAAAAGGGAAGCGCTTTCAGATTGTGTCAAGGCAGAAGGCTGGATGAAGGGGATTGGAAAGCTGCTTCTGGGGAAGTGTGAAGAAAATCAAGAGAAGATCTGGTCATAGTGTTCAAAATAGGAGTGCTTCCCAGATGGAGAGGTCAGCAGTGACAAATGCATCACCTCCCAGCAATGTGGGGCATTGCACATACAGAACATTCCAGGTAGGCAAAGTGCAAAACTCCCAGAGTGAAATAGGGAGACCACAAAATGTTACAGGAAGTTCAAGTCAAGCACTGGAACACTGCAGGGATGGTGTTCCCTGGAGTTGTTCTGCAGTGGCCCTTAAATCAGAGAAATGAGAACTATCCCAGGAGAACGCACAGTGCAAGAAGAACATAGAGCTACTGACTCCGGGGAACAGATACCTTTAAGACAGTAAGAAAGAT
The DNA here is from genome assembly GCF_000001405.40 of Homo sapiens. Taxonomy (NCBI): domain Eukaryota; kingdom Metazoa; phylum Chordata; class Mammalia; order Primates; family Hominidae; genus Homo; species Homo sapiens. The sequence continues at coordinate 12,873,748 of NC_000008.11, forward strand.
CTTTGAAGAAAGTCGAGGGATTGCTGGAGAGGTAGGAAAGGCAACCAGGAAAGGGTCTTGCTTAAAGGCCTGTGACTGTATTTAAAGAAGTGCTCAACTCTACTAAATGCTGCAGAACGGTCAAGTCAGAAAACAGCTGAAAGATACCTACCAGATGCACCAATTTAAAAACCGACACTGATGACGTTGGAAAACAAAATTTCAATGGAAGGGCTGGATTATTATAGTGGGTTAAGAAGTGACTGGAAGGTAAAGAAAAGGGGAAAGTGAATGTGGCCCAGCATTTCAAAAATCTGAGTTCTGAATGGGAGAAAAGAAAAAAGACATCATCTCCTAACCCACAGGGGCTGACTGAGCATCCTTAATAGGAGGGAATAGTCCTGAAGATCACAGAAGATGGGAACCCCGACTGCCTTATTCACTGTTACTTCCCCACTGGCGGGTCAGTACCTAGCACAGAAGCACTCACTGGATATTGTGTGAATGGATGACGCTGAGAATGTTTAGATTTTGATACTTTCAGAATGGAGTCTGCATAGAGTTGGCCTTATTACAAGTGGGGAGAAGGGATAGAGAGGGGGAGAAGAGATAAGGGTGGGGAGAGAAAGAGCCCCAGTGTAAACTGCAGTATTCAGCACAATTTGGCCAATACGTATGTGTTCCAAGCTGCTGGATAAGCCAGGGAATCCAGGCTGTTGAGGGAGGGTCAAGAAGTGTCTCAAACAGCAGCAGCACTAGTGGTCATGTGGGCATTAGCAGCACAGCTCTGAAAAGTCATTGGTAGGAACCAAGACAGAATAAAACTCCCGAAGGAATGGGGGATGCAAGATCTCAGCAGGTGACAGGCCACTAACACACTGCTTGAGAAGTAACACAGGACTCTTCTTCCCCGGAGGGTCATTTGGAGACATATGGAAGTTTAAAGTGGGATCCCACATTTAATGGAGCCCTGAGGATATCGTGGCAGGACTAAGCCTGTAGGATCAAAGTCTTTGTGCCTACAGCTGGGGAGCCTGGAGTAGAAACAATCGGTGGTTAGTCCTAGTTAGCTCAATTTAACAAACATTAATTGAATAGTTCCTATGTTACCAGGAGCCATGGAATCTACTGGACATATTAATGTATATAAAATACCATGTCTGTTCTCCAGACACTCAATATCTAGCATAGGAGACAGACTTATATGCAAATAAACACAACAGAAAGAAGTGATACATACAAAATAGAACCATGTTTAAGATAGCTAGAATAGAAGGATGTGAATTCTGACTGGGGGGATTGGAGGAGGCATCAGAGAGAGGGGCTCTTGAGCAGAATTTTTAATAAAAAGAAGTTAAGTTTTCCAGGCAGACAAAGGAGGAGATGTTCAAAGCACAGATGTCGTTATCTTGTGCAAAGGTATGGGAGCTTTGATTGTAATATATTCTACTGGACAAAAGTTGGATAATTAACGTGCTTTCCCAAAGCATATGACACAAAAACAGATCAGATCACTTTTAGCCTTTCAAGCTACCAATTATAAAGCCTTCTTTAGCACTACCTGTTCTGTAGTAGAAAGAAGACGTGGCTAGGGTAAGTGGGATGTCCTTGAACAGCACAGCGAGCTTGTAGCTCTAACAAATCCCTGGATCTCCTTTCTTCACCTATAAATAATAGGTAGGCTAGCTTATTCCTATTTAGTCCTAAATGTTCATATTTCTTCTTCCCCCTTTAAAACATTGTTAAGGACTTTTTAGAAAGGTCATCTCTCTGCTGTGTTCTCACAACTAGACATCCCAATCACTGCATCACTGTTACCAAGCAGCAAGGCCTCTTTCCAGCGATGTTAGCCAGGGGAGGTTCGGCTGATCACCCAGGTCCAGGGCAGCACATTCGTTCCCTACTCTTTTTTTTTTTTTTAATTAGTCCCTGTTTCACTGGTGTCTTCCAGACTTCCTTTTCTCTCCCATTTGCTCGGTTCAGCTTTGTTGTTTCAAATAAATCTCCATGGAAGGAAAAATACAGTGATCCTTTAAATCCACGGACTCTTCTAAGCTGAAAGCCCTCCAGATGGCTCATTCTTGCCTCTCTGCTTAATTTCCCCCATCCATCTGAGAAGATGTCTCTTAATCATTCCTACTGCATCTTGATGTCTCTTTTAATCAATGGCTTTTTAAAAGATAAATTACTTTTCAATAATTGTTACTAGGCACTTTGCAAGTTCCTTCACATTTACAAATTACTTTTCAATAATTGTTAATAGACACTTTGCAAGTTCCTTCACATCTTTAGCTTGGGAGAGAAATTTTCTTAGTGGAGCATTTGGACTAGAACAGCCAAACAAATATAATTTTAACTGGTTTTATGACACGACCCTAGAATAATAAAGGTCACTAAGCTATTAGTGAATTTTCATTTACTTTTTGAATATTGTATTGTTCCTGACAGCCAAAAATTTGCTTTGTATCTGCTATTGATTATATTTTGCTTCCTGAACATGTTATGCATAAGGTTACTTTATTTCTAAGTGTGTATCCTTTTTCTCTACTTACTCATTTAATTTTAACTTAACTTCTTATTTCTGTTCTTAAATACATTCCATTGGTAGACATTATCGTTTGAAAACTCCTTTTGGCAATCTCTTTCAAATGGGAGTCTTTGATATGGTCAGTGCTCTGGCTTTTCAGGGAGGGCTCTGTGAAATGAACCTGCACATCTTTGCAACTTCTGAGATTTTCCCCTCCACTCACTAGCTGATGTTCTGAGCCCTTTCCTGGTTTGGTTGGACTGAAAGGTTCCCATGTGTGGCTTTCAGCCATTCCCTAATGCTATTTGATGTTGGTGAATAGTCCAGGTTATAAAGTATTTTGCAAGCTCTCCTTGCGTGGGCACCCTCCTCCCATTTAATTAGCCAGTGGGAAGAAGAGAGGAAAGTATCTCTGGAGAGCAGTCTCCAGATGCCGAGAGCTAATAAATCACTTTCTGCAACACCACGTTTTCTTCTTTACTCAGAATTATTCTTCAATATGTGATTCCAAGCAAGATTTGATTCCTATTTTGCTTTTGTTCTGTAATGCAACTATAGCTGCTTGTCTTTTAGATTTTTCAGTTGCCTGCCTTTCCTGAATTGTCTTCTTCACATGATACAACCTATGCAATCCAATTTTACTGAAACTATGTAAAATGATTGTGCCTTGAAGAAAAAACTGCATTTCTACTAGAGCATAGCCATCAGGACTTCAGGTTCTGAGACTCACTTAAATGCCTCTCAAGGATACAGGAGTGAGATGCACCAAGAGGCAATTTGCTCCATCCCTCTTAGGTAGGTTTGGTTAGAAAGGGTGAGCAAATTCCGTGGCTGCTTTACTAATCTTGGAAAGACAGTGTTGTAATAGAGGAACATGTCTCAGAGAGACATGTGTATCCATTACCTTTCAGAGCCATGGCAAAATCAACTCAATTTGGAGATAGTGTCTTTTGTGTCCATTTAAAACAATTTTGAAATTCAATTCATTTTAAATTTATGGACCACAATGGAGTTTTTTACTATATCTGTTAAAATATGGAAACTTTAGCTCATTTCGATAGCATATGCTATATATACACAAATGGAATTTAAGAATGCATTTCATTTTGGGGGGGATACATGAGAACTTAAAAGGCAATGCCATTTAAATTGTGCCCCATTTTTCTCTCAAGCATGGGAGTACTGGGCTGTGAAGTTACCTCCCCATATATGGATAGTAAGACGTTTTTCGACAACCTACAGGATGGGAGAAAATTTTTGCAATCTAGCCATCTGACAAAGGTCTAATATTCAGAATCTACAAGGAATTTAAACAAATTTACAAGAAAAATCAAACAACCTCATTCAAAAATGGGGAAAGGACATGCACAGATGCTTCTCAAGACATTCGTGCAGCCAACACACATATGAAAAAAGCTCAGTATCACTGTTCATTAGAGAAATGCAAATCAAAACCACAATGAGATGCCATCTCACACCAATTAGATTGGCTATTACTACAAAGTAAAAAAAACAAAAACAAAAACAAAAAAACCAACACATGCTGGTGAGGTTATGGAGAAAAAAGAAATGTTTTTACAATGTTGCTGGGAGTATAAATTAGTTCAACCATTGTGGAAGACAGTGTGGTGATTTCTTGAAGACCTAGAGGCAGAAATGCCATTTGACCCAGCAATCCCATAACTGAGTATACACCCAAAGGAATAGAAATCATTCTATTATAAAGATACGTGTACACATATGTTCAGTGCAGTACTGTTTACAATAGCAAAATCATGGAATCAACCTAAACGCCTATCAGTGATAGACTGGATAAAGAAAATGTGGTGCATATACACAATGGGTTACTATGCAGGCATAAAAAGGAACAAGACTGGCCGGGAGCAGTGGCTCACACCTGTAATCCCAGCACTTTGGGAGGCCGAGGCGGGTGGATCACTTGAGGTCAGGAGTTCGAGACCAACCTGGTTAACATGGTGAAACCCCGTCTCTACTAAAAATACACAAATTAGCCGGGCATGGTGTTGGGTGCCTGTAATCCCAGCTAGTTGGGAGGCTGAGGCAGGAGAATCGCTTGAACCTGGGAGGCGGGGGTTACAGTGAGCCGAGATTGTGCCACTGCACTCCAGCCTGGGCGACAAGCGTGAGACTCTGTCTCAAAAAATAATAATAATAAATAAATAACAAGGAACAAGATCATGTTCTTTGCAGGAACATGGATGGAGCTGGAAGCCATTATCCTCAGCAAGCTAACACAGGAAAAGAAAACCAAACACTGTATGTTCTCACTTATAAGTGGGAGCTGATTGATGAGAACACATGGACACGTAGAGGTGAACAACACACACTGGACAGCTGTGCAGAGCGTTAGGGGAGGGAGAGAATCAGGAGGAATCGCTAATGGATGCTGGGCTTAATATCTAGGTGATGGGATGATCTGTGCAGTAAACCACCAAGGCACACATTAACCTATGTAACAAACCTGCATATCCTGCACAAGTACCCCTGAACTTAAAATAAAAGTTGAAAAACAGAAAAAAAAAAAACCAAAAGAATGACTGTCTTTCTTTGAGAAGCAGTGTGATGTTGTATAGAGAGCCCAGGCTTTGGGAGTCAGACAGAACTGTCATTGAATCCTGGCTCCAGGCTGGCTGTGTAATCCTGAGCACATTGCTTAGGCTCTCTGAATCTGTTTCTTCATAGTCACATTCCTCATGGTCAGTGTGAGAACTGGTAAAGTTAGTATCTATAAAATGCTGAGCATAGAGCCTGGAGGAGAGAGAACCCTTGGTCCTAATCATGCCATACATCAGACAGAGGGGAGCTTTTAAAACGACACCTCTTCATGTCCCGGGAGTGGAGAGTCTCTGAGAAGTAAAAACCACTCTCTTTCAGATTAATGGGGAGTAATCCACCAAATTAGTGAAAATAGAAATAATCAGTTCATCTTAATTTTATAATTTTCAATTACAGAAACTAATTAGGAAGTATTATCCACCTTTTATTGTGTCTCCATTGACAATTTGTTTGTAGACCTTTTTAGCTTTCACTTCTGTGCATTTCCTCTGTCAGGGGCCCTAACACTAGAACACAGTATTCCTTCTCCAAGGTCTTGAACCAGATGACTTCTGAGCATGGTGAGTGAACCTCTCCGATCTGTATCCTAGCCTTCCAGGGACACTCGGTTGTAAGTCTCACAAAATCAAGAAAGGGCCTGGGGCTCAAGGTAAAAATCTGGAAACACTGGAGGCAAATGAAGCCAGAAAGATGGTGAAGTTTTCCGAAGAGATCATAAAAAGAAAGAAAGAGAACTTGGACATAAACCTGAAAAATGTCAGGCTTTAAGAGGAAAAAAGAATAATAGGAGTCCATAAAGAAGACTGAGATGAAACAGAAAGGTAGGAGGAAGTCGCAATCCCAGAAGTCAAGATAAAAGGAAGCCTCTTTTTTAAAGAAAATTAAAATTGAATGTATATTTCTGCTGAGATGATTATGGCATTTCTGTAAATATATTATGAGGAGAGGGTAATCTTTAAAGTTTTTAATCAGGGTAATAATTAAGATCCAGCAATAATGACTGACGTTTGCAAAATATCAAAAACATGTGCATTTTTGTATATAGTATCTGCTACTCAGAGTAAAAAAGCAATAGACATTTTCACATTTCCTCCAGTTAATATCTTTGAAAACCTGTGAAAGTTTTCTCAAAATGTCAGCAGCCTATGAGTTTCACAATCAACATAACAGAGAGCATTTATTCCAAGATTCTTGTTTCCTTCCAGCACTTTGGCAAAATCAGGAACAATGTATTCCCCATAAAATTGATATCTATCACTTATTCCATCCAATTTGAGACCAGCCTGGCCAACATGATGAAACCCCGTCTCTACTAAAAATACAAAAAATTAGCCGGGTGTGGTGGCGGGTGCCTGTAGTCCCAGCTACTTGGGAGGCTGAGGCAAGAGAATCGCTTGAACCTGGGAGGCGGAAGTTGCAGTGAGCCGAGATTGCGCCACTGAACTCCAGCCTGGGAGACAAAAGCGAAACTCTGTCTCAAAAACACCACCAACAATAAAAAAAGCAAAAATGAAAAGAAACAACTATAGTTGTGCATGTCAGGAAGGCTCTACTGTCTATCAATTGAAGTTTTTTTGCATTTACTGAAGTTAAAATAAACGAGGAGTTTTTAACAAAATACTCAGTGGTATGAGAAGGAAAAGAGCAAAAAGTCAGTTCTCTTTTCTTCCTGCCCTACTTTCTATCAGTCACTCAGTAACTGTTTAACGGTGCTAGGCTGGGAGCAGTGGCTCATGCCTGTAATCCCAGCACCTTGGGAGGCCAAGGTGGGAGGATCACTTGAGGCCAGGAGTAAAGACCAGCCTGGGCAACATAGTGAGATTCCATCTCTATAAAAAATGTTTTAAAATATATTAGCTGGGCATGGTGGCACATGCCTATAATCCCAGCTACTGGGGAGGCTGAGGTGGGAGGATCACTTGAGCCCAGGATTTCCAGGCTGCAGTGACCTATGATTGCACCACTGCACTCCAGCCTGAGGAACAGAGCAAGACTTTGTCCTCAAAAATAGAAAAGAAAATAAAAAGAATGTCCCTTCGTGTCACTCACTGAGCTGGAGATATAAATGAATAAGGTAAGGTATGACTTTCAAGAAGAAGAAGACACGAAGAGAGAAAACCTCCATTTACTGAGGATGTCATGTGTGCCAGGTACCCTCCTAGGCCCTTTACATGCCATAGCAGATCCAGGATTTGGGGAATCAAAAACGTACACAATTTGGGGATCTTCTTTAAGAGAAAGAATATAAAATTTTAAAAAGAAAATTAGGTGCAGGGTCTTAGACAAGCCCTGAATCAGACCACTCTTTTGTGTATAAAACTCGGAAAATCTTCCTTTCACACTTTAAAATCCAAACTCTCTCCCTTGGCTTTGAAAATTCTACATGATTTGGCCTCTTGTAGAAGTCTCTTTGGAGACTCCATATTAAATAAAAGAGTGTATGTTCACCCATTGGAAGTGTCAACCAAATTGATGTTTAACTGACACAGATAGGGAGGCAATCACTAGATCAATGGTTCCCCAAATTCCATTTACCAAAGACTCTTTGGAGTACTCCTTCATCAAAGGAAATCCCAGAACCAGCACCCGTCTCCAGTTACGCTGAATCCAAGCGGCTGTGGGTGTGGCCTCATGAATCTGCATTTTAACTGGGAGCACTGCATGAAAACCTGATGCAGAGAGATAAAGTTTATGATTACAACTCTAAGTCCAGATACAAGATTCAGTGATTTCAAAATCACTAACAGTAGAACTTGGTTTATATTAATTATAAATGGAAAGATGAAACAGTAGACATGGGCCCTAAGACCCTTACCAACTTCAGTCCCAGATTCAGAGGTAACTAAGCTGGGTGTCATTTTTTAAAGTGTCTCAGGTGACACCCAATATACTTCAAGAAGTTTGTGTAGGAAAGAATCCTAACATAAGAACAAGGTCCTCACTATTACCCAGAGTATTATACTGCAGCATCAGTCTCTCAGCAATGAGGCTTGGAGGGTTTTTTGTTTGTTTGTTTTTGGGGGGATGTTTTTTTTTGAGCCGGAGTCTTGCTCTGTCACCCAGGCTGGAGTGCAGTGGCGCGATCTTGGCTCACTGCAACCTCCACCTCCCAGGTTCAAGCAATTCTCCTGCCTCAGTGTCCCGAGTAGCTGGGATTACAGGCACGTGCCACCATGCCCTGCTAATTTTTGTATTTTTAGTGGAGACAGGGTTTCATCATGTTGGCCAGGATGGCCTCAATCTCCTGACCTCGTGATCCACCTGTCTCGGCTTCCCAAATGCTGGGATTACAGGCGTGAGACACCGCTCCAGGCATGGGGGGATTTTTTTGAGACAGAGTCTCACTCTGTTGCCCAGGCTGGAGTGCAGTGGCATGATCATGGCTCACTGCATCCTCAATCTCCCAGGCTCAAGTGATGTTCCCACCTCAGCCTCCTGAGTAACTGGGGCCACAGGCACACACCACCACACCTGGCTATTGCTTGTATTTTTTGTAGAGACAAGGTCTTGCTATGTCACCCGGGCTGGTCTCAAACTCTTGGGCTCAAGTGATCCTCCCAAAGTGCTGGGAATACAGGTGTGAGCCATTGTGAGAAGTCAGGTTTTTGTTTTTCTTATTTCTGCTTTTATTTTAGATTCAGAGAGCATATGTGCAGGATTTTTACCTGAGTATATTACATTAATGCTGAGATTTGGGCTTCTACTGATCCCATCACCCAGATAGTAAACATAGTACCCAACAGGAAGATTTTCAGCCCTTGCTTCCTTCCCTTCTTTTAGAGTCCCCTGTGTTCATTGTTCTCATCTTTATGTGTATGTGTACTTAAGATTTAGCTCCTAATTACAAGTGAGAACATGCTGTATTTGGTTTTCTGTTTCTGTGTTAATTCATTTAGGATAATGGCCTGCAGCTGCATCTGTGTTGCTGCAAGGAACATCATTTCATTCTTTTTTATGGCTGCATAGTATTCCATGGTGTATATGTACCACATTTTCTTTATCCAGTCCACCATTGATGGGCACCTGGGTTGATTCCATGTCTTTGCTATTGTGAATAGCACTGTCATGAACATACAAGTGCATGTGTCATTTTGGTAGGGCTATTTATTTTCCTTTGGGTACCCAGTAATGGGATTTCTGGGTCGAGTGGTAGTTCTATTTTCAGTTCTTTTGCGAAATCTCCAAACTGCTTTTCACAGTGGCTGAACTAATTTACATTCCCACCAACACTGTATAAGTGTTCCTTTTTCTTAGCACCCTCGCCAACATTTGTTAGTTTTTGACTTTTTAATAATAGACTTGGAAGCTTTTAAGTTTCCACTGGACACTGGAAAAGGGTAAGGCAGAGAAACATCTCACTAGAAAGAAGTGGTGAAAAAGAAGTGAAGACAGTATTTTTATTTAGGAGGGGGAGTCTTGTTTCATGCCAACAATTAGACTTTACTCACGTATTCTGTCTGCGCTTCCCACATACACTCAAATGCATCTCAACAAACCCTTCTCTTCAGTAAGTAGAATATTTTTCTCTTATTGAGAATGGCAAGTTCCACTTAAACCAAAACAGACGGCATAAAGAACACCAACACCAAGACAGATGGTTATAAAAAACAATGAAAATATTGGAACAAATATTATCAATTTTTTTAGGTACAGATAAGAGCTTGATGAATCCCACATATATTTATCAGCACCAACAACCACTGTCCAAAGGAAAAGTCTTTTCAGCTCTCCCAACACTCACTCCTGTTACACAGAAGCAAATATAAATATGAGAAAAAACAACTACAATCATCAAACATTTTGGAAAAATCAGTATCATGAAAGAATGGCACCAAACTCAGAAGAGCTGACAACTGTGGAAATAAAGATCATACAGGAAACAGAACCATTAACAAACTCAGCCTTTCAAGAAACTATTATAACCACAGGACAACAATGTCAGCCCCAACAAGGAAAACAATTCAAACCAATACAGAAAATGTTTAAAAGTAGGGAAATGTTTGAGCTTTAAATTTATGAATTAGGTGGTTTTCTACTTCACCTATGTGTGGGTAAAGATGTCTTATCTCTTGTGTTCTATAACAGTTTTAGAGACCTAGTGAATCAGAACAAATGTCAGGAGTTGTACACTAAAATATTAATAAGTATAAGCTCAGTTAAACGTGAGTCTTACCTTTTCCACTCACACTGGGCACCTGAATCTTGACAATTTATCTGTGGAAACATCACAATATCTGCTGGTGAGCTGAGCACAGTGCCTTACACCTGTAATCCCAGCAACTTGGGAGGCTAAGGAAGGAAGATTGGTTGAGGCCAGAAATTCGAGGCCAGCCTGGGCAACCCTGTTTCTACAGAAATTTTTTAAAAAATAAGCTAGGTGTGGTCGTACATGCCTCTATTCCTAGCTACTTGGGAGGCTGAGGCAGGAGGATCACTTAAGCCCAGGAGTTCGAGGTTACAGTGAGTTATGATTGTGCCACCACACTCTAGCCTGGTTGACAGCACAAGACCCTGTCTCTTAAAAGAAAAGAGAAGAAAAAAGATATCTGCTGGTAACAATGTCTACAGAACTGGGATTTTAATTTGGGGGTCTTAAAAGACAACATCAGAAGTTAGGGCAATAGACTTATAGTTGGTAAAGACACGTTTTGAACAAAGTAATTAGAACAAAATTATACAGTTTCCACTTGATCCTGTATGTCTCACGTGGAATCAGGGATTTCAGGCACCAGTATTTATAATAGCTTACTACCCCAGATCTAGGCAGTATTAGACCATAAGAAGATTTGCACTGTTTCAATTCACAATGGAGAAAGGATTGTAATTTCCTTGCAAATGTCTCTTTCTTCCCCCTGTACCATACCCCTGTATCTCTTAAGACAACACACACACACACACACACACACACACACACATTCTCTCCCTCTCTCACTCCCTACTTTTTTCCTTCCCACTGAGAGATTCAAACCTTCAAAAAGTCCCAAATTCCTTCCCATTTAATAAAAATGTCCTCCAAATTTAAAATTACTGAGATATAATCTTGAAATATTTTTTGCTCCAGTGCAACAAATAAATAAGTGTAACATTTTGGGAAAGAATTAAAAAAACAAAAATAAGCTGGGAGGATTGACAAGTCTAGCACATTATGATTGAAAGAATTAGGAGGTTTTTGTCAAATGCATAAGGCACAATTTCTTTGGCTCAGATTGTTCTGTCTATATTTCTTCATTTTTCTTATGTAAATACATATAAATTAGTTTTCAGAATTGCTCTGGTGAGGATGGTGTTCAAGTATTAGTTGTAAAGTTTCAGGAAAAGCAGGAAAAAAAAACCTAGTGGAAACCTAGACCTCCTTGGAATCCAACCCAGCATACACACGCACTTTTTGTGAGCTGAGGGAGAGCAGCTCACCAGCACTCCATTTCATATCCATCCTAATTATTGCACAAAATCTCCTAAGGAGATCTAATTGTTAAAAATATAGCATTAGAATGCTTCTTGCTATTTGAACTTTGGTTCTGCTCCAACTAGAACAGAATGAAATGTACTGAAGAACAGGAGGGAACATTGCAACACAGAATGGATCACTGCAAATCCAACCTTTATTAGAATGCTAAAGCTAAAGCACAGATGATTAAATTTTCTGTACCTTTGCCACCTAAGTCAGGCTTCTAGAGCTTTCCCACAGCTATAAGGTATCTTTCTGGTCTGAGGTCTTCTTGTAAGCATACACCCTCAGCAGTCTCTTAGCTACTTTATTATTCATCAGTGGTCTGTTGACATTGAGCCCAGGGCAGACATGAATTTTGCAAAGCAGACACTAAAGGAAACTGATATGGTTTGGCTGTGTCCCTACCCAAATCTCATCTTGAATTGTAGCTCCCATAATCTCCACCTGTCATAGGTGGGACCTGGTGGGAGGTAATTGAATCATGAGGGTGGATTTTTCTTGTGCTTTTCTCAAGATAGTCAATAAGTCTCATGAGATCTGATGGTTTTATAAAGGGGAGTTCTCCTGCACACGCGCACTTGCCTGCTGCCATGTCAGACATGCCTTTGCTCCTCTTTCATCTTCCACCATGACTGTGAGGCATCCCCAACCATGTGGAACTGTGAGTCCGTTAAACTTCTTTTTCTTTATAAATTACCCAGTCTCAGGTATTTCTTCATGGCAGTATGAAAATGGACTAATACAGAGTCTTCCAGATCACTGCCTTCCACCTCCATATTCTCACAGCTGTGAGAGTATTCCTGTAGAGTTACTCTCTGCTGACTGGTTGGATTGTGCTAGTGATAAGATAGCTAAGAAAACATTTTTGGAAAACAGAACAACAGTGATGAGAACAGGAAAAGAACACAGAGGAAGAGCAGACATGAAGGAGAAGCACTGAGGCTGGTCCTCTTTCGGAAGTGGCTGTATGGCTAGGGAAAGCTTCTGGAGTCACTCTCCATCCTAAGTGGAACGGACCTTCTCAATCTGCAGCTCACTGCTTTCTTTAGCCCCTTCTAGCAAAGCACCTGTAATCCTTTGCTTGCATGTATTGTTCACATGTGAACAAAAATTTTCATAAATAAGGCATTAGAAAATGAATTAACAAGAAGAAAAATGTACTTAATATTCTTGCCCTGAGGGTTTTTCCATAATAATCATGGGAAACTGGAAAAGGTCCACACTCAGAAAATACATATTCTTGGTATTGTGAATTCTCATCACTGGATGTCGAAGGAAGATTCTCAGCTCTAAGATTTTAAATAGAATGTCAACTATTTCACCGATTTTCTCTGACTCTAATGAGGCACATTAACCTTTAGTGTGTTTCTATTTGTAGTTAGAACTTCATTGGAGAGAGAAGTCTTTTGTATGTAATTACAGAGTAAATTCCCATTTATACATAGAAGCCATGTAGAAAGACTAATTTGAATTTTGGGGTGCTACTGAATAAGGGCATGCTACTACCTAAGACCCCAATGTTTATGAACTTTTTAGAGCCTTAAAAATTAGAAAAGTTAGGTTCAGTAATTATGTTTTTTGTTTGTGGGTTTTTTTTTTTTTTTTTTTCTGAGATGGAGTCTCACTCTGTTGCCCAGGCTGGAGTGCAGTGGCATGATCTTGGCTCACTGCAACTTCTGCCTCCCAGGTTTAAGTGATTCTCCCACCTCAGTCTCCCAAGTAGCTGGGATTACAGACACATGCCACCATGCCTAGCTAATGTTTGTATTTTTAGTAGAGACAGGGTTTTGCCATGTTGGCCAGGCTGCTCTCAAACTCCTGACCTCAAGCGATCCGCCTGCCTCAGCGTCCCAAAGTGCTGGGATTACAGGTGTGAGCCACTGCACCTGGCCTAGTAATTATGTTTTAATATGCCTAATCAGTTGAAATCTCATATATATATATATATGTATAGATATGTAATTGTATGATAATCTGATTAATGAGAATGGGAAAATGCAAGCACATTCCTTTGTTTGGAATAATGATTCTCCATGTATTTTTTTATTTTAAAAAATGGGCACGTAATTAATCATTAAAGACAAATTCAACAATAGTTCAGTCATTATAAGCCATCTATTGTGTTTGTGGTCTGTCCAATTAGAGCAAGTTTCAAATGCTCTAACTGAAATATTTCAGTTGTGTGTGTTCTTCCCTTGGGACCAATGCCTTTGTGTGTGTATGTGTGTGTGTGACAGTGTGAGTGTGTTGTGTGGTGATAAAAAGTGGGTCAAGGGGAGAGATCAGTGGTCTCAACTGGGCATCGAGGCAGAGGGAGGAGCAGGGATTTGCTCCAAAGCTTTTAAGTGAATTGATTCCTTATCTTACACTCCTTTGTTTAGAATTTTTTAATATTACTGAACCTTTGAAACACAGTAGAGCATAAACATTTATTTAATATATACTTAACAATATATACATTATATTTATTTAATATACAATTTCTGAGTACTCCTCTAAAGTTAAAACTCCTTGTCAATTGAGTTTAAAATTCAGTACTCCCATGTAGGTATTTTGGTGTTTTGTGGGGAGGAAAGCTATTTATTTACAAGCTATTTATTTACAGATGTTCTATAACAATGTAGTACAGCAATGGCTCTCAAAGTGGGAATTTTTATTTATTTACTTATTTTTTTGACACGTATTCTTCCTCTGTCACCCAGGCTGGAGTGCAGTGGTACAATCTTGGCTCACTGCAACCTCCGCCTCCCAGGTTCTACTGCCTCAGCCTCCTGAGTAGCTGGGGCTACAGGTGTGTGCCACCATGCCCAGTTAATTTTTGTATTTTTAGTAGAGACGACGTTTTATCACGTTGGCCAGGCTGGTCTCAAACTCCTGACCTCAAGTGATCACCTTCCTCGGCCTCCCAGTGTGCTAGGATTACAGTCAAAGTGGGAATTTACATATGTATTTGTGGAAGATTGAAGGTTATATGAGAAATGTTAAAACTTTTGTTTCCATTTCATGATGGTTTTTTGTTTGGGGAGGCAAAAGATTATTTAACAGGACATGGAATGTACTATCTATACAAGAAACTATTGATAAATCTAAACTTCATGAAGGTTAAGAACTTATTTTTAACGACGAAAAGACACCATTCAAAGAGTAAAAAGAGATACTGAAGACTAGGAGAAGATAGTCACAGCATATATACCTGTTAAAAAAACTCATGTTTGGGATAGAAATCCGATAGTTTAATAAGAAAAAGCCAATCCAGGCTGGGCATGGTGGCTCACGCCTGTAATCCCAGCACTTTGGGAGGCCGAGGCAGGTGGATCCCTTGAGGTCAGGAGTTTGAGGCCAGCCTGACCAACATGAAGAAACCCCATCTCTACTAAAAATACAAAAAAAATTAACCGGGCATGGTGGTGCGTGCCGGTAATTCCAGCGACTTGGGAGGCTGAGACTCGAGAATTGCTTGAACCCAGGATGGGGAGGTTGCAGTGAGCTGAGATCATGCCACTGTACTCCAGGCTGGGTGACAGAGTGAGACTGTCAAAAAAAAGAGAAAGAAAGGAAAGAAAGGAAAGAGAGAAAGAGAGAAAGAGACAGAGGGGAAGGGAGGGAGGGAAGGAAGGAAGGAAGGAAGGAAGGAAGGAAGGAAGGAAGGAAGGAAGGAAGGAAGGAAGGAAGGGAGGGACACAATGCAACTTTCAAAAACGGGCAAAAGACTTAAACAGGCCTTAGGCACTTCACTAGAAGATATCCAAATGACCAACAAGCATATGAAAAGAATCTCAACAAAATTAATCATCAGGGAAATGCAAATTTAACCACAATATATTATACACTCTCCAGAATGGCTAAAATGTTCGAAAAGCTGACAATACCCAGTCTCTCATACCTTGCTGGCATGAATTTAAATGGTTACAGTTCAGAAAGCTATTTAGCAAAATATCTATTAAGGTTCCATATAGGCCTATCCTATGCCCCAGCAGTTCCACTCCTATTTATTCTAGAGAAATGAGTGCGTATGTCTACCCAATTAATATGTAAGACTTATTCATAATAGTCTAACACTGGAAATCTGTCCATCCCTAGAAATAAATAAGTTTTGGTATATTCATAAATAGCATCTAATAACACATCTATGAAAAAGAACAAACCATATGCAACATGGTTCCATCTCAGAGACATGGTATTGAGGGAAGACAGCCAGGCCCAAAAGAGTATAACTTATATCATTCCACTTACATAGAGTTCAAAAATAGGCAAAATGAACTGACAGCAATAGAAATCAAAACAGCAGTAACCTCTGCAGGGTTGAGTATGAATTGGGAGAGGGTATGGCGGGTGACTTCTAAGGTTCTACAAATGTATTATATTTTGATCTGAATGTTAGTTATGTCAATATATACATTTGTAAAAACTAATCGAGTAGTGCATTTAAGATTTGTGCAGGTGTGTACATTAAAACTAAATAAAATTGCTTTTTAAAGCAAAGATAGAAAATAAAAGCATCAATTAAATTTGAGAAATTGTTCTATAACAAATACTCTGTCAAAAAAAGAAAGAAAGAAGAAGAAAGAAAGAAAGGAGAGAGAAGGAAGGAAGGAAGGAAAGAAGGAAGGAAGGAAGGACAAAAGAGGACAATCTAACTTTCAAAAATGGGCAAAAGATTTAAACTTAAAGTTAAGTTTGAGAAACTGTAACAAATATGAGACCTATACACTCATGCATAAGAGAAGAAAAGCACTAATATTGAAGATAAAATTATTTCAAAAGAAGAACTAGAAATGCATAACATTAAATATACATCATCTTAAATAGAAAATTAGTTGGTATTATAAATATTCACTATCTGGTAGAATATATTTAACATATTTAAATAACATTCCTTTCTTAGAAGGATAAATTCTCTTACAATTATCAATGCAGTCAGTTGTATTTGCATAACTTGACTTTAGCGCAGAGCCCAATTCCATCACGCTATTTTTACATAAATCTGCATCTCTTCCTGCATCATTTTCACTTAATTAATTAACATCTAATTTATAAGCATCTCAACATTTGAAGCATTCTTATAAATAGGGCAAACTAAAATAGATACAAATGTATTTAAACATCTTGCCCATACTTCTCTGA